>NC_000008.11:1873710-2175995 GCF_000001405.40 Homo sapiens
TGCACTCGCATTTCCTAGTTGCCTTGAGAGGTGCCGCGGGGTAGTGCACCCACATTTCTTCACTCGTTTAGAGTTCGGGGCTCTCAGAACACAGGGAGAATATGGGAGAATTCCTTACTAGATGTTACAGAGGCCACACAGGGCCACTTTTTTCTTTTTTTTTTATTGTGTCAGGTATACGTAAATATTCCTTTCGGTCAGTTCAGCACGTAGGACTGAGTGGCATTAGGTACGCTCACTGTACAGCCAATGCCTCCATAGGCCACTTTTTAAATACGCGGGGCTAAGGGCCAACGACAAGATTGTCATCGAGGACAATAAGTCGATGGCGCTGCCTGGTCACTGGCTTGGTCAGAAAACACATGCCAGGGTGACTGGATTTAACGTTCAATTTTAGAACCACAAATCTGCCAGCCCAGGCATTCAAGAGGAAGTGAGTAATTCACTGAATTGATGGTTAGCAAGACCCTTCAAAGTCCTTGGAAGTTCCGTGTTTGCTGGGGGTCACAACAGCAATTGCGTTTCTAAAACATTGAAAACCACCCGTTTTTCACACATCTGAATAGCCTGAGTTCTAACAGACCTAAGTAAAGGCGTCCAAACGTGCCTGATCCTGTGGCTGGGTCCCAGGAGCCTTAACAAGGCATTGAGAGAGCTGGATTGATTGATTAGACTCTTGCCAACTGCTGTGCGGAATACAGAAAATGCAGCTCCAGCTCTCAAAGGGCTGAAAATCTAATTGAGGTGAAAAAGGTAACATGTGTGAAAACCATGTCTGTGTAGACTTGTTTTGTATGGACCAGAAAAGTTGGAAGTCCAGAGATGGATGCGAGGAAATAGGGGATGGAGTTTCCTTATAACCTCTGGAGGGACAGTCCAGATACATACCGGGGTGTGTAGCGGGTGGAGGTTCTAAGACAGGCTGGAGGAACAGTGCAGACACACACCAGGGTGTGTAGGGGGTAGAGGTTCTAAGACAGTCTGGAGGGAGAGTGCAGACACACACCGGGGTGTGTAAGCAGTGGAGGTTCTAAGACAGGCTGGAGGAACAGTGGAGACACACACCAGGGCGTGTAGGGGGTAGAGGTTCTAAGACAGGCTGGAGGAACAGTGGAGACACACACCACGGCGTGTAGGGGGTAGAGGTTCTAAGACAGTCTGGTGGGAGAGTGCAGACACACCCGGGGCCGTGTAGGGGGTACAGGTTCTAAGACAGTCTGGTGGGAGAGTGCAGACACACACGGGGCTGTGTCGGGGATAGAGGTTCTAAGACAGTCTGGTGGGAGAGTGCAGACACACACCAGGGCGTGTAGGGGGTAGAGGTTCTAAGACAGGCTGGAGGAACAGTGGAGACACACACCACGGCGTGTAGGGGGTAGAGGTTCTAAGACAGTCTGGTGGGAGAGTGCAGACACACCCGGGGCCGTGTAGGGGGTACAGGTTCTAAGACAGTCTGGTGGGAGAGTGCAGACACACACGGGGCTGTGTCGGGGATAGAGGTTCTAAGACAGTCTGGTGGGAGAGTGCAGACACACACCAGGGCGTGTAGGGGGTGGAGGTTCTAAGACAGGCTGGAGGAACAGTGGAGACACACACTGGGGAGCGTAGGGGTGCTTTTCTCTGAGTCCCCTAGTACATGGTAGAGGCTGTAGACCCTCCGCTCTTGGGCACGTGGGTAGGCTCTCAGGATGACTCTTGGCTCTTGGGCATGTGGGTGAGCTCTCAGGATGATGCCCAGCCCCAAATTTCAGGCAATTGTGCAAGGACTTGACCCATTCATCCGCTGAGCTGAGTTGCTGAGACTGCTGGGTGCCCGGGTGGTGATCATTGTCCGTGGCACACAGAACACACTGCAGCTTCTGCAAAGTGAGCTCATTTCACGCATTTTATGGCTTTGCCAGGCTGCTGTTGACCTGCCAGAACTTTTAATCAGACATTTGGAGGACCTGTTTTGTAGTCAGTGGAGAAATATTACAAGGATAGGGTAATTTGAAATATCTAAGGATTGTAAGTGACAAGTTCATGTCTAATTTTGCATTTCCAGTGAAAGCAAGTGTTGGCTTTGAATGTTACTTATGTGCTGAGATGTGTATATTCCTCAGTGCTTAATTACTAAGGATTTTTAAGGCCAAGTTTTGTTACAGTGAATGACTGTGGATGCATAAAGAATAAATTTAATATTTTTAAGGCATGGAGATTATTTGTATCTAAGAAACCAGGTAAAATAAAGAAACATTTATGCTTGTGTGACTGATAAAAGAGTTAGAGAGACACTCATATTCTGGGAGTTTGAAGAATGTCATTTTCATTCTCTAAAAGTCTTGTTAGTGTCACAGCATTGAAAATTTAAAAATCCGTGTGTATTTTCTTGCTAGTGCTGGTACTTGAATATCTGTATCATCCACCTATCCATCCACCTACCCATATTTCTATAATCCACCGTCCATCGACATGCCTATCATCTGTCCACCATTTCTCTCTGTCTAATTTTCAAAACATCCTGTAAGTTTATATAAAGGAAGATTTTTCTTCTTGTGAAGTTCTCTAAGGCTGACAAGTTACCTGGCATGACTGTGGCGGATGCCCATAGCCAGGTGGTCCTCGGGGTACAGATGGGGCAGGGGCACTTGTGAGAAACACCTGAAGTGCTTTTCCCCAGCCTCCCCGGCCCTGCCCGGGTGGTGGAGGCGCTGCACGGTGCCTTCCATGGAGCAAGCCCGGGGCTCCGCAGGGTCCTCAGCATGATTCAGATTTCCTTCCACCCCCAGCTCTAGATGATTTGGTAAAACCACAAACAGGCACAAAACAGCCCACATGGAATTCTAAAGTTTTAATTTCATTTTGGAATTTATGCACTCAGATGAAATGATTTATGATGATGTTGAGAATGGGGATGAAGGTGGAAACAGCTCCTTGGAATACGGATGGAGTTCGAGTGAATTTGAAAGTTACGAAGAGCAGAGTGACTCGGAGTGCAAGAATGGGATTCCCAGGTCCTTCCTGCGCAGCAACCACAAAAAGCAAGTACGTGTTCCCTGCACATGTGAGGGATGGTTCTCTCGCGTTAACACGGACAGGGGGCTGTGAATATGATTGTGATCCACCTAGTACTTCATAGTGATTTGTTAAGATGCTGATAAGTAGTTTGGGGAAAGCATAAGATATTGGCAAAGGAGAAGACGTGTCTTGTTTCATATAGTTAAGTATCGTCATGGAAAGATGGAGAAATTAAGCTTCTATAATCCACTTAAAAGGTCTTAAATGAGCTCACCACCTTGAATAAGAAAGTAGTTATTCTCTGAATTGCTTGTGTTTTAATGTATTATGTGCTTTGCACGTAGCACCGTTTGCGGAACACTGAATAGATGGGATCGGGGTTCCCTAAGACACAGCACATCTGCACTTTGCTTTAAGTGAGGTTTCAACTTTAGCATGTTCAGCATGAAAAGGAAGACGTAAAAATAGAAGATGTTAAGGGACAAAAGCTTCTAAACTGACCTGTGACAATCCTTTCTTTTTTCTTTTTCTTTTTTTTGAGATGGAGTCTCGTTCTGTCTCCCAGGCTGGAGTGCAATGGCGCAATCTCAGCTCACTGCAATCTCTGCCTCCCAGGTTTAAGCCATTCTCTTGCCTCAGCCTCCCAAGTAGCTGGGATTACAGGTGCCTGCCATGACTCCTAGCTAATTTTCGTATTTTTATTAGAGATGGGGTTTCCCTATGTTGGCCAGGCTAGTCTCGAATCCCTGACCTCAGGTGATCTGCCCACCTCGGCCTCCCAAAGTGCTGGGATTGCAGGTGTGAACCACCACACCCAGCCGGATGATCCTTTCTTACAGGGAATTTTTATTTTACTTTTTTTGTGGAAAAGTCTTGAGATTAGGGTGTGAGGTGGGATGTCAGAGCTGTAAGGCGTGAATTCTGGAATTGGGTGGTTGTGAGTCATGGAACCCAGGAACCATTCAGCTGAGGCACCTCCCAGGTCTCGGTGGTGCCAGGCCGTGCCACCGGTGTTTTGTTAGAGTTTTTTTTGACTGTTTGTAAAAGGATAGATTTGTGCTCATCTACAGTGATGTCTGTGTACTTTCTGTGTGAGGCTGAGATGGAAGCCACACGCAGTCCTTGTCTGAGGCTGGCGAGTCCCGTGTTACTGATAGAGATGGTGAACGGATGCCCGCCATAGTGACAGTTGTCGATAACCGGTGTTATCCCTCCGGTCCCCTAGTAACCCCCAGTAAGCGGAGATTTCATTCCTGGACCTAGCTGCCACGTCCCTATGGTTTACAAGTGATTATGGGCTGCCTACAATTCTCATATTCTGTGAACCTGGCTCGTGAAACTCAAGGAGAATCTACTAGATCTTGGCAGTCAGCTCACCTACCCAGTTTCATTCACAAGTTCTTCCAGGAATTAGATCTTTTCTGCCACCGTCATCATTACAACTGCGATTTAAACAACCGATGAAGCTGCAATTGTAGTTTTTCGGGTTTTTTTTTTCTTTGAAATGGAGTCTTGCCTGTCGCTCAGGCTGAAGTACAATGGCGTGATCTCGGCTCACTGCAACCTCCACTTCCCAGATTCAAGTAATTCTCCTGCCTCAGCCTCTCAAGTAGCTGGGATTATAGGCACCTTCCACTACCAGCTAATTTTTGTATTTTTAGTAGAGACGGGGTTTCACCATATTGGCCAGGCTGGTCTCGAACTCCTGACCTCGTGATCTGCCTGCCTCAGCCCTCCAAAGTGCTGGGATTACAGGCATGAGCCACTGCACCCGGCCTGCAATTGTAGTTTTTAACAGCTGATAACTGAGGTGATATTTCGCTTGCTGTAGCTGAGTCAGACACTTGATTTAAACTGAGATTTAAGAAGAGTGCTGGGCTCTGACATCACAGATGGAGGCTCGGTGTGTGCCTCGGAGCGTGGGTTAAATGCTCTTCAGTTTCGCCTTCATGGTGGGCTGTGGACAGAGGGGCCAGGCCACTGAGGAGCCGAGAGGCATTAGTAGTCACTCCTTGGTAGTAATTCAGGAGACCCTGCCCTTGCTTTGGAGCGGGCCCGTATCCCAGAGGAGCCCTTGACTGTCTGGGCAGTGCCAGTGGTTCAGCAGCCCTCCCTGCTGGGCGAAGGAGCTGGGGAAAGCCAGCACACAGTGGGTTTGTGGTGCAGAATTACAACCCGGGAGCGCTGGGCTCTGCATTTCCAGCCTCTCCTACACGTCCATGTTGCCAGGACAGTGGCCTGGACCGGGGGTGGGAATACTGTGTGGGGTGCAGACAGGGCGCCCGTGTGTTAGGCCTGTCCAGGATGGAAGTGCTGCAGGCAGCACCAAGTTTTCTCGTTCAAAGGGTCACATTTTAAAAACGACCAAAATAAAACTATATGTTGTTCAAAAGTCATCTCAAAAAATCTCGAATTTTGTTAAAAACTTCCTAAAGTGTCTGTGACATGAGAAATGCCCCGAGACGAGCCAGTGGGGCCTCAGCCACGTGCATCTGAAGTGTCTGTGACCACACGGAGAAGGATCCAGGGGGTCCCCAGTCCCGTCAGTTAGAGAGAAAGTGATCTCAGGTTGGAGACCCTTGAAAATCCGTGCTGCCATCCCCAAAATATGTCACTTTCAGTATAGTTTAAATACAAGTATCTTTTGCTTGGATGCCAACATAAAAAATGATTTTATGTATTTTTATTTATTGGATAATTTTTATTCCACCAAAATGTAAACGAATGATTTCACAGATATTTTGTGTGCGTGCATTTGCTCCTGTCTAGCACAGAGAAGACCCTAGCCTGGTGTCTGGATAGTGTCTGTCTTTTGATGCCATGTTTAGCTCATTTCTGCATTTATCTCTCTTTTTTTTTTTTGGAGACAGGGTCTTACTCTGTCTGCCAGGCTGGAGGGCAGTGGCACCATCACGGCTCACTGCAGCCTCCACTTCCCAGGCTCAAGCAATTCGCCCACCTCAGCCTCCTAAGTAGCTAGGATCACAGGCGCGCACCACCCTACCTGGCTAATTTTTGTAATTTTAATAGAGACAGGGTTTCACCACGTTGCCCAGGCTGGTCTTGAACTCCTGAGCTCAATTGATCCTCCCACCTCCGCCTCCTAAAGTGCTGGGATTACAGGGGTGAGCCACTGCGCCCAGCCAACTATTTGTGCATTTATCTCTCAAGGACCAACTGGGCTAGTAATGGGGACTCTCGCGTGTGGTCCCAGAAGCCCCCAGCCAGGACAGGCCTGATGTGCCACTGCAGACGCTGCCAGCATCCTCTCAATGTAAAATTGTCCCAAAGAACCAAAAAGAGCCTTTTTGTGAAAAGACTGTGTCTCTTTATGCTGTAGCTTTCTCATGACCTAACCCGTTTAAAGGAGCACTATGAGAAAAAGATGAGAGATTTGATGGCAAGCACGGTGGGCGTGGTGGAGATTCAGCAGCTCAGGCAGAAGCATGAACTGAAGGTAGAGTCTTGCCCCCGGCCGCTGCCCCCACTTGCCAGCCGGGCAGTAAAGAAAAACCGCGCGGCTCGGTCGGTCCTTGCTGTCTCAACAGCGGTTCTCAAAGGGTGGTCCGGGGCTCCTGGAATCCCCCGACGCTTTGGGGCTCACGTGGACTCTGAGACGCTCTGTGCCTTTCACTGTCTCCCTCTTACGGGGAACCCAGGAACATTCTGGAGGCTCCACAGCTGTGGCCTCACCGCTGGCGGAATGCCATCTGGCTGTCTACTAGAGAGGGGTTTCCAGAAACGCACAATGCCACTTTCTGTTTGTTTTGGAAAATACAGCAATTTTTCATCAATGTTATTTAAGATAACATGTAATAGGTTGATTATTTTTTAAATGAACATTTATAAAAATATCCAAAATTTTTCAGCGTTTTAACTTCAAATGCAGTAAATATTGATACATAAAACCCTGGTAAACAAAAGCCATTTGGGCTCTCCATAATTTTTAAGAGCGTCCAGGGCCCCTGAGACCGGAATGCTTGAGAACTGCCGGACCTGAGTGTCGTGACAGTCTGTTCTGAGCGATGTCTTTTAAAAGGGCACTGTCAAGTACTGTTTCCTGCAATTGGACCTTTTATCCTGCTGGTATTTTGTGATCATTCATATGTGTTGAATGGCACTCACTGGAAAGGGATGTGCACTCCACACAGCTTCTGGAGCAGCCGGCTCATCCGCCCTGTTGTGCTTGGGCCATCAGAAGCCACAGCCACAGCCGCCCCCTGGGAGCCGCGTTACCCCCTCACATGCAGCATCTGGCTGGCTCCCCTGCAGGGTGTCTGATGGGACCTGCCGGAGGCTGCAGGCAGTGTGGCGGGGTTTCTGAGGAGTGGAGGGCGCCATCAGAACCATGGGAGGGGTGTGTGAGCTACATTTGGAGGTTTTCACAGACACGGGGAGTGCCCTGGCTGAAGCAGGTGAGGGCACTGTGGGAAGTGGGAAAGGAAGGCTGGGGAGGCAGCCAGGGCTGGGCCCAGCACGCTCGCTTCCCCTGGTGAGAACACCCCTGTGTCAGCCCTGAGATCCGGGAGTCCTGGCCGAGGCTGTGACCTGGAACCCGGGGTCTCACCTGCTCTGGGGCTCAGGGAGCATGGCGGCCCTCCAGTTTGTCAGTTTGCAGTTCTCTGATACTCTGTCCGGGGACCCTGAACGGCGCTGGCTGAAAACCAAGGGTTCACAGCCCAAATCTGGGGTTGAGAAAGAGCAGGATGTAGACAGGCTGTGCAGGACGGAAACGCGCAGGCGGGCAGGGCTGTCTGCGGCATCGGGCGGGAGGCAGGGGACATGGGTGCAGGGGCCAAGGAAATGGCAGCAGGACATGGTCCCATGTGGGGTTGGGAGATGCAGGAGCAGGGGAGCCCCCGGGGGATGGGGGACAGCATTGCAAGTGATGGAGATGGGCTGGGGCAGGCGACGCGGGTGTGAGGCCGTGCGTGTTGTGTGGTGTTCATGGTGAACGCTTCAGGAAGGCAGCCCTCAGGCGTTTGGAAGTCCAGGGCAGGCAGACACGGCCAGGGCTACAGCGACGCTGTCTGCACGCTGGTGCCCAGCAGCCCTGCTCCTCACGCGGTGGTGTGACCCAGATGAGGAGAGCCTGGTTCTCAGCTGCACTGCTGGTCCCTTTGAGAGGTCCCTGGGATGGGGACATCGGTTGTCCCATAAGAGATCATCTTTTAAAGACGAAATCACTCAGCGTCCAGTGGCCAGTACCTCAGATGTTGGGTTTTTAAGGAATAAGAAATCAGATGGCAGGAGACGCCTCAGACGCCCCTGAGTCTAGGCAGCCGTGAGTGTCCAGCACAGCTCTGGCCGAGGAAGTGGAGGCAGGGAGCCCCAGGCCAGGGGGACATGGCTTCCGAGTCTGACATCCGCAGCGTGCTGCACCCCGACCCTCCCTCAGGTGTGTCCCGTGCGTGTCTGCAGCATTTGCCAGGGTCTTGCATTCAGCCCCGTGGCTGGAGCTGGGTCCGTGTAACCATGCGTGTGAGGCGGCCCTGTCAACAGCTGGCCATGCCCCCACATGGGGTGCAGTGGGAAGCCCCGGGGAGGTTAAAAGGCTGAACTGGAGCTGTGAGCGTCTGCAGTTAGTTGTTTTGCCATTTAATTCGAGGCGAGTTGTTTGACATTTGTGCATGTTAGTGACTCACCTGTGACCCCCACGTAGCTCTTTGTGTGAGTGGATCACATATAATACCATAAATGGGGCAGGGAACATGTTTCACCATGTCCAGGAAGGGCTGTATTTTTAAGGTCTGTTTTTTCCTTTTTTCCAACAAACAAAACCAAAACAAAACCTAGCCCAGAACTGCACGTGACACATGCGCTCACAAGAACCAGACTACTTGACAGTATTCTTTTAAAACAGGCAAATGAAAGTCGCAGGTGGGTTCTGCCGCCGTCCCGTTCTCACATCTCCCTCTCCGTCGCAGATGCAGAAGCTCGTGAAGGCCGCGAAGGACGGCACCAAGGACGGGCTGGAGAGGACCAGGGCAGCCGTGAAGAGGGGCCGCTCCTTCATCAGGACCAAGTCTCTCATCGCACAGGGTCCGTGCCTGCAGGTCTTCTTGCGGGGAGGACACGGGGTTGGGGGGGGCGGCCACATCTTGTGGGGAGGACTCGGGGTGGGGGGCGGCCGCGCAGGCTCCCACAGCCTTAGGGAGCACCAGCCTGCTCAGTGCTTGGGTCTGAATCAGCCCTGCTGACCCCAGCCTCCCCGTCCTGCAGGGGTGGCGTTTTAGACCGAGGGCACCCAGCAGCAGAGAATCATTGAGAATCATTGAGAATCACTGGCTGGACATAGGAAGGGCTGTGCAGGGGCCTCTGTCACTGTGGATTCTTAGTATTGGACTCTGTATTTATAGCACATTGGCCCTCCTGGGCATGGTCCCGCAGGGACTGAGGTCGTGAGCGTCCTGAACTGGCATTTCAGGAATCTTTTCCTTGGTGAGGGGAGATTTGGAGTAGACAGCTGAAGTTCCAGGTTTTTCTAAACATCTAACGAAGGCGCAGTGGTCTGTGCAGTTATGTGTGGAAAAGGCAGGTGGTGTGGAGGTGTCGTGCACGGCGGCAACAAGCAGCAGGCTGGGGTCATTTACCGTCCGAGGAGACTTCTCGGAGCCTTTGTGCACGGATGTCCTAAGGTCGAGTTACGGGAGGGTGACTGAGACTTCACTGTCATACAGGGGTCGCTGTGACTCTGACCTGGCATTTCCTGGTTGTTTCTCCAGCTTTCTAATGTGCCTGTCTGGTGCTAGGACGTGGGTAGCATTTGCTAATATCTGTACTTGGAAGGGACTTTGCAGTCACGTTGTCCCTCAAGGAACGGCCTCGGATACGATGTGTAATTGGTATGACATGGTGTAACTCAGGAGGCCTTTTCCTCTTTCAGTCCTAATGAAGCCCTCGGCATCTCAGACAAGGTGGGGGTAAGCTGTCAGCATCCCCGAGGGGTTTATTTGGTGATGGAGACGGGCAGGTGCATTCTAATAAAATGTGCAGTAGTATCATGCCCTGATGAGGTGCCATGAGGTGCTCAGGGCAGCAAAGGACAGCCTTTGAGGAGGTGGCCATATTACACAGCCCCTGGAAAGCACAGGCAGCTCTGTCCAGTGAGGAGTTGGGATTTGGGGCCACATTCACTGCCTCAAGGAGTGTGTCTGCCACCAGCAGCAACCCCCCAACTGGAGCCCAGATTCCAGGAGCTGATCACAACTGCCCACCTGGAGCCCATGCCAGGCCCCTGAGCCAGGATTTGCAGGCTGGCAGAGTCCCCCGGGACTGGGTGTGTGGGACAGTCTGAGAAGCCCGGAGTCAGCCCCTGGGAGCAGGTCATGCTTTGTCTCTGGTTTAGGGGTACTCTTTTGCGGGTCAGTTGTAGAGATGCGGCAGTTTAATAGGCAAATCCTTGGCCGGGCACGGT
This sequence comes from Homo sapiens, assembly GCF_000001405.40. Taxonomy (NCBI): domain Eukaryota; kingdom Metazoa; phylum Chordata; class Mammalia; order Primates; family Hominidae; genus Homo; species Homo sapiens. The sequence continues at coordinate 1,884,125 of NC_000008.11, forward strand.
GGCTCATGCCTGTAATCCCAGCATTTTTGGAGGCCGAGGCGGGCAGATCACGAGGTCAGGAGATCAAGACCATCCTGGCTAACACGGTGAAACCCCGTCTCTACTAAAAATACAAAAAAAAATTAGCTGGGCGTGGTGGCGGGTGCCTGTAGTCCCAGCTACTCAGGAGGCTGAGGCAGGAGAATGGCGTGAACCCGGGAGGCGGAGCTTGCAGTGAGCCGAGATTGCGCCACTGCACTCCAGCCTGGGCGACAGAGCAAGAGTCCATCTCAAGAAAAAAAAAAAAAAGGGCAAATCCCTAACCTCCCAACCCGAGTTTCCTAAGCCATAAAATGAGAGGCTTGGACAGAATTTCGTTCTTCGTCCTGGTTGTACCTAAGAATTAACTAGAAAGCTTTTAAAACAGGCTGGTGCCAGGCCCTCCTTCCCTGGCTGATCCGTTGATCTCTGAGGGAAAAGTCTGGGCATCAGTAGGTTTTAAAGCCCCTTAGATAGATGTTTCTGTGCAGCCAGGGTTTGGGATCTTTGAACTAGAAAAACTCAGGTTTCTATCATCTAAAAGTGCCTGTGCTTTTCTGATTTCCAGCCATTTTGTGGATGCTTTAATGTAGTTAGCTGTGTTTTAAAAAAATGAATGTAGGCGTTTTCTTGTTTTTTAGAGACAGGGTCTCACTCTGTCGCCCAGGCTGGAGTGCAGTGGCACGACCACAGCTCACTGCAGCCTCCACCTCCTGGGTTCAGGCGATCCTCCTGCCTCAGCCTCCTCACTAGCTGGGAGTACAGGTGCTCACAACCATGCCTGGCTAATTTTTAAATTTTTTGTAGAGATGGAGTCTTGCTATGTTGCCCAGGCTGGTCTTGAGCTCCTAGGCTCAAGCGATTCTACCATCTCGGTCTCCCAAAGTGCTGGGATTAGGGGAGTGAGCCACCCCACCCAACTGTGAATTTAGTTTTTGTTTAAACTGTTTTGAGTTTTGGAAAGCTGTGCTTCTTAAGGCATCCAGTGAGAGAGACAGAAGAAATATACTAAGTGCCACCTCAGTTTTCAATGACTTTTGACTCACCTCAGTTTTCAATGACTGTTCTTAGCCATTCTTAGCTGTGTTTCCTTGTTTCTGATTGTGATATTTTATAGATTAAGAAACTAAAATATTTAATTTAGGAAATATTCTAAAACACTAAGATTCCAAAATATTGCCACTTTGCTATCTAGCTATTCAAATGGCACTTCTCCTTTTTGAAGTTAAACTTTAAATACTGAAAATTTTAAATACAGACAAATATTGTATTACCCTCTGGAAAGAATATTTTATTGGATTTGTTAAAAATTCAACTTAATAATAGCTGGGTGTCAAGTAAGCATGGAAAATTGAAAGGTCTACACAAAATATTTATTTGACTTTTTTTTACTGTACTGTAGTGTTGTGAATATATTATTTGAATGTAAAATTCATGCATTTTGACTTTTTTTTTAAGATCACAGATCTTCTCTTGAGGAAGAACAGAATTTGTTCATTGATGTTGACTGCAAGCACCCGGAAGCCATCTTGACCCCGATGCCCGAGGGTTTATCTCAGCAGCAGGTGAGATGAGCAGAGCTGACAGGGGCTGTTGACCAGCAGAGCTGTGCTAGTTTTTAAATATTTGTGTGTTTGATGCTGGTTGGTAAATATTTGCTGTCTCAAACTCTGCATCCACTCGGGCCCTCCACTGTAGGTTCCTGGCCCAGCACTTAGAGGCTTACTGCTGGGCTCAGCAAGGGTCTGGGGGGACGCTGGTCAGCAGCTGTGGCCTGGACTCAGGCCCTTCTGGTCCTTAAATATTTTGGACAGCACCCCTGCCCCTGAGTGTAGCTGTGAGAAAGGGGAGGAACTTGCATTCTTCGTGGGAGTCAGTCACACAGTTTTTACTTTCACAGAGACAGAGTGTGGGTTTGTATGGTCAGTATGTGTATGTAGCTACCTGAGACTGAGATGAAAATGACAGATTTTCAGTAACTAATTAAATCTGAATATAATGCATTTCTTAAAAATCTGATACTCAGTAGCAGAAGGGAAAAAATCAGTGGTTTTCATTGGATTGTCTTAGGGTAAAAGGAAGAGAAAACTTGAGGAACCAGAGTGACAGCACCAAGTTTGCAGGCCTTTAGCAGCAGGGGCTGATACTTTGGGATGATGGGAGTTGTTTCCCACATGGGCAGCGAGGTGCAAATCATGGACACCAGGATGGATAGGCAGACATATGTGTAATCCACGGATCTGGGGAGATCCCTGATACAGGTAGGCAGATAGAGCAAGAGAGAGCATTGTCAGATTAAAGACAAACAACACAGAAATGCTTAGTGACTGGCCAGGTTTAAAAAGAGATGAAAAGGGATACCTGCGAGCTGTTCATAATTGACCAGGCTGAAATAGGAAGCTTACATTTCAGTGGAATTGAACAGCGATGACTGAAGTATTAGTTTTGTCAGCAGCATCACACGAGTGACGGGATGGAGTGTCAACAGAGCTTGGAGACAGTTGTTGAGGAGCTGTCACTCATGGGTGTGCATGCTCTGTGCAGGCCCCGTGCCCGGTCCCTGGTGTGTTTCACTGCATTTCATCCTTGCAAATCCCGTTGCCATCCTTGTGTACTCTGTAAGGAAGCCTGGACTCGGAGGAGGCTGATCATCAGAACTGCATCCTCCAGCTATGCGAGGAAGGGGTCGTGTCTGATCTCAGTCTCTCCCATCGCAGCCTGCTCCTAACCTGTCTGTGCTCACTGGGGCCATGTGATCTGGGCTGCCACACGTCCAGGGGGGTGGTTGACAGCCTTTACCAGGAACAGAGGATCTAGCGCTTTCTCCTGTGCATGCTGTCCAGCTCACCCACCTCACTTCATGCTCAGGAGTTATAAAAGGGGTTCATGGCTGAACACCTTCTTGCCAGTCCTATGAGGCGCTCAATAGGATGACACGCTGGCCAGTCCTCTACTATCTGGGGCCCTCACTGCATGTGGGGTACCTATTCTGGTGAGGACACACCATGTGAGAGGAACTTGGATCCTGCACTCTGAGAACTTACTGTAGCGATGAAGCCGAAAACCAAAAATAGCAAAAGAAGGGAAAAGCACAGGGGAAATGCTTCCTAGCAGATGAGGGACTAAACAGGAATCATAACAGGAGTGTGAGTGACTCAGGACCAGAAGAGTCAGGAGACCTTGAGGACACATGGCCCAAGCCAAGACAGCGGCCTGAGCTGAAGACCAGTGGGCAGGATGCGGGGGTGAGTGTGAAAGAGGCGATGCCAGACCCTGAGTGGGGTGTGAGGGGTCTGTGAGGAGATACTGAGTGGGGTGTGAGGGGTCTGTGAGGAGACACTGAGTGGGGTGTGAGGGGTCTGTGAGGAGACCCTGAGTGGGGTGAGGGATACGTGAGGAAACACTGAGTTGGGTGAGGAGTCTGTGAGGAGACTGAGTGAGGTGAGGGGTCTGTGAGAAGTCCCTGAGCAGGTGAGGGTTGTGAGGAGACTGTGAGTGAGCTGAGAGTCTGTGAGGAGACACTGAGTGCAATGTGAGGGGTCTGTGAGGAGACAGTGAGTGGGATGAGGGTTTGTGAGAAGACGCTAGATGGGATGAGGGTTTTGAGGAGACACGGAGTGGGGTGAGGGTTGTGATGAGACAGTGAGTGGAGTAAGGGTTGTGGGGAGATGCTGAGGAGAGGTGAAAGTTCTGAGGAGACACTGAGTGGGATGTGAGGGGTCTGTGGGGAGTCACCAAGTGCCGTGAGAGTTGCAAGGAAACACGGAGTGGGGTGCGGGTCATCAGGAGACAGTGATTGGGGTGAGGGGTCTGTGATGAGACACTGTGAGTGGGGTGAGAGTTGTGAAGAGACAGTGAGTGGGGTGAGCTTTGTTAGGAGGCACTGAGTAGGGTGAGGGTTGTTAGGAGACAGTGAGTGGGATGAGGGTTTATGAGGAGACACTAGGTAGGGTGAATGTTTTGAGGAGACACTTAGTGGGGTGAGGGTTTGCGAGGAGACACTTAGTGGGGCGAGGGTTGCGAGGAGACAGTGAGTGGGGTGAGGGTTTGCGAGGAGACACTTAGTGGGGCGAGGGTTGCGAGGAGACAGTGAGTGTGGTGAGGGTTGCGAGGAGATGCTGAGTGGGGCTGTAGGTTCTGAGGAGGGGTGGGGTGAGGGTTTGTGAGGATATGCTGAGTGGGATGTTGACTGTGAGGAGACACTGAGTGGGGTGAGGGTTGTGAGGAGATACTGAGGTGATAGTTTTGAGGAGACAGTGGGGTGAGAGTTGTGAGGAGACACTGAGTGTGGAGGGCTGTGAGGAGGCACTGAGTGGGGTGAGGGGTATTGAGGAGACACTGAGTGGGGTAAGAAGTCTGTGGAGATACTGAGTGGGGTGAGGGGTCTGTGAGGAGACGCTGAGTGGGGTGAGGTATGGGGAGACACTGAGTGGGGTGTGAGGGGTCTGTGAGGTGTCACTGAGTGTGGTGAGGTTTGTGAGGAAACACAGAGTGTGGTAAGGGTCCTGAGGAAACACTGAGTTGGGTGAGGGTTTGTGAGGAGACACTGAATAGGGTGAGGTTTGTGAGGAGACACTGAATAGGGTGAGGTTTGTGAGGAGACACTGAATAGGGTGAGGTTTGTGAGGAGACACTGAGTGGGGTGAGTATTGTGAGGAGACACTGAGTGGGGTGAGAGTTATGAGGAGACACTGAATAGGGTGAGGTTTGTGAGGAGACACTGAGTGGGGTGAGAGTTATGAGGAGACACTGAGTTGGGTGAGGGTTGTGAGGAGACAGTGGGGTGAGGGGTCTGTGACGAGACACTGAGTGGGGTGAGGGGTCTGCGAGGAGACACTGAGGTGTGAGGGGTCTACAAGGAGTCACGGAGTGCAGTGAGAGTTGTGAGGAAACATGGAGTGGGGTGCGGGTCATGAGGAGACAGTGATTGGGGTGAGGGGTCCGTGAGGAGACACTGAGTGGGGTGTGAGGGGTCTGTGAGGAGACACTGTGAGTGGGGTGAGGGTTGTGAGGAGACGCTGAGTTGGGGGGTTGTGAGGAGAGCGTGGGGTGAGGTTTATTAGGAGACACTGAATGGGGTGAGGGTTGTGAGGAGACATTGAGTGGGATGAGAGGTGTGAGGAGACACTGAATGTGGTGAGGGTTTGTGAGGAGATACTGCATGGGGTGAGCTTTCTTAGGAGACACTGAGTGGGTAAGAGTTGTGAGGAGACACTGAGTGGGGTGAGGGGTATGTGAGGAGACAGTGATGTGAGGCATCTGTGAGGAGACACTGAGTGGGGTGAGGGGTCTGTGAGGAGACACTGAGTGGGGTGAGGGGTCTGTGAGGAGACACTGAGTGGGGTGAGGGGTCTGTGAGGAGACACTGAGTGGGGTGAGGGGTATTGAGGAGACACTGAGTAGGGTAAGGAGTCTGTGTGGAGACACTGAGTGGGGTGAGGGGTTTGTGAGGAGACACTGAGTGTGGGTGAGGGGTCTGTGAGGAGTCATGGAGTGTGGTGTGAGTTGTGAGAAAACTCGGAGTGGGGTGAGGGTCGTGAGGAAACAGTGGGGTGAAGGTTTGTGAGGAGACCCTGAGTGGAGTGAGGGTTGCGAGGAGACATTGAGTGGGATGAGGGTTGTGAGGAGACACTGAGTGGGGTGAGGGTTGTGAGCAGACACTTCATGGGAGGAGGGTTTGTGAGAAGACACTAGGTGGGGTGAGGTTTGTGAGGAGACACTGAGTGTGGTGAGGGTTTGTGAGGAGACACTGCATGGGGTGAACTTTGTTAGGAGGCAGTGAGTGGGGCGAGGGTTGTGAGGAGACACTGAGTGGGGGAGGGGTATGTGAGGAGACACTGAGTGATGTGAGCAATCTGTGAGGAGACACTGAGTGCGGTGAGGGGTATTGAGACACTGAGTGGGGTAAGGAGTCTGTGCGGAGACACCGAGTGTGGTGTGAGGGGTCTGTGAGGAGTCACCGAGTGCCGTGTGAGTTGTGAGAAAACGGAGTGGGGTGAGGGTTTGTGAGGAGACACTGAGTGGGGTGAGGGTTTGTGAGGAGACACTGAATAGGGTGAGGGTTGTGAAGAGACACTGAGTGGGGTGAGGGTTTGTGAGGAGGCACTGAGGGTTGTGGATTGTGAGGAGACATTGAGTGGGGTGAGGGTTCTGAGGAGACACTGATGGGGTGAGGGTTGTGAGCAGATACTGAGTGGGGTGAGAGTTGTGAGGATACACTGAGTTGGGTGAGGAGTCTGTGAGGAGACACTGAATTGGGTGAGGGTTGTGAGAAGACACTGAATGGGTTGAGGTTGTGAGGAGACAGTGAGTGGGGTGAGTGTTGTGAGGAGACACTGAGTGGGGTGAGGGTTGTGAGGAGATTCTGAGTGGGGCGAGACGGGTCTCTGAGGAGACACTGAGTGGGGTGAGAGTTTTGAGGAGTCACTGAGTGTGTAAGGGTCTGTGAGGAGACACTGAGTTTGGCGAAGGTTATGAAGAGACACTGAGTGCAGTGAGGGTTGTGAGGAGACACTAAGTGGGGTGTGAGGGGTCTGTGAGGAGACACTGAGTGGGTCACGGGGTCCGTGGGGTGTCACTGGGTAAGAGTCGAGGTTCTGTGAAGAGAGAGTGAGTAGTGATTGGTAGGGGTGTGTGCACATATCAGAGGAAAGAGGTTTGACCTTTTTGTTGTATGGCACTTTTCCAAGGGCCTGTCTGTTGGGTACTGATTTTGGTGGATTTGCTCAGCGAATTGGCAGTGACTGTTCATTGTTTTATGGTTTCTGTAAAGGGTTTAAGCTTCCCAAATTAGTCTCACAGACCTGGATGAAATTCTGTTTTTTGCTCTGATTATCTCAGTTACTTTTGTCTAGTAGTTAATTTCTGAAGTTCAGTTTTCCTTTTCTTTGAAGGGTGGATTTTAATGTCTATTTCCATCTTGCTTATCCCACCGTAATGGTTCAGTGAAGTCCTGTATAGCAAGGTCTCTGTGTTGTGTTAGCACAGTGCCGTCACTTTCAATGAGATGATAGCTGGGATTACGATTAGAAACTTAGCAGTATTTAGGATTTCTGCATTCTTTCATGCAGCTTTCTTTATTGTAGTCATGATTCACATCGATTTTGTTTTCCTCCTGCCAAATGTGTTGTCCATGAGAGTTTTCTCTTGAGTGGTTAAATGGGGGGTATTGATGCTCTTTAATTCTTGTTCTCCTCTAGAATTGAATTAAGGGAAACATAACTCTAAAATGCTGTATATTAAACATTCTTTGCATGCCTAATTTGGGGGTGGAAAAAGGCAAATGTTCTTTTTGAAATAAAGAAGGGTCGTTCTTTACTTGGAAAGTACCCTTGATGCTGGAGGACAGAGGATCCTGTCCCGTCCCCATTCCCGGTGAGGACATGAGGAAGGTCAGGCTGGGCCAGGCCCAGGCACCATCCGCAGCTCTCCCAGCTCAGGCCTAGGAGCCTCTCTGATTGTCCTCCAGCCCTGGCTTTGTCCAGTTGCCCCATGACCTTCATGCCAGGGACCCTCCCTGTGGGGGCTGCATTCAGGATGGATTTCTCCTCTATGACTTTAGGTCAGGCTTCTCAGGAAGAGAGTGACACTCTTCCTGAGCACTGGAGGCTCCCTGTCCCACCCCTTAGTGGGCATATAATTTGACGTGTCAGATTGAGCTGCCAGAAAGACTGACATCACGTGCAGTAGCCATGAAACCCAGAATATTGGTTTTGTTTTTGTATTTTAATATTATACCTATTCCAGATCTTTTGACCTGATACTATATTAGTATCATCTCAGGACTTTAAAAAATATACATACATAATATATATACACATATAAATAATACATATACATAATATAGGTACACATATCAATAATATATATAGTATAATATATAACATATTATATATATTACATGTATATATACACAAATACATTTTTATGTTTGACCCCCACAACTGTGACTCAGGAGCCTTGGGAGAGTGTTTGGGAATCTGAATTTCAGAAGAAAGACTGGCCTGGGTTTGATGATGGGAGGGGTTGCTTGGCCTTTGGGTTCTAAGCTCTCGTTTGAAAGGGAAGCCTCTGTGCTCTGACGTTTCCTGTGAATCAGTCAGTAGCAGCAGCTGCAGCTTCCCAGCTTCTGGCTCTGTGTGTGTGTGTGTGTGTGTGTGTGTGTGTGTGTGTGTGTGTGTGTGTGTTTAATCCCAGCGATACCTGTATTTTTTAAATACATTAGTATTTTTTTAATACATCAGTTTCTTCTTTGGGTATTTTAGAAGGGTTGATTTTTGTCTTTTGCGAATAGAATAATCCTTTCTCTAAAAGGAGTAATCTCTCCATTGTTAATCAGGTTTTGTAAATCTTGGTTGCCCTGCAATCTTTTTAACCAGAGAAATTTCCGTTGTGAAAAATGCTCTTTGCCCGCTAGGTGGCAACGCAGTCCCTTCAAATAGCATAATCCAGGGCTGCAGGTAGCCTGATGCTACACTGGAGTACCCGTGTGTGTGCATGTGTGTGTGTGGTGTGCTTCCGTGCGCGCACGTGTGTGTTATCTTGCACATATATGGGGTGGGTGTGTACAGGAGTGTGTGTGGTGTGGTGTGCCCGGGCGTGTGTTCATATGCGGGAGTGCGCATGCTGGTTTAGGAGAAACTCTATTGCCCTGTTTTGCTCTGTTTTCCATGAATTGGCAAATTGGAAGTACAATGATCACTAGCTGGACTGTGTTTAGAATGAGGGAAATGCCGGGCGTCCTCATAGGCCTTTCACGGGATCTTACAGCCACAAGTCTATTGTATGTGCTTCAGTGATGAAAAGCAAGATGGAAAATAACGTCAGGTTTTGATTGCAAACATGTCAGATTGTAGAGATTTTTTTTTTGCACCTCTAAGTGACATGAATAATTTACTGTCCACATTCTTGGCCTCATAGGTAGATCTTTGGATGGTTGAAAGATCTTTGCAAAAAAAAAAAAAAAAAAAAGATTCCTCCACATTCCACAAACTTTGTTTTCTTAGAACTTTGGAATAAATATTTTAGATAAGTGTTGCTAATAACATTCATTGATCAAGACTGGAACTATTTTTTATCCTGAATTCATAGGAAGTATCATCTACCTGAATGTTGGATACATAAAATACAATCTGTTAATTCAGTATATTATCGTTGCATAAATGAAGGAATTTCTTTTCAGTGCTGTAATTTTTTTTGTCCCAGCTGTAGTTATAGTTCATAGTTTGAGGTTTAAGACATTATATAATTGTATTAATGGGGCGAAGTATGTTTTGTACCTGTAATGTTATTTAATTAGGCTACCCTTGTGCACTGTTTTCTAAAAATAGAAAAGTTACTTATCAGCAAGCCTCAGCATAGAAGTAAAATGTATCTGTGTGTATTATAAAGCAGTTTTCTATCATTGTACTTCCAAATTTCCAACAGGTTGTAAGAAGATATATACTGGGTTCAGTTGTCGACAGTGAAAAGAACTACGTAGATGCTCTTAAGAGGATTTTGGAGGTACTTAAGTGTCGTGTTACATAATACATACATTTCTATTATTCTTTTTTACCTATATACATTTTGATCCATAAATGCAAAGCATATATGTTTATGAAACATAACATGCAAATTTGCAAAATTCTCAAAAGGATCTAAGTATTATGTCTGTATATTGACATCAAAAGTCATGATTTATGTTGAAATAAATATAATTTATGTAAGTGAATATTTACATTCATTTATCTAAGCTTTAAAAATGTCTGGGCCAGGCTCGGTGGCTCACCCCTGTAATCCTAGCACTTTGGGAGGCTGAGTCAGGTGGATTGCCTGAGCTCAGGAGTTCGAGACCAGCCTGGGCAACACAGTGACTCTCCATCTCTACTAAAATACAAAATATTAGCCGGGTGTGGCGGTATGTGCCTATGGTCCCAGCTACTCGGGAGGCTGAGGCAGGAGAATTGCTTGAACCCGGGAGGCAGAGGTTGCAGTGAGCTGAGATCATGCCATTGCACTCTAGCACGGGTGACAGACTGAGACTGTCTCAAAAAAAAAAAAAAGAAAAATGTCTGAAGCAGCCATGCCCCCATGGAACATGCCTATAATCCCAGTTACTTGGGAGGCTGAGGTGGGAGGATGGCTTGAGCCCAGGAGTTTGAGGCTGCAGTGAGCCATGATCGCACCACTGCGCTGCACCCTGGACAACAAAACAAGACCCAGGCTCTGAAAAAGAAAAGTCTGAACTGTCTTTGCTCATTTTGTCTTAGCAATATGAGAAGCCGCTGTCTGAGATGGAGCCAAAGGTTCTGAGTGAGAGGAAGCTGAAGACGGTGTTCTACCGAGTCAAAGAGATCCTGCAGTGCCACTCGCTATTTCAGATCGCGCTGGCCAGCCGCGTTTCCGAGTGGGACTCCGTGGAAATGATAGGCGATGTCTTCGTGGCTTCGGTAATTAAGCTGGGACACCTGGATGTCCATGGGGCTCTCCATGCACCTGTCCTCTCTTCCCTTCTTAGGCTGATGTTTTGCCCCTGATCTCCTGCAAGCTGACAAGTGTGCAGTTCTCTCTAAAGGCCAGGCTGAAGTTGCAATGCCCTGGCCAAGCGTGTGCGCTAGGGAAATGATAAATGGATCTTTACCAGGGAGGCCAAGGCGTTAGAAAGGCAGACACTGGACAGAAGCTGTATCTGAGGACATTTAACAATATGCACTTTATCGAGTCTTGGATGCCCCATTAGACGATTTGCTGAAGCTTTTTGTTGTTGAACAAGGATGCCGTGTGTTTGGCAATGTTGTAAAATTGCCGTTTTTAAGCCCTCACACAGGTTCTCTTCCTGATCTAGGTGTCACTTTCTGGGTGCAGAATTATCTGTGCCTGGGAAAAATAGAAAACACGTGATGGGAAAATTCCTAGATGTTTTCTCAAACTTTTGCCCTTGGCTGTAGCTTCTGTTGTGTAGATACAGGCTTTCGGCCCTATGCTGTGACACAGGAATATGATGTTGCAACAGCTTGCCTGAACACTTCCTGGCAGGAGAAAGGGTTAGCTGCCTGGAAACCACTGGTGGTTTCTGCACTGGCAGTTTCGAGTCATTTTATCCTCACTCCGTGTATGAATCATACTTATTGTATATTGGTTGGATTCTACCTAGATGTAGAGGATTATGAGTGAAACAGATTGGTTTCTGTAATTATTTGAGACTATGATGCTATCAAAGGGATATAAGCTTGCAAGTTTTGAAAAAAGTGTTCCTCTTCTTAAATGAATGTTATAATAATAATACGTGAAATGTTTTCCTATATAGTTTGTATATGTACTTGATGAGGTCTATAAATGCTTTGAATAAATATGGAAACAAAATTCTTTCAAAGATATTTGCATAATACCGTTTATGGATCCTTAAAAAAAGAGAAATATTGGATATTTATTTTGTTATTGGATTTTTTTTCTGGCTGTTTTATATATTAGGTTCAACCTTATCACTGTTCTTTAAATACCTACCTTCCCAACATTTTTAAAAATGCAAACAGATTTTTTAAAGAAATAGAATTTTGATGAAAACATTCCTGCTATCAATGCCAGTCACACCAGAGCTCTGCCATCCATCCTAAAGGACTTACGGTTTCTTAGAATAACATGGAGTGATTTTTCTCTCTTTGAATATTGATAGCAAGGGCAAATGTTTCTGCCTCTTAACAGAAACCTTTGTGCTTTTAGGAAAACGAACACGTGTAGGGCATTGTATGTTACGCCAGAGAAGCAGGATCAGCCCCCGCCCCCAGCCCCCATTTCTAGGGTGTGGTTGAGGCCTGTTTCTCAGGATATTGGGCCCACCATGGAATGAGTTGCATGACTTTCTTGCCTGGAGGTTGAACCCACCAAGTGAGACTTGGCAGGAACTTAAAATCACCATCCTTATTTGTCTGTAGTCATGAACATTCTTAACTGAAACCCAAATTACCATGGTTTTGAACAAGGATGTCAGAAAGTGCTCTGGAGTCAAAAAATAAGGTCAAACCAGCAACTTAACTCCTAACACGCTTGCTTAAAGAAAAAAAATCACACAGTCATAATAAAGTTTATCTTATGAAAACATCACAGTGACCGAAAGAGTATTTTGAGGGCGAGTTTCAAATCTTCTGTTTTATGTTGGAAAAGGGATATCTGGACTCTGTGATTTCTCTCTGAATTTCCTCCTGTGTTTCAGTTTTCTAAGTCCATGGTGCTGGATGCATACAGTGAATATGTGAACAATTTCAGCACAGCCGTGGCAGTCCTCAAGAAAACATGTGCCACAAAGCCCGCTTTTCTTGAATTTTTAAAGGTAAGCGCTTTTTTTTTTCATTTGGGTTTTAACACCATCTGATAACAAGTTACATGTCAAAGCTTGACTCTGAATGCAGTTATTCGTTATTAAGATTTCAGTATCAATAGTGCCCTAGATATTGGATTAATGCTAGAAATGAAGATGAATTTTAGGTCCTAATGTAGCTTTTTGAAAACAATTTTATTTGCACCTTCTTAAAAGTGTATCAGCAGACAGACAGAAAGAAAGTTAAAATCAGATCCCCAAAAAAGAAGTCAAGATCAGATCCCAAAGTTACCTTTCCCTCACTGTCCTTCGGTATGGTATTAGGAATCAAATAAACTAAACATCTCAATTCCAGGCCTCTTTGGGATCGGGGAGAGGCACCGGCCTGGAGAGTCAGAGCCTGGAGCGGGCCCTACCCGAGGGGGACGCAGGCTGTGTTCCTCCCAATGCTGAGGACAGCACTGATGGCCTTCCTCAGGGGTCTCTGACCTGGCAGTGATGGGGAGCACGTCCCCTGATGGGTGTGGGTTAGCGTTATTTAATCAGCAGGCAGGCAGGGCTTCCCCAGTCGTGGGATGCGTGTCCGAGGCTGTGTTCTGACAGTTTGCTGCACAATGAACCAAGCTGAAACCCCCTTCAAAGACGTCGGCGGAACTGAGTCTCCTTTGTGGAGCCCCTCATTTGCATGATAAACCCCGGGGACAAAGTGTGTTCTTGTTACTTGGACTGTTTCTTGGAAACTGCTGCTACCTGGAGCGAGTGAACACAGGGCAAGTATTCTCGCCCACAGCAACGTGTCATTGAAGCTGGAATTTTTTCCCTCTGCCTTATCCAGCACGGCGGCTCCTGCTCCTCCTGGAGCACAGTCTGTGGCCCATGGAGGTTTGCTAAGGGATCGGATCGCAGTTCCCACTCTGGACAGCTGTGAGCTCTGTCCTAAGGGATCGGATCGCAGTTCCCCCTCTGGACAGCTGTGGGCTCTGTCCTAAGGGATCGGATCGCAGTTCCCACTCTCGACAGTTGTGGGCTCTGTCCTAAGGGATCGGATCGCAGTTCCCCCTCTGGACAGCTGTGGGCTCTGTCCTAAGGCATCGGATCGCAGTTCCCCCTCTGGACAGCTGTGGGCTCTGTCCTAAGGCATCGGATCGCAGTTCCCACTCTCGACAGTTGTGGGCTCTGTCCTAAGGCATCGGATTGCAGTTCCCACTGTGGACAGTTGTGGCCTCTGTCCTTTGGCTAGGGAACCATCTCTTTCTTTTGGGGAAAGAAAACATGGACTCACTTAAGAGCTCACTCCCTCTGGGGATTTTGCTGTACTCCCATTAAGGATGCCAGCCGTGGCCGTGACCGCAGTGCCCACTCCTCAGCTCGGTGGCTGCCACGTGGCCTTGGGAGATAGACTCTCTCATCCCATTTCATTGCTCCAGGACCTGAGCCCCAAAGAGTCGGGTGCCCTGTGAGCTGAGAGGCCGAGGCACAGCCAGGTCTGTGCTGTCTGCCCTCTCCACTGCACAGCCCCCTCAGCAGAGGGACCTGGAGACTCCCCCCAGGTCAACATTGCCCAACAGCCTTGGTAGCAAATGGCCCCACTGCACATCCCTGATGTGCTCAGGGAGAGGAGCCGTCAGCCTCCAGGACGTCTTTCTGCCCATGGCACCGGAAGAGGTTGCCAGCCTTTTCTGGGGGCCCACTATGGCCAGAACACAGACACCCAAGGACAGCCCCTGGAATCTGCCCAGTCCCCTGGCCCGGGGAATTCACCCCTGGAGCTGAGGCCAACGTGTGAGGTCGGGCCCCTGCAGCAAAGCGGAAGCCCCTAGAGCAGGTGCAGAAAGTGGCTGGAAGGTATTTGGCCAAGTTTCTTCTTGTAGCTGAAGACAAGGTGCAGGCTTTTGACTTTCCCGAGTGTTCAGTGTGGTGGGGAGGAGGCGGCCCCAGGGGCAGGGAGGGCATGGCAGCCCTGCAGGGAGGTGACCCCGGTGCCTTCCCCCACAGCAGGAACAGGAGGCCAGCCCCGATCGAACCACGCTCTACAGCCTGATGATGAAGCCCATCCAGAGGTTCCCACAGTTCATCCTCCTGCTCCAGGTAAGTGCTTCACGGAGACCTCCTCAAGCTAGTCCTCTGGCTCGCCCATGACTCATTTGAAAATGGCGTCTGTTCCTCCACTTTGGAATGGCTGCCCCTCGGGCCTCCTCATCTCCTCTCTAGGCAGTTACAGGAGGTGGAGGGTAGAGGCAGGTGGAGACCTGCGGAGAGTCACCCTACGCCGGGGGCAGCTGTAGGGCCCAGTGCCTGCGAGGCCAGCCTTGGGGGACAGAGGGGATGGGCTGCGGGGAGGGGTGTTGTGGGCCCTGGCCTGCCTCACGTGCTCTCACAGGGCCCCAGCACTGGGGGGCCGCGGGGCTTGGTTATCAGTGGCCCACAGGTCACAGCTCCCTTCTCCAGTGTGTCTGTGTCTGGTCTAGGATCACATGAAAAATGATTCTCGCCTCTGTGCCCAGAGGGGATGGACAAGCTTGGAAAGCTAAGAATAGATTTAAACAAAACATACCCATCACTGATTTAACAGCAAATCACCGAGGACAGGGAGATGCTGCGATGGTGAAAACACTGTCCACTGGACCCTCATTTCTCTAAACTAAGGATTCTCAATTGGATACCTGTGGCTGTGAACAGTAGGCCTGTTCTGAGTGCTGACGTGACGTCTCACAGCGGACGGCCTCTAGGTCACGTCTGATGCAGTGTGTGGTTGCCCGCTCGTTTTCCGACCTTCCCACATAACCTGGAGCCCAGGTGACCCTGTAGGCTGCGGGGCTCAGCACCCATTTTATTTAAATGAATGCCATGCCTCCAGGGAGGATATTTCAAAGGAGAGTCTATGCTGGTTTCTGCCTGTGTTGATTTTTCAATGATTGCTCAGCTTGCTTTTTCTAATTAAATCAGAGGACTTTGCTTGGACTGCCTGCTTATTAGAGCCGATTAAGATGAACTGGTGGAGTCATCGCCAGAAATGAACTGGCGCCTGGGAAATAGTGTGAAGTCCCCTTCCATTGAGGTTATTTTTATTTTTGACCAACCAAATCCATGGCACATTCTTTTTAAATAAATGTAGTCATCAAAGTATGAAAAAGGATACATACTAAAATATCGACATGGGCTCTTTCCATGGTTAGGTTGATGGCTCATGTTAATTTTATCCTCTGGCTTATATTTTTAACAATGTGCAGTTTGCCTGTATTACAGCATTAATAACAAAAGCTGTTTTTTCCCAAGATCAAAATATTCAAAGTGTGTTTTATTTCTTTAGCTGACAAATATGTACTGAGTTCTAATACGTGCGAGACGCTGTTGGCTTCCGGCAAGCAGCCACAGACGTGATGAATGAGCTTCCTCGTGTGAGGGAGTCTGGCGCTTGGGAGGAAGGGGGTCAGGCCGCCTGTTAGACATTAGTTATTCAGCCACAGCTGGGAGAGTGTCACCAGGCTGTGAACCATACGGGCGGGTGAACCAGCCCACATGCCCTGTGTTTAGCGATGCGCCAGTGAGTCCCTGGGTCGTTCTTGGTCGCCAGGGACGACAGCAAGTGCTGACTGTGTTGTGAGGTCACACACGTTGTTGGCTTTCTATGATTTATCAGAATACTTTCTAAATTTTTTAAATTTATTAAATTTGGATATAATTTTCAAACAAGCTTGTTAGGTTTTGGTTAAATGTAAGTAAGTAACTACAAGTAAGTAAGTAAGTAACTATTTTTGCCTAGGTTTTTTCCGAAATACATTCTTTTAGACAGAAGGGGTGGGCGGGCTGCTGGAAACGGAACAGGACAGAGAACCGCAGGGAAAAGCCTCTACCGGGATTTTGAGGAGCCCGAGCAGCTCCCACGTTTCCATCCACCTTCAGCCGTCCTGGGGAGGTCGTTGTCCCTTTTTTATGCGCTAGGAAACTGAGTTACGCTCTAGGAAACTGAGGTTTAGGGAAGCTGATGATTCTCCCATGGTGACACAGCCCGACAGATGTGCTGGGATTCTAACACAGTTGTCTAGCCACAAATCTAGTACACTGTCCACACCCCAAAAGGATGCCAGCCAGGACTTTGGGAAAAGCAGCAGATGGAACACTGCAGACGTGCGCTGTCGGACGGGCATGGCCTGCCTGTTACACACTGCGCCGTTTACAAATCTGTTCTTGTAAGAATTTTGTACACTTTTCTTTTTTGAAAACATACTTCTAAATATTTAAGTTCTCTGAGGAAGGACATTCTTAAACTCAGAATTCCAGTTATGTAATAAACTCAAGAACTTGGGTGTCAAAAGACTTGCACTTAGAAAGATTCAGTGTGCTCTTCCAGATCGTCACCAGCAGAGTTACGTAGGTCAGTTTGCACACAGCTCTCCCCGTCCTCCTCCCTCCTTGCCTCGAGAGACCCTCTTTAGAATTTCCCACACAGGGTCTGTTGCCCCTGAAGGAGAAAATGGTCTTTGCCTTGATCTGACAAAACAAACTGCAGATCCTAGATGTGCCGAGCAGTTTCCCTCAGGGACACTTTTTGCCCACATTTGATGAAACGCTGGCGTATCCTAGAGTGTTCTCGGAGGGGAGCAGGGTGGGTCCACGTACTTTGGAAGAGGCAGAGTTGGAAACAAGGTGGTGTCTGTGTCTGGAGTCATTGTGTGGATGTGCCTGAGGGGCCCTACCTCAGGTGTGGGTACTCAGGGCACCCGGGATGGGGCGAGGAGACAGGCTGCAGAGAGTCAGCAGGTACAAGCACATACCCTCCCTCCTGCCTTCTGCCGTAGTCCGTGTGCTGAGTGTAGGTGGATGGGGAGACAGTGTGGAGAGGCCTGGACACCCTCTGTCCCCTTCCTCCCAGTGACTCTCCTGGTCTCTGCTCTCCGGTCTTGCCTGCGTTCTTCCTGGTTAGTGCTCCCAGACCTTCTTTCTAAGACAGGTGCTGTGAAGCCACAGCTGTCCCCTGGCTCAGGCAGTGAAACCGGCTCACCCTGGCTATGCTGGTACTGTCAGTTTCTCCCATGGATCCAGAAACATCCATTGGCCCTGTGACATTTGTCTTTATCCCAGCTACCTATTTCTCTCCGTTGTTGTGCAAAGATAAGTAACAATTTCTGATAATAACAGCAGCGAGAAACTTCACTTTTCTCCTTCCCTGAGCCTCCTTGGGTGGCTGCCAGCCCGGCGGATGCCCCCGGCTGTGCTCAGTGGCCCCACGGCATGTCGGACTCCACCCTGTGCTGGCTGCTGTCTCCATCGCACGCCTAGTCCCCGGTGCCACCACCAGTGTGTGGGTTTGGTGCAGAACTAGTGTTAAGATTGTTCTTTTTTGCCTTGATAGAATTCGTTGTGACTCATAGGAAAACAAATGTATAGAATAGTTTATATTCATTACAAACTGGAAACATTTAATCATTTATGCAATGTCCTTTCCAGATTTTAAAAAAAGGTTTAAAAAGATAAGCACGCTGTTGAATTCCATGACTACTAATATTCCTATAAACATGTCAAAGATGGTAGGCAAGACGCAGAACCACATTTTTTTTTCTCACTCTAAGTTCTGGGATATGTGTGCAGAATGTGCAGGTTTGTTCCATAGGTATACCTGTGCCATGGTGGGCTGCTGCACCTAGCAACCCGTCATCTAGGTTTTAAGCCCCGCGTGCATTAGGTATTTGTCTTAATGCTCTCCCTCCCCTCACCCCCCGCCCCGCAACAGGCCCCGGTGTGTGATGCGCCCCTCCCTGTGTCCATGTGATCTCATTGCAGAACCACATTTAATTCTGAGAAAGAGTGTTTCAAGTTCACGTTTGCCCCTTCAGCAAACGTCAGCGTGTCGAATGTGAACGAAAGCTGGGAAACAAAAGGCCCTGCATAAAACCAAGGTGACAGAAATGTCCTTTTGTTACTGCCTGTTAACGTTTATCCTGTGATTGGCAGCAGTGCGTCATTTTTTGCTGGCTGTTGTTGTTGATTTGTGCCACATACCCTCCCTTTGACCTCCTCGTGCTTGTCTGAAACCTTAACTGGGAGAAGAGGTAGCTCAACTCCCTTTTTTTAAAGACTACTTTTTAAGAGAAATTTTAGGGTCGCAGCAAAATTGAGCGGAAAGTACAGAGGTTTCCCATCTACCCCTCCCCTAACATGCATAGCCCCCTCCCCCCACATCTCCACCAGAGTGCATTTGTGACAACCAGGAGCCTGCGTGGCCACGCAGCCACTGCCCAGCGGCCACAGTCGCAGGAGGGCGTACCCTTGTGCTGTGCATTCGGTGGGTTCGGATGAACGTTTAGTGACATGGACCCACCACGATAGTGTCATGCATCTTTGCCGCCCTAAAATCAGGTTCCTTTGTCACTGTGAGAGAGACTCGATCCTGCTGTGTGAGTTGACACCATGGGTGCAGTATTCGGCACCACAGTACTCCTGCACATTGGAAACTGGGAGACTGGTGTTTTGAAGAAAGTAGCTGGACCCATCTGTGCATGGGTTCATCTGTCTGACTCAACTTGAGAAGGAGAATCTATCATCATCGTGAGCATCGTTCCAAGTGCACAGTATTTCTGAGATTGTGATATGTTCATATTTAGCGTGTCCTTTATTGTACAGTGCTATTTTTTCAATTTTGTTTTTGCAAAGGAAGCTGTTCAGATGTTCAGCCAAGTCGTGACTCACTCAGCTCATCATCCCTTCCCAAGAACTGACTTTATTTTTCCCCAGGATGGCAGATGCCACTGCCTCCTTTCCATTGTCAGCTGGCGGGTGACGCGACTGTTGTTGCACTGGGAGTGTCCACGTGGTAACTGCCCACCTCTCCCCTGTTGCTTGTAGGACATGCTGAAGAACACCTCCAAAGGCCACCCCGACAGGCTGCCTCTTCAGATGGCCCTGACAGAGCTCGAAACACTAGCAGAGAAGTTAAATGAAAGAAAGAGAGATGCTGATCAACGCTGTGAAGTGAAGCAAATAGCCAAAGCCATAAACGAAAGATACCTGAACAAGGTTGAGAGAGGTTTTCTTCAACTCTATTCCAAAATTATTTTTGCTTTGTGCTAATAAGCTGTCGTTGTCCAGCAATACTAATCTTTTGGATCGTTTGGAGTAATTCCCTTCGCCCAGAGTTCTTAACCGGGGTGGATGGAGGCCTTCGGGAGAGTCACACCAATGTGGAAATTGTATGTAAAACCTTAACAGCCTGTCTTAACAGCATTTTCTTAGGAAAGAGATTCATACATTCATTAGACCCTCAAATGGATCCAGGACCTCCCAAGGGGTTAAGAGCAACTCCTTTAGCTTACTTTTCCTTTCAAAATAACGGTATTTAATTTCAGATAGTAATAGTTAAAGCTGAAAATATTTACAGGCTAGGCACAGTGGCTCACACCTGTAAGCCCAGCACTTTGGGAGGCTGAGGTGGGAAGATCGCTGGAACCCAGGAGTTCAAGACCAGCCTGGGCATGATAGTGAGAACCCATATCTAAAAAAAGAAAAAAAAAATAGCTGGGCACAGTGGCATGCACCTATATAGTCTGAGCTACGTGGGAGGCTGAGGCCAGAGGATTGCTCGAGCCTGGGAGGTCCAGGCTGTGGTGAGCTGTTATTGAGGTGCTGCACTCTAGCCTGGGTGATGGAGCAAAACCCTGTTTCAAAAAAAAAAAAAATTCACAAACATTTTTTGTCTTCACCTATGCATGGGCTAAGCTGCATTGAGCGTGAAAAGAGATGCAGGACCCAGAAGGCGGCAGTTCATTTGCCAGGCTACATTTCAGCTTGATGCTTACATAACTACTTGTCTGCAGCAGTACTCTGAATTTATGTGGGCTTTCCCGTATTCACTGAAGGCCCTGGCTCACAGGGAGATGGTAATTTGTATGAACTGTGTTAAGTTATTGCATCTAATATTCATTATTGCTAAAAATCATTATTGCTACAAATCATTGTTTTGTCATTAGGAGTAGTTTCTTACGTTACAATGACATTCAGTAATGTAACTGTGCGAACTTTATGGTAATACACTTTAAGCCACATATTTTCCCCATTTCTCCAAGTGGTTTATGTAGGAACGTTTATAAGCAGCAAATTGTATTCAGTTATATTCTTGACATGGTTCATGTTATTTAAAATCATGCTCCCTGTGGCACTTGAACCTCCGAATACACATGGGGCACGGAGCAAGCCCAGAGGCCCAGGAAGAGGGGATGATGCTTCGCACTGAATGTCACCCACATGCCTCATCGTTCCCGTGCACTTGGCAGGGACATTCAGGGAGGCGGGTGTCTCGCTGGTTGCTCAGAGCTGGGCAGCAGCGTAGGTTTAGAATCAAAAGACAGCACAGACCACCGGGGCTGAGGACTCTGTTTTTCTTGTGGGCTGAGTTGTTATAAGTATTGGCCGGGTGCAGTGGCTCACGCCTGTAATCCCAGCTCTTTGGGAGGCCGAGGTGGGTGGATCACGTGAGGTCAGGAGTTCCGGACCAGCCTAACCAACATGACAAAACCCCGTCTCTACTAAAAATACAAAAAGAAACAAATTAGCTGGGTGTGGTGGTGCACACCTGTGGTCCCAGCTACTCGAGAGGCTGAGGCACGAGAATCAATTGAACCCAGGAGGTGGAGGTTGCAGTGAGTTGAGATTGTGCGGCTGCACTCCAGCCTGGGTAACAGAGCGAGGCTTGGTCTCAGAACAAACAAACAAAAAAGGTAGTGTGACTTCTACATCGCATACCATTGTCTTGGTTCATACAAAGCGTCTTTCTGAAGAACTGATGGTTTTGCTTTGGCTCAGTGAAGTAAAATATGGCCTACCTTTAAGAAGTTAAGATAGTCATTTAACTATGCTTAATTAGGTTTACTTGGGGAAAAGTAAAATTACAAAACAATTCCTTGCATTCCTCACCGTTCCTGGTTAATGTAG
The DNA here is from genome assembly GCF_000001405.40 of Homo sapiens. Taxonomy (NCBI): domain Eukaryota; kingdom Metazoa; phylum Chordata; class Mammalia; order Primates; family Hominidae; genus Homo; species Homo sapiens. The sequence continues at coordinate 1,905,363 of NC_000008.11, forward strand.
TGTTTAAATCGCGGGAGGGCCAACTGCGGTGAAAGTCTGTGAGGAAGGAGGCGGATGTTCAGCGCAGTCACGGGGAACATAGGAACGATTTCCGTAAAGCGCTCAGTTTGGAAAAGTCACCCTGAGACTCCATACCAGACTTCTCCTCATCTTTTTCTTTTCCGGGTAAACTGAACTGTGGTCCCTGGGCTGTGTTTTGAATGTCCAGCTTCTCAGCAGTGGAAGCCGATACCTCATTCGATCAGATGATATGATAGAAACAGTTTACAACGACAGAGGAGAGATTGTTAAAACCAAAGAACGCCGAGTCTTCATGTTAAATGATGTGTTAATGTGTGCCACCGTCAGCTCACGGTAAGTGCATAAATTCTCTATAGTAGTCCTACCATCATCACATGTTACCTTTGCCTAAGGGCACATGCATGACTTTGTTAATTCTGTCACTCAGACTGAACTGGTTTTTTGTGCCAAAGCTCTGTCCTGTGACTAAGGGAACCCTTATAATAAGCAAGCTTATTTTTAAATAGATTCAGTGTAAGTCACCAAGTCACTGTTAGTAGAAGTACGTAGAGGTTTATATACTCTTTAAACAGGGCTGATGGCGGAACTAGAAACTCAATTGAATTTCTTCATAACCCTCCTAAATCAAGAGTTCTTTTTCTTATGGTTTAAATTCTCTCTTTACCTGCTTCTCTATAAATATATTTTTGATAAATGTTTAAATATAATAAAGTTGGGTATATTCATATTTATTGTAAACCAAGAAAATGAGTTATTTTCACTTAAAATAGTTTTACATCAGAATCGTTCTCCAATGCATGGAATATTGTAGTGAGATGAGGATATGTGAGAAACTAAAAGGTCTTCAAATACAGGTAGATGATAAGGGAACTGATATAAAGTTAACTATAACACTCCTGGTGCTGTAGAAAATAATGCAAGCGAACGTGGTGCCAATTCGTCATGTCTTGCAAGAGTCAAGTGTTGAATCTTCCAGAGTTTTGAGATCCAGTTGCTAAACATTTGGTAGCTTGAAGTCATCCACACGGGAACATTTACAGCATGGAATTTGCCCAACACGATGTGTTAGGAGCCTGTCCTCCCAGTGAGAGCCAGCTGTTAAACGTTTGCCAGCACACCACTAAACATGCCCTATTTTTCATGCCCGTCGCCCCCATTTTCCAGCGGCCAGATATATCTGCCTGCCCTCCTCACCTTGCCTTAGAGACCCAGGCAGCGAGGGTGTGCAGGTCAGCGCTCAGGAGTCGGACTCCTTAGTGTGAACTGCACATCCACCTTCTCTGAACTCTGAAAATTACCCTCTCTGACTTTGCCTCGGACTCCTCATCCGTGCAATAGGGTTGATCATAAAAATAATGCCAGTGGTACGCTCTTGCGGGTCTCTTCAGGGATCAAGGCGAGAACGTTCATTAAGCTGCTGCAGGGCACCTGGCACACGGCACTGCCTGCGAGGGACAGGTTTTCATTGTTGCTTTTCATCATCGTCAGTGACTTTGTGGCAGCTACAAAATAAGTCCAAAAAATATGTGAGTCTTTAATGACACTCCTTCTTGTAAGAGAAAGAACCCTGTTCATTTGACTCATACCCCATGGCTTGGCCTTCACTGTGGACGCCTGGCGACAGCCGCAGGCCACCTGCCTTCTGTGTGCAGAAGTGAAGCCCACTGCACCCTGCGTTGGAGAGGAGCTGACGGAGTGAGGCCGTGGGAGGTCGCAGCTGGAGAACTCCAGGTGTGGGCTGCTCTAGAGGATGCTTAGAATTGCGAGGATGCAGAGTAAGGTGTCTCCACCCGTTTCCCTGGTGTTATGAGGTGCTTCCCATAGTGTGGAGACTAAAGGTGTTTATCACTTAACAGTATGGCTTCCAAGTTTAACTGTCCCAGAACCCCCCTCTCCATGTAACACCTGGAAAGTTAGTTTTCAGTGAAGTGGCCCCACTGTGGCTGAATCCACCCAGCTCCTCACCTGCAAGTTGGCCCACACGATGTGTCAAGTTGGGGACATTAATGCTTGTTCCACCTGCCCTGGGAGACAAGATCATAGAAGTGAAATGACCTTGTAAACGGCAAAGTCCTAAGCAAATATAATGGTCCTTGTTGAGTCTTTTCCGCATTCATCACTGATGTTTGTCTGACACTGACTGCTGCTCCAGAACCCCTCAGGCTGCTGTTGGGGAGCGCCAGGACACACTTGACTCTTGGGCAGTTTTAAGTACGTTTAAAATTCTCCCGCTGCCAGACGTGGTGTACTTTAAAGATGAATTAAAATGGATACTTTAAAAGTAACTCAGCTGTGCTTACTGCTAGAGGATTCCTTAAAATAACGCCCCTGCCTTTCCCACGATGCCAGGGCTTGAATTTCTTTTTTTGCGAAGTGCAGTGGTGAGTCGCAATTCCTTTCCCATGGACATGTTGTCAGTGTGAGATTTTCAGCGACAGTGCCCGAAGGTGATGAGATGAGAATGCATTTTGTTTCAAATAGCTCCCAAGGACCCTTTGGTCGGCCCTGTGAACATTAAGATTCTAAACCTCCTCTGTAGGGATGGAGATTTTTACATTCAAAGAGGAGGAATCGGAATTTTGGTAAGAACTCATGGGCATTTCTGTTTTTCTAAATTGGAGGCACAGTCTAATTCACGGAACACAACCCATCTTTCCTCTTACTGTGTCTGAATTGTTCTTCCTCCTTTCCCTTCCTGTATGGACTGGATGTCCTCATGGAGGGCAGAGTGCTCTGGTGTAAGAAGGAACTGGAGAGCTTGGGTGCAGACGGGCTCCCAGCCAGTCAGGTGCTCAGTCCAATGCATAGCACCCGGCATTTTGGTTATTTCTACCCACACTTTGATTTTTTTTTTTTTTTTTTTTTGAGAAAGAGTCTCGCTCTGTCACCCAGGCTGGAGTGCTGTGGCTCGATCTCAGCTCGCTGCAAGCTCTGCCTCCCGGGTTCACGCCATTCTCCTGCCTCAGCCTCCCTAGTAGCTGGGACTACAGGCACCCACCACCACACCCAGCTAATTTTTTAAATATTTTTAGTAGAGATGGGGTGTCACTGTGTTAGCCAGGATGGTCTCAATCTCCTGACCTTGTGATCTGCCTGCCTTGGCCTCCCAAAGTGCTGGGATTACAGGCGTGAGCCACCGCGCCCGGCCCACACTTTGATTTTTAACGGCAATATCTTGAAGAAAAGCAAAACGTGATGATCACTAAGTGAGAATAATGGTTGATTCTGGAGGGTGGGATTTCCTGGGGCTGCGGGGATGCTGGCGATGTCACAGCCTTGGCCTTGGAGTCCGCTACACAGATGTTGGCGCAGGTCGTTTCCACTAGACTGTACATATGTGTTTTGTGTTTCTTCACGTATATGTTCTATTTATGATAAAAGAAGAAAATAATCTGTATAAGTCATAGGGTTTTTTTTCGGTTCAATTTCCGTATACTTGATAAATATTTTAGTCATGGAGTGTAATGGTATGATTTGATTCTATTAAAGTGGTTACAGTGTAGCCATAAAAGAATAAAGCAGCAATTTGAGAGTTAACTCTTATGAAACCGCCAGAGAATATCTCTATCCACATAGGAGACTTTTCCTGGTAATCGAGCACCTTTGCTCAGAGTCATCAGCAAGCACCGAGCTGCTTCCTGTTAAGCCTTTATGGAAAACCTCGGAGCTTCCGGGAGATCCGTCCCCTGTGCGGCTCTTCCCTGCACTCTCTCTCATCCAGTTCGAGGCCTCTTTATGGCAGCAAGTGGGGACTCAGTAAGAAAGTCAGAAGCACAATTACTATTGTGAGAAAGTCTGAAGAGTTACAATTCAGCAGTGGGAAGTTTCTCACTTGAACATCTGAGGGATGAACATTACCATAACGTGTTCATGTAATTATTCGTAAAACAAGGATCTTTTGGTCGTTTCAGCCCCTCTCATGACAGCCGTGTGATGAGCAGCCAGAGGTACTTGCTGAAGTGGAGCGTTCCACTGGGACATGTGGACGCCATCGAGTATGGCAGCAGCGCAGGCACGGGCGAGCACAGCAGGCACCTTGCCGTTCACCCGCCGGAGAGCCTGGCCGTGGTTGCTAACGCGAAACCAAGTAAGTGATGCTTTCTCTCACGTTCGTGCCGTGGGGCCAGGGTAACTCTCACGTTCATGCTAGCTGTGGGGCCAGCGTAAGCTCCACCATCAGCAGGTTCAGGGTTTAACATGGCAAGTCTGCAGAGGTGATCCAGTCTCTAGAATCTGTATGCTGTCTGACTAACATGGCCAAGTCGGCTGCTCATCACTGACTTGTCCCACGTGCAGCTGGGGCTCCTTCGGGTTCGGGCCGTGCACCTGGCCAGTCAGAAGTGGATTCCGTCTTCCCGGTCCAGTGAGCTCAGTTTTGCGTTTCCAGTTAACCAAATCAGGACTTGGCAGTGCTGGTCTCTTGAGTGTGTGGAGCTGGCGTGCAGGAAGTCATAGAGCTTGAGGCGGTGGTGGTTCCAGCTCGGCTCTTTGCTCACCTGCTCACACTGCTGGGCAGCGTTGTGATGTCTTTACTCAGTTTCCCCATGGAGGCAGTGCTTGTCCATGAACTTCCCAAGGTGAAAGGAGAGGAGTCAGAATGCTTTGGCAATGTCTTAGCATTGCACATGATTTATGATTATTATTACCTAACATTGTTCAGACTGCAGATTTTAATCTTAGTGTAAAAATCATTACCTTCTCTTCATTATTAAAAAAAAAATCCAAAGAACGACTGGCTAAGTTTTATTCACTTTTTGGGCTCTACCCCTGAATTGTAGAACAATTTAAAAAACACGATGCATGGGAACTTTCAGTTAACCTTTCATAGGTTAAATATGCATGAATTTTTCAGATTATTTTGTTTCTGACATGTTCAGAAGCAAGGAAACCACGTGAGAACGTTTAACCTTTTCTGATTGAATTTGCATATTCACCTGGATTTGCAGAACATGATGTAAGGAGTATTAGGTCTAATTCGCTTTGGGACCGCTTTTATTTTTCTCATTCCCCTGATGTTAATAGTCATTCTGTTTGGTAATCTGCCTAGTAGGCTAATTCGTCAAGCATATTATTACAATTTGTAATCTCTTAAATTTCTGACTCTTAAATCCTCGTCCTATTTAAAGTGGTATGCGTCTGTATCAAACCCTCTCCACAAATAACTGAAGTACCAAAACCCAGATTTCCCAAAAGAGCTGTTCTGGGGGGTGGTATGGAGAGCGAGAGGGAGGAGCCGAGGGAGAGGGGACATGGGGACAGAGAAATCATTTCTGACATGATTCATTAACATTTTATTCAAGAGCAAATTGGATGCCTTGTTAAAGATTTTTAAAAATCCTTTTAAATTATTTGGAAACATTGATTGGCAATCAAATTTATATTGTGGTTTTGTGAACAAAAACACCTTCATGTATTTTATAATGCTAGCAATCTTAGAATTTATTCATAATTAAGATGGCCTTATTGTATTTAAATAGCTAAAGGTGACTTTGATCCATAAAATAGTATGTATTCCATGCAATGTTATATTTTCTTATTCATCTTATTATTTATGATTTATGCTGAGCTAACTTAGATTGATTCAGTTAGCAATGTGAAAAAAGCATAAAGCAGGGTGATTCAACCCATTTTTAAAATACTATGTGGAGGAAATAACCTGGAGTGAGTTTATCATTGCATTTGCACCCTGGATTTAACTATGAGCTTCCTATCAGCCACAGCAAGAGGAGAAACACTGAGTATGGACAAGTTCTCATTGTCTATTAAAAAGAAATATGCCACATTGGAGAGTAAATGTTTTTCTTTATTCTGAATTCAAGGAGGTCTTTGGTGTTATATCTCCAGTTAAGGGGACTTTGAAACACACTTGAAAACGTATATGATTGTGTTTTGCATACCTGCATTGATTTTTTTTTTATCACGTCTCTATGGAAAAGCACCTAGTTAACCTCAGTGAAACCATTTTTCCATGGGACATCTTTTTGCCCAATGCCTTAAACAGAGAGCTTAAATGATAAACTTGTTTTGCCATCAATAGTGTTTTGTTCCTCTAGATTAAAAAAGAAACTTTTAAAACAAATTATTTAAAATGTGCTAATTCTGTATGTGTCTGAAGATAGAACTCAAGTCAGAATTCTCTGGGGCTTTTTTCCGGCGTCAGGTAAGAGCATGGTGCTGTCTTGCATTTACAGAGAAGGTGAAAGTGGGCACCGTGCTTGGTGCTGGGACTGGCAGGGCTTCTATCCCGACACGTCTGGATTCATCCAGGGTGGACCGACAGTCTCTTGTTAGCATTGATCTTGAGTGGGTCTATGTGGTATCACATCCATCATGTTGATCCCATGAGTGCCACGCTGCAGCCGGTGAATGACGTCCCTTCACTCTGCTCATCTCAGCTCACTCCTTACCGTTTATGCTGACAAAACCCAGGTACATCCATGAACCACATCTCCATGGGGCTGCCTGTAATACCTCCCTCAGAGTTTTCATCAAATGGCTTCAAATTCACTCTCAGTGTTTGTTTCTTCCGGTTCTCTTGGTTTGTCACTTCTAAATTATATCGAGAAGCTAAGTCAGAAATTCTCATTCTCAGTCGATAGTCATAGGACTTCTGCTGCTTGAATGACTGTTCTAAAATTCAGTGTTGGAAATGTTGGTGTGTTACTTGATATTGACAGAGTGTAGGCAGCACTGCCCAGCAACCTCTGCTTGCAGAGCGGGCAGCGTGGTAACCACCTGAGACCAGTGAGCAGCTGCAGCAGGGAGCTCCCTGTCCCTGCAAAAGCGCCGTGTCGATTGTGTGTTTGCCGTGTGGTGTTAGACTCAGCAGGAAGCTCGCTGTCCCCGCAGAAGCGCCATGTGGATTGTGCGTTTGCCGTGCGGTATTAGACTCAGCAGGAAGCTCGCCGTCCCTGCAAAGGCGCTGTGTGGATTGTGCATTTGCTGTGTGGTGTTAGACTCAGTAGGAAGCTCGCCGTCCCTGCAAAAGTGCTGTGTGGAATGTGCATTTGCTGTGTGGTGTTAGACTCAGTAGGGAGCTCACCGTCCCTGCAAAAGTGCTGTGTGGATCGTGTGGGTTGAGTGTTTGCCGTGCAGTGTTAGACTCAGTAGGGAGCTCCCCATCCCTGCAAAAGCACCGTGTGGATTGTGGGTTTGCTGTCCGATGTTAGATTCAGCAGGGAGCTCCCTGTCCCTGCAAAAGCGCCATGTGGATCGCGGGTTTGCTCTGTGGTGTTCGACATCCGGAGTTATGATGTGGCACTTTCCTCTCTTGCAGAGGCTGCAGGCTGGTGACCATGGGTCCCCTGGTCCATGGATTGGTTTAAGCTCCCAAACTCCCTGATGCTGTTTTGAAAAATGTCGTGTCCCCTATGGATCCATGGATTGGTTTAAGCTCCCAAACTCCCTGATGCTATTTTGAAAAATGCTGTGTAGTTTTCTGGGGTGATTTTAAAGGTTTTGCCAGCCTCCCCGATTGGGACTGGTGGCGGGGAGGAGGAAGATCGAGCGTGAGCCGTCAGTTGCTCTGGCCTGGTGCAGCGTCTTTGTTGGTGCACTCCACCCGGCCGCTGTTCCTTCTCACGTTGCGCTCCATCCTGTCTGGCAGGTGGATTTATGAGAAAGTAATGTTCACTGTTGCCATTCTGTGGGGGGGTTTCTTCATGCAGGATCTTTATAACCTCAATTCATTTTCAACAGATGGACTGTCAAGCGCTCCTAGTTCTCGAGGTCTGGTACTAAGTAGGAGTTGTGGGGGTGGGTGGGGAGGTGGCGCATAGCCCCACCTTTGGGAGCCTTTAGAACGGGAGGAGAGGTGAGATCAGTTGCTCTAGCCGGGCTCTGGCCTTCAAGGGTGTTTCAGAAGAATGGCCACTGGAGAGCTGTTACCGCCCATCCTTCCCAGGGAGAAGTTCTTCGTGTGTGTGTGTGTGCACTTTTATTCAACTGGTCTCAAGTCAGTGTACAGGTGAAGTTCTTAAAATGTTTAGAGAAATGTGAGTACAACTTGAATCTACTTGAAAGGAAACACTCCTTCAGATGTGCAAATATTCATCATTTACTTTTGTAAAAATCAGTCACATTACTTTGTAGTTATTTAATCCTTAAAAATGAATGAAGGTAAAAAGCATCTGTGTTCCTCGCTGTAAGGTCACCTTTTAACGGAACAGGATTGGCCTCTGATGTTTCTGGCTTTGCTTGTTATTGGACCAGCATCTACCTGGTCCAATACCAGCGTCCCGTCCCTGCACTGGCAGCTTGCCTAGAAGGGGCCCTGCAGCTTCCAGAAGGCCGCTGCCTCCCTGTGTGTTCTCAGAACTTTGCAGCAAGAGGGGAAGTCCACTCAGACCGCCCTGCTCTGGCCCATTCCGCTTTCTGTCCCGGAAGCGTGTCCTGAGTGCCAGGAGTGCTTCTGTACAGTTGAGCTGGATATGGCGGTTGGTACAGGAGGATTTGTAACAAGACACAGTCATTATGAACAGGTAGCTGGAGGAGCTGCCAGCAAGCTTGTACCGTGAGGAGGGTGAGAGACAGCTCCTGAAACCTCAGGGTCCCTGCTGAGCATAGAGAGGGGAACTTCCAGGCAAACGCGGAAAGGGTCGTGGGTGAGGTCACAGAGTTGAGGGAGCTCCCAGAAAACACAGTACCTCCCCCACAAAATTCACACGGTTTTAAAAAACAAAGCAAAACACTACTAGCAAAGAACCAGCACCAAGGAGGGAGGAAGGCGGGCGTGACTTACAGTCTTTAAATAGAAGTGAGCCCGGCCGAAGGAAGCTTGAACAGCTGAATATACACCTGACTGATCCTCCTGAAGTAGAAGGCAGCAGGAGAAGCGGAGCTGTATTTTTAAAACGTGAAACGGTTCCTCATGAGGCTCCCCTGAGCTGCATCCTCCAGGGATGTGTGGCCAAGTGGCCGTTCTGTGGAGGCACGGAGGGGTCTGAGCAGCGCGTCCAGCCACAGCCCTGAGGGTTCTGGACACAGTGACCGATGTGGGACCCCAGGAGTGACGGGTTAGCCCCGATTTCTCTCCCTGGCCCCTGCCCGATGCACTGCATGGCCTCGCCTGTAGGCAGGGACAGTGCCTGGTCTCCAACGTGTCCTCTCCAGAGTAAGGTACTTCTGGGCGGCAAGGGTCACTGTTCTTGCTCCTTATGCCTGTAAGAGTGAACTTCGTTTTGAAGGTGAGAGGACAGGCACAGCGGAAGCCCACCATGGCAAAGCTGTCGTGTTTTGAAATACACAGCAGTCGAAATGAAGGAAACAGAACAAAATGCCTCTGTGCTCCATTGCTGTGGGAAGGGCTGCTTCTGCGTCATCTGAACGTTGTACTGTAAAACAGCACGTGTGTGTGTGTGGGAGATGAGGCCAGGACTCGGCGCTGGTTTTCCTGTATGGCGTGTGGATTTGCAGGTCCTTCCCACGACTCAAAAGTGTCATTATAACCCTTGAACGAGTACTGAGAGCAAACACACCACCTGGCCAAAGGTAGCAGGGAGGTTGGCTTTCCACACTGAATACCGTGGATAGTCCGGAAACAGTCTTCAGTAGCTTTCCTGCAATGCGACACTGAGGTCGGCGTGCCTGTGGAATGTGACACCAACAGATGAGCCCCTCACTGGGGGAGCGGATGCAGCTGCTCATTACTGTGAAGCTGCTGACCTCCTGCCACCACTCTCTGTGTCCTGTGCCCCTGTGTGCTCATGCGGCGTGTTCAGTGCAGATGAACGGCCTCCCTTCGTACAGACAACATCTGTATGCTGAGAAAGGCCTTCAAACATACATAGGGAGTAAAACCACAAAGAGCTCTCAGAGAGGATGGGCGCTGACTCCGGATGGAAGGCAGAGTGAAAACAGGGTAGGCGTGCCATGGCTTTTCAGGGATTTTTGATGAAAATGGCATCTGAAGTGAATGGAGCAAAACAGTCACATCACAGATTCTGGGCAGTGGGTAAAAATGTGTCCATGAGTTATTCTACTTTTCTACATTTAAAGAGTATTTCATACTTTCACAAAATGAGAGCCCATTAAGGAAGCCCAGAGCCAGCCTGGGACTTGGGTCCCTGTTAGAATGGCTGTTCCAAGCCCATCCCCAGGCCCAGCCTCTGTCTGGGGGAGGAAACGGGGGCAGCATGGCAGATGGACGGAAAGTGGGAAAGGGTCTTCCAGCATCACACGTGCTTTCAGGACAGTCCCACAGTGGTGGCGATGCCACATGCGTGGCTCTGTTCTCCATGCAGGTGGCTGCCGCCTTCTCCGTCACTGTGTCTGTTTATATCTCCCGTTACCTCAGGGACAAACACTGGTGTGAATTTTCTGGGTATTCAGTAACACACCCTTCAAACTCTCTGTCTTTAGGAGCTCAACAGGAGGCAGGGAGAAGTGGTTCCATGCAAAGAGGGATACCCATATTTTCTAAATATGACATGCACACTAGTCCACGTGATCTGCTGATGCCAAAATACTCATTCTCATTCCTAACGGCCTGTATAGCTGACCTGTGAACTTAGACGCCGATGCATCCCTGGAGCTATGACTGTCAGTCAAGTTGACATTCCAGAAACCTTCTATTCAGGGTCACGGCCCTGTCCAGGACCTGACAGCCAGCGTCTCAGGAAAGCTATCATAGCTCCTCAGCCATGGGGATGGGCCAGATGAGTGCCATGCCTGTGTGTCACATGCCAGTCATTCCCATAAGTCTCGTGGAGAAGACTCCCTCAGGAAAGTGCAGCTGGCACATGTCCCTAAGTGTGGACGGCCAGCCCACGGAAAGGTGCACACGCAGGACGGCCTGTGGACAGGGTCCTCTCTCTGTGTCCTAAGTGCAGACGGCCAGCCACGGAAAGGTGCGCATGCAGGAGGGCCTGTGGACGGGGTCCTATCTCTGTGGGAATCACACACGTGTGTCCTACTACACATGGACACATACAAGTTAGGTGTTGAGCAAATTAATATTATGTTCTGGGTTTTTGAACCCCATGAAGCTATAGGGATGGTTTTACTTGATTAAATATCTGGAATTTGAGACATGACATGTATCTTCGTGACAGTGTGATGTTCACGTTATAAAATGCTTGGGTTTTGTTAAAAACCAAACTGGATTTTAGTCACGGGGGAGAATTCTTATTGTTCTTCTCTGTTCAGTGCTGTGGTTTCAGCTTTGCACCTGGGAGTCTCCTAGGCCTTGCGCTGGGAGGAGCTGCCGTAACGTGTCCAGAACCACATAGGATTTATTTTGCCTGAATATAGCTGGGATCACTACTGGTTCATAACCAAGATTTCTCTATACTTTCCATGTTAGAAAACTACTTGCTTATAGAGAAATTCAATTTGTGCCTCTTATCAGACTAGGGACTTATATATGATGCTGTTTAAAAATTACCCTCTTTCTCCTGGGAATTAATTCTTGTTCTCTGTTGAAAACACTAAAACGTTTAAAGACAGTAAGAATGACCTGTAATTCTTGTATCTGGAGACTGTATTAACACATGAGTGATTTCTCTCCAGCCTTTTCCTCACACCATTGTCCGTATACCACAGTTCTCTATGTGATCCTGTATAGGGAATTTTCATTTAATATTATAGGCTGACCATTTTCTCAGTCTTTAAAAATTCTGAATCGAAGTCATTTAAACTGACTACAGGACGTTCCTCATGATTGAAACTGAGTTTATTGCATACTGCAAGCTTCTTCAGTTACTAGACCACTACGAACAGTGACGTGGAGACATCCTTACACATTAGTCTGATAATTTCCTTAGAAGTGGAATTTTCAGGTCAAAGAGTAGAACATTTGTATCCTCTTTTAGACTCCTGATGCATGTTTGCAAGTTGCTTTCCAGGAAGTTTTCCCCAGTTTCCATTTCTACTGGCTATGTCTGACTTTGATGACACAATGAAACTTTTATGATTTGATTTGTGAAAAACAGTTTTGTACATTTGCCTTAATTTAAGTTAAAAATTTTTAACGCCTTCTGGCTCTGACGTCTCGGTCTCACATCGTGGAGGAGAGGCTTTAAGATGCTGTGAGGGTGCCCCTTGAACCCAGGCATGGAGGTTCTCAGGGACCGAGCACACCCCCAGGGGCTTTTCCAGCCGTCCTTGCTATTGATCTGGCCACACAAACCCTTCCTTGTTTGCCGCACAAATTCTGTTTCACTGACAGACCCTGAATTTTCAAACAGATTGCAGGGATTTCCATGGAAACAAGAGAAGCGTCCGTGAGAAAGACTCGGGAAGTGCTTTTGCGGAAGTGCAGCAATTGTGTGTCACTGCAGCGACAAAGAACTTCGCTCACAGAACTGAAAACTCTAGAAACTGTCAGCTAGAGGGCTGGAAGTCAACTCTAACAAAAATTCTGATTTGCAGGTGTTTCTTTCTTTTTCTTTTCTTTTCTTTTCTTTTTTTTGAGATGGAGTCTCCCTCTGTTGCCCAGGCTGGAGTGCAATGGCGTGATCTTGGCTCACTGCAACCTCCACCTCCTGGGTTCAGGTGATTCTCCTGCCTCAGCCTCTCTGAGTAGCTGGAACTACTCAGAGTGTGTACCACCATGCCTGGCTAATTTTTTTTTTTTTTGTATTTTTAGTAGGGATGAGGTTTCACCATGTTGGCCAGGCTGGTCTCGAACTCCTGACCTCAGGTGATCCACCTACCTTGGCCTCCCAAAGTGCTGGGATTATAGGCGTGAGCCACCGCGCCTGAACTGCAGGGGTTTCTTTAATCAATTTTGGCCTGAAAATCAACATGAAACAGTTTTTCTGAAACTGAGAATCACATTTGAAAAGCACTGGCCGCACTGTGTGGTTTCTTGTTATTCTTGGGATGTGAGTGCAGACGCTTTCTTTGGCAGCGCACATTGTCCCCATTCATGAGGAAGCCTCAGGTTGCTCTGTGGTGTCATCTGTGCCCTGAGGTGCCCTATTATGAACTGTCTGATGATCCGGCAGACATAAAACGTCAGCACATTTCCATGGTCCGTAAGGTCGAGGAACTCCTCCTCATCTCAGTTCAGAAGGTTCTTTAATACACTAGGGAAAGAGTATTCTCCCTTCCCATGATAGGTTCACATTTGATGGCTGTGTGTGTGTGTGTGTGTGTGTGTGTGTGTGTGTGTGTGTGTGTTATTTTAAAAATGTTTATGTTTTTAGTTGACAAATAATCATATACATGTATGGTTTAAAACATGATGTTTTGAAATATGTATACATTGTGGAATGGCTAAATCAAGCTAAGTAGCTTATGCCTTCCTTCACACACTTACCATTTGTTCATGGTGAGAACCTTAAAGTCTACTCTTAGTGATTTTCAAGTATACAATACCTTATTAACTACATTAGACGTCTTGAACCTATTCCTCCCAATGAACTGAAATCTGTGCACCTGTGAATCCCTGTGACCTATCCCACATGTTCTATGGGTGATAGAGCTGCCTCTGTGGGTGATGGAGCTGTTCTGTGGGTGATAGAGCTGTTATGTGGATGATGGAGCTGCTTTGTGGGTGATGGAGCTATTCTGTAAAGTGACGGAGGTGTTCTGTGAGTGATGGAGTTGTTCTGTCAGTGATGGAGCTGTTCTGTGGGTGACGGAGCTGTTCTGTGGGTGATGGAGCTGTTCTGTGGGTGATGGAGGTGTTCTGTGGATATGGAGCTGTTCTGTGGGTGATGGAGCTGTTCTGTAGAGTGATAGAGCTGTTCCAGGGGTGATGGAGCTCTTCCGTGGGTGATGGAGCTGTTCTATGGGTGATGGAGCTGTTCCATGGGTGATGGAGCTGTTCCGTGGGTGATGGAGCTGTTCTCTGGGTGATGGAGCTGTTCCGTGGGTGATGGAGCTGCTCCGTGGGTGATGGAGCTGTTCTGTCGAGTGATGGAGCTGTTCTGTGGGTGATGAGCTGTTCTGTGGGTGATGAGTTGTTTTATGGGTAATGGAGCTGTTCTGTCAGTGATGGAGCTGTTCTGTGGGTAATAAACTGTTCTGTCAAGTGATGAAGCTGTTCTCTGGGTGATGGAGCTGTTCCATGGATGATGGAGCTGTTCCTTGGGTGATGGAGCTGTTCCATGGGTGATGGAGCTGTTCCATGGGTGATGGAGCTGTTCTGTCCAGTGATGGAGCTGTTCCGTGGGTGATGGAGCTATTCTGTGGGTGATAAACTGTTCTGTCGAGTGATGGAGCTGTTCTATGGGTGATGAGCTGTTCTGTGGATGATGGAGCTGTTCTGTGGGTGATAAACTGTTCTGTCAAGTGACAGAGCTGTTCTGTGGGTGATGAGCTGTTCTGTCAGTGATGGAGCTGTTCTATGGGTGATGAGCTGTTTTGTGGGTGATGGAGCTGTTCTGTCAGTGATGGAGCTGTTCTGTGGGTGATAAACTGTTCTGTCAGTGATGGAGCTGTTCTATGGGTGATGGAGCTGTTCTGTGGGTGATGGAGCTGTTCTGTGGGTGATGAGCTGTTCTGTCAGTGATGGAGCTGTGCTGTGGATGATGGAGCTGCTCTGTGGGTGATGAGCTGTTCTGTCAGTGATGGAGCTGTTCTGTGGATGATGGAGCTGTTCTATGGGTGATGGAGCTGTTCTATGGGTGATGGAGCTGTTCTGTGGGTGATGAGCTGTTCTGTCAGTGATGGAGCTGTTCTGTGGATGATGGAGCTGTTCTATGGGTGATGGAGCTGTTCCGTGGGTGATGGAGCTGTTCTGTGGGTGATGGAGCTGTTCTGTGGGTGATGGAGCTGTTCTGTGGGTGATGGAGCTGTTCTGTGTGCCCTGGAGTTCTCCCTCAGGCTTACTGCGGAGATGTTCACGTGCATTTATACATGTGTGAAAATATATAGAGCCGCACACCAAAAATAGAAGGGTCAATTTGATTGGATGATAATTGTGAAGATCATATTTTAAAAGAAGTCAACTAATTAATAAAGTTAACATTGCACTTATAATTTTATTTACTCATTTATTTATTAATTTTGATACAAGGCCTTGTTTGGATGCCCAGGCTGGAGTGCAGTGGCACAATTATAGCTCACTGCAGCCTTGACTTCCTTGGCTCGAGCGATCTTCCTACTTCAGCCTCCCAAGTATTTGGGACTACAGGCGCGCATCACAATGCCTGGCTAATTTTTTTTTTAAACTCTATGTTTTTGGTTTTTAAAACTATGTTGCCCAGGCTGGTCTTGAATTCTTGGCCTTTAGCAGTCCTCTCACCTTGTGCTCCCAAAGTGCTGACATTATAGGCATCAGTTACCACAACCAGCCTATACTTGTGTTACAAGGTTGTGTTTATAGAGTTTATCATCAAAGTTTGCGAATGAAAGCAAATATGTGTGTTATGAAACATTTTAAATTATAAGCATTCTGTAAGGATAAATAAAGTTGCGATGTGTAACTACTGGATCAGTTTGCTCTTTCGTTTTTTTTTGTTTGTTTGTTTTGATGGAGTTTAGCTCTTGTTGCCCAGGCTGGAGTGCAATGGCATGATCTTGGCTCACCATGACCTCCTCCGCCTTCCAGCTTCAAGCAATTCTCCTGCCTCAGCCTCCCGAGTAGGTGGGATTACAGCATGCACCATCATGCCCAGCTAATTTTGTATTTTTAGTAGAGACGGGGTTTCTCCATGTTGATCAGGCTGGCCTCGAACTCTCGACCTCAGGTGATCCTCCTGCCTTGGTCTCCCAAAGCACTGGGATTACAGGAGTGAGCCACTATGCCTGGCCGCTCCCTTTGTTACGAAACTTCATGATACTTCAAATGCAGTTAGTAATTGCATTTGTCTAGATAGTTGATACAAATCAGGCTTACCATGTTCATAAATACCATGTAATCATGTCTTCAACATAAAGTGCCTGCAAAATTATAAATGGTTATGCTACTCCTCAGTTATATAGTAAATATTTTTAGATACCTATATCTGAAATCTTTTTATTGGAAATATGTAGGTTCTTTCAGTTTTGACATATATATGTATTATATCTGTTATATACACTAAAAGAACAAGCTGCATAATTTGTGGGACGTAGCATAGAAGGAAAATGCAGAGTCCTTTCCTCAAAATTATTAAGAATTTCAGGATGTCCAGGCCAGGCACGGTGGCTCACGCCTCTAATCCCAGCACTTGGGAGGCCGAGGCGGGTGGATCACCTGAGGTCAGGAGTTCGAGACCAGCCTTGCCAACATGGTGAACCCTCTACTAAACCTCTACTAAAAATACACAAATTAGCTGGGCATGGTGGCAGGTGACTGTAGTCCCAGCTTATTCGGGAGGCTGAGGCAGGAGAATCGTTTGAACCCGGGAGGCAGAGGTTGCAGTGAGCTGAGATCGTGCCATCGCACTGCAGCCTGGGGGACAAGAGCGACACTTCGTCTCAAAAAAAAAGAAAAAAGAAAAAACAGAATTTCAGGAGGTCCACATCCGAGCCTGAGACCAAGTTCTGGGCCCTGTAAGCTCAGGTCTGTGCGATTCTACAGACCCATGGCCGGGAAGCCTGTCCTGCTGAAACACAAGGCACTTTACTCAACTTAAATGAATTTCTTCTCCTTGGGTTTGAATTTTGGCTCCTTCTCTTACTGGTTTTTTGACCTTAGACAATTTATTTCTATGAGAAGTGGAAAAGAAGGAGCGTATTACTGCATATTGCTTAAAGTACAGACACTCAGGCTAATTCTGAGATCAAATCCTTCTCATCTGTCATCAGTCAGATGGGGAGATGGGGGAATCTGTCCTCTGAGCCTGTGGGCCCGTCGTGGGATTTAGTGAGGAAGTATTTGAACATTACTTCCTGTAGTACACAGGAAGCCCTCTGTGAGGGGTAGAGCAATTCTCACTTGGGCAAATAGACCCCGGGACACGCGTCGTTCCTCTAACCCAAGTCATCGAAGACAAACCATTTCTATTCCCTTAAAAAAAAAAAAAAACTTTAGGAAAGATCATTGGGGAACTCATTTTCATGGTAGATGACCCCAGTTATTGGAAATGTGGTTCAGATTAAATGTCATTTCTAAGTGCCTCTTACTAATAGCTGTTATGTCAACGGTGTCTAAAAAATACAAAAGGGACAAAACATGAATCAAACTCAAATTGTGAGACATTCTTTAACTCACCAGCATCCTCCAAAAATGTCAGGGTCGCGAAAGAGGAAGATTGAGAAACTCCCCCAGACTGGAGGAGATTTCAGGGACGTGACCACCGAACGCAGTGCGAGTCCCTGGGCTGAATCCGGGACTAGGAAATGACATTCATGTGAAAGCGGTGAGGTTTGAAGACGGTCTGTAGGTCAGTCAGGAGTGCCGTGTCATTGTGGTGTCCCGGATTTGACGGTCATGATACGCTTGCGTCAGATGTTATCCTCTGAGGAAGCCAGGCCTGGGCATTCAGGAGGCAGCTCTTTGCAACTTTTCCATCTAAAATTATTTCCAAATAAGTGTTAGAAAAGGAAAAACCACTAAATGCTTGAAAATGTCCACTTTTTAAAAGTTCTAGATTCACCCCTCAACTTAAAAATTATTTAGTATTTGAGTCTTTTCTTCCCTCAAGTATTGGAGTAAATATGGCTTTACCTTTGTATTCTTTTTTTTTCTTTTTGCTTATTTTGTAGACAAAGTTTACATGGGGCCAGGACAACTGTATCAAGATTTACAAAACTTGTTGCATGACTTAAATGTAATTGGCCAAATCACTCAGCTGATAGGAAACCTTAAAGGAAACTATCAGGTAACAATTGAAGCAATTGGATTTAAGATTCTGCCTTTACTTATAAGTCATTGTAAGTATGTGATTATATCTCCAAGTTCTACCAGAAGTGAGAATTCATTTTGACTTTAAAAATTAATCTGAATGTACATTTTCTCTTACGTTAGATAAGGTGAGACTATTTAATGGTAACTTTTCTTCATTTTGCAAATAGGGTTTAATATCAGTTCTATCTTAGAAATGTCTCAGCCCCCCACAGTGTGATCTGACTCCCAAAGCTTTCTTTTTCATAATCTAATAGTTTCATTTGGTCTGAATTTCTCATATTAAAATTGTGTCTTTTTATCTTCCTTGGGATGGCCCTAGTTTTTAAACACTTTTGAAATGTGCGTATTTATTTCCTTTGTAGAACTTAAACCAGTCAGTAGCCCATGACTGGACATCAGGTTTACAAAGGCTTATTTTGAAGAAAGAAGATGAAATCAGAGCTGCGGACTGCTGCAGAATTCAGTTACAGCTTCCCGGGAAGCAGGACAAGTTAGTAGTAGCTTTAAAACGAAACCTTCTTGGCCAATGCTGGGGAGAAAATGGTTCTTTGTCATGACATGTATGTTTTTTGGTTTGCTGATTCTATCAGACAGGCAAAATGTGTAATTTAACCTCACAGGATGGAGCACGTTTTATAAAATGAATGCTTGTCTGTTGTTTCTGGCAGATCTGGGCGACCGACGTTCTTTACAGCTGTGTTCAATACGTTCACCCCTGCCATCAAGGAGTCCTGGGTCAACAGCTTACAGATGGCCAAGCTCGCCCTAGGTAAGGCCTGGCTGGCTGAGGCTGAATGAGGCATGCGGCGTGATGATGAATTCCTGCCCACGAGGGTGAGGTCAGGGTTGAGAAGGAAACTCAGCAGTAGATCCATGCATTGACCTGAAAGAGTGTTTCTAAACAGGAAAATTCACCCTGGCACCGGCGATTTTTTAGATGTTCATATTAAAATAGAGGGATCGCATATTAAAATGGAGGGGTTAAAACGGATGGTGTTTCTGGTACCAGAACATGAATATCAGTTGAGGCAGCTGAACACAGAGGAAGCCCGTGGAGCCTGGCCGTGAGCCAGGTGCTCAAGGCGGGCGGCGGGCGGCGGCCTTCAAATGGCAGGGGGGTCATTGTTCCTCTTGGCCCTTCTGCTCACCCCTCACTGAGAAGCAAAACACAGGGCTGGGCTGGGGGGTTACTAAAGATCCTCCCAGCACCAAAGATCAACCCTGTGGTTTTACTGTAGATGGATGTGACTTTATGATTTCCTTGTTCCTATGTCTCTTCAGCCTTGATTATTTTTTGCTCTGTGTGTGTGTGTAATGTACTTATACACATGCTTACAGACCTGTTACCCAGAACACACTGGGATGTCATGTGTGTGTAAAATTTTCCTTCTGCTGTAGATAATCTGAAATGTTAACGGAGTATAAAATACAGAAGAGAAATGCAGAGCGTGGGTAACGCCATTGCCCCGGGGAGCTCTGATTAGTGGAAGGGCTTTGTCCCGGACGGGAAAGCCGTCCTGACTTTGTGCTCACTTGATGAGGAAGCAGAAACACAGCCCCTCTCTCTCTTGCTGAATAATTTGGTCATTTTTCAGGTCAGGTTCAGAGTGACTTAGCAAACAAGGAAGTGGCCACTCTCTAAAGAGAATGAGCTGAACGTGCAGATAAGCCCCCTTTCGTCTTCAGATCAGCTATATATTCTTTAATGCTCAGGTTGACAGTTTGCTTTGGGAGTAAAATATTTCTCCATTTTGTTGTACTTTTGTTTATCCCATAGCATTATACCATGTTTTAAAGTTTCTCAGTACATCTCTGGTATTTGAATCTAAACATTTCTTTTGCTTTGGAAAAACTGGAGAAAGATAAAGGGAAGTGGACCTATGTGGTTTATACAGCGACGTTTGGCAGCCTTTGGGTCCAGCGTATTCAGGAGGCGCAAACAGGGAGAGGTCCCTGCCACTTAGATGGGGCCAGGCTGCCTTCTAAAATAATGCCACGAATATACAGCCTATGCTGTAAGAAGAGATTGTACTGCTTTCCACAAGTAAAACATGGCGTTGTCTGGCCCTGTACAAACAGAATGCCAGAAACTTCCCCTGCTATGACCTGTGGAGCTGCAGGTCTTTGCATGTGAGTTAACTGCATTCTTGCTCATTTCTCTCTGAATATAATTGCAGAAGAGGAGAACCACATGGGCTGGTTCTGTGTGGAAGACGATGGGAATCACATTAAAAAGGAGAAGCATCCTCTCCTCGTCGGACACATGCCCGTGATGGTGGCCAAGCAGCAGGAGTTCAAGGTGAAGGGAGGCAGGGCCCGCGGCCCGGGGTGGGACGCACCTCGCAGCTCTGAATGGGCCACTTGGGAGATGATTCTTAAGGGGCGTGGTCAGAACATGGTCCTCCCAGGTTCACCACAGTGACCGCTTCTCTAGAGGTCATTTATCTGGAAATAAGACTGCTGTTGATTGAAACCTAAAAAAACGCCCAGCCATTGTCTCTGAAGCCCAGTCCTGGGCCAGGACCCTGGGGTATTCCAGCAGTGCCACAGCACCTGAGGCCTTGTTAGTTAAAGAGGGGACACGTGTTTCACATTTGTAGCTCTGTTTTGCCTTTGCTTGGCAAGCAGTCTGTTTCCACAGTGGATCGTAACTCCAGGTCTCCTGTCTGCTTGAGGTACCGTGCCCGCTCTTTGCCTTGGCAGACTCCATCTCCAGGGTGGCGTCTTATTAATGTTCCCAGTGTTGCTGACTCAGGCATCACAGGCCAGGGCCTTCAGTGACACTGACAATGTCTTATTCTTTAAGAAATAAAGATGTTTCTTCTCACCCTGGTCTCTGGCCAGGGTTTCCCAGCAGCTCCCCTGACCCCTCCTGTTGAGAGTTGCAGGCGGTGCACAGGACTCCTCTGGGAGAGGCTGGGGTGGGACAGGGAAGGGGAGAGGCACAGGCCATCACAGGCTGTACTTGATGCCTGCAGGGCCAGCCCTCCCATCTGAAGCGCCCTGAGCTGCCGGATTTCAGTGTGCTGATGGGATCTAAAGATTAAGATACCAAAGGTTGAATCTCCTTAGGTGTTCACTTCTAAAAAGCTAACTTCTGAGAGTTGTACTTTTAAACTTTCATCCTCCCTATTTTAATCTTTGGTAGGTAATGAACCTGTAATTTCTGTGTTTATACATTGGAAGTAAGTCATCCATTTAAGACGTTATGTAGTCTAGGAGCCTCTTAGCTCTGTTTTATATGTGAGCGTTTGATTTTATTCCATTTTAGATTGAATGTGCTGCTTATAACCCTGAACCTTACCTAAATAATGAAAGCCAGCCAGATTCATTTTCCACGGCACATGGTTTCCTGTGGGTAAGATGTGTTTATTTGGTTTTGGTACAAGTTCACAGAGAATCAACGTTCATGGTCGGTGTGATGAGAGACTGAGATGTGAATTGCTCAGTAGAGAGTTGGCGGTGGCGTATCCCAGAGTGTACTTAGAAACATGAAAACTTCTTTGAAAGGGAGCTGATCACTTTTGGAAAAGATTTACAGTTCTTAGGAATGCAAATATTTGTTTCTTTTCCTTTTCATCTAAAACATTTACCAGATAAAGTTGAGTCCAGAGACAA
Source organism: Homo sapiens (assembly GCF_000001405.40). Classification (NCBI taxonomy): domain Eukaryota; kingdom Metazoa; phylum Chordata; class Mammalia; order Primates; family Hominidae; genus Homo; species Homo sapiens. The sequence continues at coordinate 1,926,724 of NC_000008.11, forward strand.
CTAACTAATAAGAGAATAATTTTAATATGTTTTTCCATTTTGGTGTCAACATTGCATGGATTTTTTTTCTTGTTCCAAGACTGGCTTTTTCCAGTGGAAACTTAGCAGTTAAAATTAATTTGTTCCAAATGAAATATTGCATCTGAAATTAGGCTGGAATTGCAGTAGACGTTCCTGGTTCTTGCAAACCAGAGGACATTCTTGAAGCTGTGTGGTCCCAGGCTCTCCCCTCTCTGGTTTCCTGTGTTCCCTCCCTGCAGCCTCAGACTCGCCCTCCAGGGCTCCACTGTGCTTTTCCAAACTCTCATCCTTTCCTCCCAGGCGTCCTGTGCAGCACGCCACTGCCTCTCACTTCTCACATCCACAGCTCCTGCTTGGTCAGTGTTCCTAGTTGAGTGTCAGAAATTGAACAACCCAATTAGCTGGTATTTCATTTGTACCAACCTATGAATGGAGGAGTAGCCTTAATTCCCTTGGGGGCTTCCACTTCTAAGAGAACTGTTTTCCGTCCAGGTAGGCAGACCTGTCATGGCTGAAGCTTCATCACCTGGCCTGGTCATAGCCCCCAGGCCCTGTAGGCAGGACAGGGGCTTGGCAGATTGGCATCCTTCCCACAAAAGCATGAAAGTAGGATGTCTGTATGTAGCGACAACAAATACAAGAATAAGGAGAGTTTAACAACATTCTCAAAGTTGGTGGAAAAGAAAAAGAATCAATGAAAACATCACCCTAAACCAGCTAGTGCTTTCTGTTTACAGGGATCAGACCCCTTCCCACTTAAAAAAAAAAAGACAAATAAATTTAAGTTTAAATTGGGAAACTAACTGTGCTATGTGTTCTCGTTGTAGAGATTCAAACACACAGGAAGTTCATGTACACTGTTGCAGCAATGCTACTTTAGAAATTCCACGGCAGGCGTGGTGGCTCATGCCTGTAATCCCAGCACTTTGGGAGGCCGAGGCGGGTGGATCACAAGGTCAGGAGTTTGAGACCAGCCTGGCCAAACATAGTGAAACCCCGTCTGTACTTTCACATAGTGAAACCCCATCTCTACTAAGAATGCAAAAATTAGCCGGATGTGGTGGCACGAGCCTATAGTCCCAGTTTCTCAGGAGGCTGAGGTGGCAGAATCGCTTGAACCCAGGAGGCAGAGGTTGCAGTGAGCCAAGATCATGCCATTGCACTCCAGCCTGGGTGACAGAGTGAGACTGTCTCCAAAAAAAAGAAAAAAAAAGAAATTCCACAGCATACCACATGTTGACTTCCAATGAGCTACTTGGGATGCATTCTTACTGATGTTTTTCCTATTTGAAAGGTTTATTTTCTTAGCCTAGGTCATTGAATATTAGTGTTAAGTTATTAAAATTGATAATAATCTGCTTCTTAGGATTTTAAATTGAGGATAGATGGGCCCTTACCTTCATATTGTGATGAGTACGTGATTTTTAAAGTATAGAAATGTGACTTTGTAGAAATGAAAGTTACGCTTTTGCTTTAAAATTTTTTGAAAACTGAATTAAATGTGTTGAAAAGAAAAAGGGGCTCTGTGAGCAATTGTTTAAGAATTTTTTTTTATTTTTTTAAGTGTGTTGATTCTCACATGAAAATCGAAGCTTGTCGTGGCCTTTAAGGGTCAGGTTCCAGCGTATTATGGAAGCCGCCACATGGTCGTTTTCTTCTTTCCTCCTAATTCTCTGATTCAGATCGGAAGTTGCACCCATCAAATGGGTCAGATTGCCATCGTCTCGTTTCAAAATTCCACTCCCAAAGTCATTGAGTGCTTCAACGTGGAATCTCGCATCCTGTGCATGCTGTACGTTCCCGTCGAGGAGAAGCGCAGAGAGCCTGGGGCACCCCCGGACCCCGAGACCCCGGCCGTGAGAGCTTCTGATGTCCCCACGATCTGTGTAGGGACGGAGGAGGGAAGGTAGGGCATGCTCACTGCGTTACAGAGAATTAGCAAGCTCTGCCCATGGAGGGCGTGGTGGGGAGCCTGTCCTGGAAAGAGTCCTTGACTTTGACTCAGGAGTAGCCCGTGCAGGAATTAGGGGATACCAGGGGAAATTTTTAGGGTCATTGCACTTTGAAATAACTAGTGAATTGGGCCCATGGAAATTATTCTAGGAAACTCTTAAAGAGAAGTGGTATTTCTTTAAAGGGGACAGTTTGGCTGTTTGCCACTGAAATGTCTCATTTATATTAATGGTTTTGAAAAGGACATTCCCCCCTTATATTTTGGAATAAAACAGCCATATTCTATGTCATGATCATACTGAATTGCTGACACCATTTAAAGGAGAGTTAAAATGATTTTCCTGATGTGAAGTTCCAAGATACACAGTAGGAAGAACTAAGTTTTTTCATATATCCCAGAATTTCCCTTTTAAAAATAAAGAAATCAAGGTGGTTGCAAATTTTTTAAAAGTACTGGCAAGTGTCCCTAGGAATGGAGAAGGAAGGGCAAGAGGGAAGAGTTGAAATGTTTGTGTTTATGTTAACAGGCACCCTCGTTCTTGTTACAACGAGCAAATATATTTATTAGCTTGTATTTTTCTCTTAAAGCATTTCCATTTATAAAAGCAGTCAAGGCTCCAAGAAAGTGAGACTTCAGCACTTTTTCACTCCTGAGAAGTCCACAGTCATGAGCCTGGCTTGCACGTCTCAGAGCCTGTACGCTGGCCTGGTCAACGGGGCAGTCGCCAGCTACGCCAGAGCCCCAGGTGAGGCGGGTCTCACGGCCTCCTGGCCGGTCCTTGGGGTTCACTCAGGGGACTGTGCATCCGGTTTAGCCTCCCCACCTCCCCACCGGCCTCCTGCCTCCCGCCCCTGTGCCTCCGCCCCTGCGCTCGTCACCCTTGCCCAAGGCCCGGGTGCCTTGCTTCTTCCCCAAAAGGTGTTTGTTGAATATACAGACATCTTTCAGAAGTCAGTCTGCCCGTCTCCTCCCACCCTCCCACTTCTCTCGGCCTGCCTGTTTCTCCCCCTCGGATGGGGGCACCGGGCCATGCAGAGCCTCCTTCAGCATGTCCTGCGCTGACCAGCTGAGCAGCCTGCCCGCCCGGCGGGGCCTCCTGTACCTGGGCCAGCCCTCTTTGCCCCGGTGCTGTGCCCTCGGTCCCGTGCCCTCGGTCCCTGCTGTTCTCTTGGCCACAGGGCTAAGGACTCCATTGTGTTCTGCTGGGTGCCTTAGACGAGGCCCTCCCTGGCCCATCCCGCCTGGTCCCCGCAGCCGCTGGGGGTGGGCAGCTGCTGTGTGTCTGTTCTCTCTCCAGCCCCTGCCGCGTTGGTGGCAGCTGTGCTTTGCAGGCTCTTCCTGTGGATCTGGCCGCCGCTGCTTGTGGGAGCTCTGGGTACGGGGCTTTCCTTCCAGCTTCCTTGGTGCTGGCTGAGGCTGCTCTCCTGGCCCCTCACTCAGCTCTGAGCGCAGGGGTGCCGAGCCCCAGCTGGATCCCAGCCAGTCTCGGTGCTGCCATCCTGGAGTGGAACACGCAGGGCTTCCCTCACCGAAAGTTGCCCTGCACCACCCTCCCCACGGCCGGGAGCGACGCCTTGGCGGGTCCTGTTATCTTTCCCAGGCCATCCACCACTTGTTCTTGTACCCCGAGACCATGTCCCAGCTCACTCCCCCATCATCACCACCCTGGTCCACACCGCCCAGCTCCCGCCTGGATGGCAGCGTAGCCTCGCCTTCATTCTTCCGCTTCTACTGATTCATTCTCCAAATATTTGTTATTGAGCTTTTTAAACTGTAAATAAGGTTTTTACCCTCCCCGCCCCCCCGCTGAAAATTGTGTGGTGAGTCCCCAGTGTACTTAGAATAGAATTCCAGTCCTCCAGTCCTTGTTCCTTGCTCACAAGGCATTCTGCCCTCCAACCACCCCCGTTCTCTCTGCTCTGAGTGCTGCTATTGGAGTTCCTCCCTCCTTAGAAATCTGCGCCAGCCCCTCCCAGAGCCTGGGGTGTTATTTGCCCCCGGACTTTGACACCTCCTCCTTGGGGAGGCTCTCTCGACCTGCTCCACGGGGACGGCCCCTCCTTCTCCCGTGTGGTTCCGGCCTGGCCTGTGCGCACCTGCGCCAAGAAGGCCTGGACTTCTTTCTCACTCCGGTAGGTGGAGTAAGCACAGGAGCCGCTCCTGTCTCGTCCCTCAGCCATCTGGAGTGTGACCCTGCTGATCCCTGGCCGATCCCTGGCTCCTTGGCGGGCCTCTGGTTGCCTCCCTCTCATCCGGTGGGTGCCCCGGCCTGGATTCCGGTCTGCACCCCCTCTTCACTTGGCCTCATGATTTCAGTTCTCCATGGACGGTTTTGTGTCTTCGGGGTTGGGCTCTCCCATTCCAGTCCTGCTTTGTCATTCACCTGTTGTCATAACCTCTGCCAGCCTCCTTGGCCGGCTTTCCCGTCCTGTCTCTGCTCCACGGTAGGCGGAGGCCCCTCCGCATGTGCGCCGAGAGCCGCCTCCCTGCTGCCTGTGTTCCTACCACTCTGCACTCAACTCTTTCATGAAGCTTCGTGGAGGAATGTGTGTTGATAGGACTTTTTCATATAATCTGGATTTTTTTCTGTTTTTCTAATTTCTATTAAATGCAATAGAAATAACATTTCTATTACGTAAAATGTATTTTATGCTTATGTCCCCCTTTTTTCCCCTGGGTTTACTAGCGAGCATCTCTCCAGCCTCTTACTTGGCTGCATTGCTGTCCTGTCCACTGTGGAGCCCCGTGCAGGGCTGTGTTTTCGCCTTGTCAGACGCGTTGCATGATCTGTAACTGAGATCTGCTGAACGTGTCTCTTCGCATCTTTCTCACCAAGAGCTGTCCGGCGTACCGTGTGGGAGCGTGCGAGGCAGCCTGCGCAGAAGCGCATAGCCTGCCACTTCGTTCTTGGTGGTGAGGGACGTGGCTGGCTGGAGGCCTCGGCCCGGGCAGAGGGAGGGGGAGGCTGCTTCCTAGCCCCTCACTGTTGCCAGAGCTCTGAGCTTTCAAGGGACTTAAAAATGTGAAATTCTGTGGGCAATTTCCAGATTTTTAAGTGTTAGTTCAAAACGTCATTAGCGTGTGCCTGGTTCCGGCTGCGATTTGGGATCCTGCTGAGGGCTCTGGCCTGGGACACATACACAGGGAGAAGTCATCCCAAGAAAGACAAGCCCACACTGCAGAATGACCCACCCAGGTGCTCAGAGAACAAAGTTCAGTTGTTGGAAGTTAAACCTTAACCGAGGGAAACGTCTGAAGTAGGCCATCGTGTCATTGATCTTTGAGTTCTCGTTTCAAAGGAATGGTGCTATTGGTAGGACACTGCCAAGCCACACCTGACAGCCAGGATCCAAGCACAGTGGGCGGTGCATAGAGAGAGCTCTGACCTAGGATTCACAACCCTGCGTTCTTGTGCCACTCCATGCCCTTCAGAGTGTGTGAATGTCAGAGAAAATTGTAGCTCTGCCCTGAGCCCACATATTTCTGGAGGTTGCCGTGTGCCGTGCTTTAAAGGGCTATGAGTACCAGATGGGAAGGCCCATGCACATGTGTGTATGCACAGGAGTGTGAGGGGTGTGCATTGTGTGAGCAGGTGTGTATGCATGTATGCACATGTGTGTATGCACACGTGATTGTGAGGGCGTATGTGTGTGCAGGCGTGTGTGTGCCTTGAGTGCACATGTGCAGACGTGTGTGTCCCTGTGTGCATGTGACGGCAGGTGCACGTACTTGTGGGTGTGTGTGCACATGTGCATGCCTGCATGTGTGTATGTGTGTGACATGTGCACGTGTGTGTGTGCATATGGCATGTGCACGTGTGTGTGTGCGTGCATGTGTGTTGTGCATGGGTGCATGTGCATATTTAATCACATAATGATAGACTGGGCCCTGTGCAGATATTACAAAGGAAAAGCAAGCCCATGTTCACTGGGGCTAATAATTACCCTACAACACTTTTAGCCTAATTGCAACATAAAAGCATTTCCATTAACGTTGAATTATAACTAAAAGTATGCCACAGAAGTCAGAGCTTGCATAGTTGCCTTTTAGTGACTGCACACCTCCACTTCAGACACTTGTTTTGTATTCAAAGGTTCAGTGCTTGAAATCCAGAACAAAGAGATAAGAACTGAGGCCGTGTTCTCCTGAGTGAAGTGTGTTTATTTGATTAGGAAGTCGACGGCATTGATGGATTAATAATTTAGTTACACTTTTAAGGTCGATGCCTTAATTAATGGTTAGACTGAGAATTGAAGAATTCATTTTAATTATTTATAGGATAATTACATTAGTCACTTTAGAAGTTTATGGTAAATCTTGCCTCAAATAATTTTTATTGGTATTCAAGGTAGCAACTCATACTTGATATAAAGTGTGAAAGACCTTGTCAGTAGATCTTTGGATATATTTTCAAACCAGAATATTTCACGACTGTCTAGGCTTCAAGAAAGGGAACAAATTCATCAAAAGTAAGGAATTCCTTTTACCTCAATTTTGATTTCTTAAAGTATTCTGTGAAGATATGGCCTCTCTTCGTGATGCAGTATAGAGCAAGGCACATGTTAGAACGGAAGCAGCTAATGGGGAAATGTAACATCTGCCCAGTTATTTTGGATGCAGTTCCTTTTAATGATGACTGAATCATCTTCTCTGCTATTATTGTAAATGGTCGTATTGACTGAATACCTGTGTGCTGGGTACTGTGCTGAGCTTTGTACATGCATTATTTCATTTTTAACTTTTGATACAACCTTTGCGGCTAGTGGTAGGATGGTCTCGATCTTACCCTGAAGGAAGCTGAGATTCAGGGTGAATGAGTGGTTTGTCTGGGACACACATGGAGGGGATAGGCAGGGGGGCGGGTGGGGGGTCTTGAGGGCTGCGTGTCCCACAGCTGTCTGTGCTTCCCGACTGTGCACCATGGCCCAACTGGGGTGGGTGTCAGCTTGTCGATCCCCAGACACAGCCAGGATCAGGCACAAGCATTAACATTACAGGTGATCCTTCGGGTGTCAGTTACTTAAAATGATGTATGACCCCATTTTCCCATTCCTGTGCACAGAAAACTGAACTTGAATGAAATGAAATATTTTCTTTTAAGATGGATCCTGGGATTCAGAACCTCAAAAAGTGATCAAGTTAGGCGTCCTACCAGTTAGAAGTCTACTCATGATGGAAGACACGTTGTGGGCGGCTTCCGGAGGTCAAGTCTTCATCATCAGTGTGGAGACTCATGCTGTAGAGGTAAGTCACTTAGGTGGCTACACGGTGTGGAAAAAATGCATTTCAGAAACAGCTCAGCTGACTTCTGGTGCCGAAGTCAAGGCTTCTTGCCTGTGGCTAAATTTCCTTCTAGCCGGGCACAGTGGCTCATGCCTGTAATGCCAACACTCTGGGAGGCCAAGGTTGGAGGACTGTTTGAGCTCAGGAGTTCCAGATCAGCCTGGGCAACAAAGTGAGATCCTGTCCCTACAAAAAAATTAGCTGGGTAGGGCAGTGCGCACCTGTAGTGGATGTGGTGGTTGCACACCGGTAGTCCCAAGTACTCGGGAGGCTGAGGCAGGAGCATCACTTGAGCCCAGGAGGTCCAGGCTTCATTGAGCCAAGATCTCGCCACTGCACTCCAGCCTGGGTGACAGAACAAGACCCTGTCTCCAAAAAAAAAAAAAAAAAAGGAAAGGGAAAGAAAATTCCTTCTAGATTTTGCTTAGAAAGACAAGATTAGCAAGAAAATTCAACTAACCATTTTTTAACCATTTACCTGTGTTCACTGGTTATCTGCTAAGTAAAAGAAACATTGCTTTAAGAAATGTGTTCAGTATGAACCTGTAGAGTCCTCCAGGACTTAGGGAAAATTTGCATTTGATTGAGGTGACATTTCAATTCAGTGGGCTAAATGGATCATTCACCAAAGAATCAGGAGACAAGTGGGCAGCCGTTTGGAAAACACGGAGCTGGCTCTCAAACCCCAGCCCTCTCCTCCTCTAAACACTCCAGATGGATGGGACTTTCACCATGAAGACGAAACTATAAACCTCTAAGATAAAAAGCAGTAGAACAGTTTTATTACTTTGCAATGGAGAAAGCCTCTCCAAGCATGCCACAAACCCAGAAGTTACCATAATAAATAAAATGGTACAATTTAATAACTTTTTTCACATTGAAATATGTGTATCAAATATTTATGGAGGAAAAATTGGGAAAAAAATTCCTGTATATATGACTAAGAATTAATGTTCTTAAAATACAAAGATTTCTTATTAAACTAAGAAAAAGGTAACCAACCCAATAGAAGATGTTCAAAGGACATGAACAGGCAGCTCACAGAAAAAGAAAGAAATAAACAATAAACTCATACACATATAACTTAGCCTCCTTAGCAACTAACATTGCCTATTAAAACAAGGTACTGTTTTATTAATAAACTTTATTTTTAGAGCAGTTTTAGGTTCACTGCAAAATTGAATGAAAAGTGCGGAATTTTCCATGTACCCCTCCTCCCACACACGCACACCCCCCACAACCCCCCATCAGCCCCGTCCTGGAGTGGTGCGTTTGTTACAGTCAGTGAGCCTGCATGGGCCTGTCATCATTGCCCAGGGTCCACAGTCCCTCATCACTCAGGGTCCACTGGGGGCTTACTCTTGGTGCCGTGCTTCTGTGGGTTTGGGCAAATGTATCTCAGCATTGTCCACCACTACAGCATCGCGCAGAGTGGGTTCACTGCCCTGGAAATCCTCTGCTCTCTGTTCAGCCCTCCCTCCCCCAGTCTCGGCAACCACTGGTCTTCAGGGTGCCATTTCTTCAGATTGACAGAAGGTAAACACTAAGTACGACCTGGTTGGAACGTGGGGACACAGGGCTCTCAGGACCGCGGGGTCTTAGGGCAGCCCCTCCGGAGGGCACTCACCTGTTACCAGTTAGCACTGGGGCTCATAACGTCTTCCTGGCAACTCCGCACCCTAGAGAAATCCTCTCTACAGAGGAGCTTGTGCACGCACATCTAAGGGTATCCATTGCAACCTTGTTGGTATCACAAACACTTGGGAGTGTCCTAAATGCATGTGCATGGGAGGAGCTGGGGAAATGAGGGCATCTATGCCCCACAGAGCAGGTGAGCTCAGGCAGCGGGAGGAGGCCCAAACTCTCCTTGTGGGTGTTCCTAAATGCACGCCCATGGGGGCACGTGCAGGGAAGCAGGCTGCGGAACACTGTCCGAGCTCACTCCGAGGGAGGCTGTGGTGCCTGATGAGCCCACCCGTGTCTGCTGTTAGTGGCCGTGTGACGTGCCAGCGTGTGTGTGTGAAGTTGGACTGACATTCCTGAAATGATGAGGAAAAGGCTACATACTTCCCCTCACACCTGCATTTTTCAGCCGTGTCATATGTGGTGTTTATTATGAGGTTGCGCTGTCTTGTTTTTTACTGTCTGTTCTTGGCCATCTCTTGACCCCACTGTCCCTAAACAAACTGGGATAACACAGGTGTGTTTTCACCCAATAAAATGGACCAACTCATCATTAAAAATTCCTCTGGGCCGGGCACAGCGGCTCACACCTGTAATTCCAGCACTTTTGGAGACCAAGATAGGTGGATCGCTTGAGCTCAAGAGTTCAAGACCAGGCTGGGCAACATGGCAAAACCCCATCTCTACAAAAAATATATAAGTTAGCTGGGCACGGTAGTGCATGCCTGTAGGATATTCGGGAGGCTGAAGTGGGAGGATCACTTGAGCCCACGAAGCTGAGGCTGCAGTGAGCCAAGATCGCACTGCTATACTCCAGCCTGGGCAACAGAGTAAGACCCTGTCTCAAAAAAAAAATTCCTTTGACCCTCACACAAAATGTCACAGGAAAGTGTCTTCAGTTGGGGCAAGGGGTCTAATTTCATCTCTTTGAAGCCTCTGAAGACGTTCTAATGACTAAATCTACACAAATCCAGAAAGAAATGTTATCATTAAGAGCTTCTAAAAATACTTCTCTAGACCATCGTTAGGAGGGATGTATCAGTTCCCCAGGTTAGGAACTTTAAGACATTTTGCTGACATTTCATGAATCATATTTGCACACACTGACGAGACCGGTTTCAGGATGTGCCTAGGCTGCATCCTCTGTCATCTCAGAGGGAAAGTGGCTCCTGAGCTGCCACGTGGACACCGCTTTGGCTTGCAGCACAGTGGGATGCGGGCTAATGCCGTCTTCAGCCAGGAAAGGGCTCTCCGGCTGGCCCCTGGAGACGTGGGTTTGGTTAGGAATGCGAGGTCCACACTGGGGCAAGGTGCAGATGGGACCTGGGTCCTGAGCCTCCTGGAGGCCGACGCTCTGCCGTGGATCATGAATAGCATTCCCGCGTGAGTCTTTTTTTGACACAGCCTCCCCGACGTCCTTCGAGACCTGGTCTGCTAGACAGGAACAGAAAATAGCTGGACAGGGAGGTTGGGGTACATGTTAGATGATTTTTGGCAGTATTGTTCCTGTTACTTTTCATATCCATCTGACACTTCTTATTTCACGTGCCCTGAGAATGAGAAGCCTTCAGTTTCGTGGGGAGCCAGGGATTAGCTAGTGCGGCCATGCAGGGTAGCCCCGTGGATGCGGTCACAGCTTCTTGAGTTTTTCACAGCCCTTGTACCCCATCAGTACAGCCATCCTAGTAATTGCGTATTTACAGAGGGAGCTCAGCCATATAGTATACGGTGATCTTGGATCAGCCGCCTACCTGGGTCTCAATTGTCTGAGCTGACAGCTGGGGGTAATTCCCCTTTCTCAGGCTGCTTGTAATTTATATGCTGTAAATCTCGAAGACTCAGAGAGAAGCAATGTGTTTGGATCCAGATATAGGGCTCTTTCCTTGCATTTTTAGTACCAAAATAACTAAATACATTTTTAGAAAGAAGCAAAAATCTGCTCTCTGAAAACATGATATTCATCCTGTCGTTCCCGTTGTGCAGGGGAACTGTGGCCAGGGGCTGGGGCAGCCCACAGGACCTGAGCCCACAAGATTCGAGCCCTGGGTATGTGTCCGCCTTGCTGACAGCGAGGGCAGCAGCTGCGGGGGGATCCGTCCCGAATGGCCATATGCTGTCAGAACAGTGCCGGCCTGGGAGCTGCATGTGATCTGGGCTTGGGTTGAGCGGGTTGGGAGATGCTAGCCATATTTGGAAGAAAAAGGCACCTGAGGCTCTGAGGCTTCGGTGTTCCTGGAGTGACTGTGCCAGTGGAGGAGTCAGCATACCGGTGGGGGTGGCTGGCCCCGTCCCAGCTCTGGCGCCATAACAAAGCAGCACTGGGCGAACCAGTAGAGACGCTGAGCCGGGTGCTTGGTGCAGCACCCCCAACGTGGCAGGGGGCACCCACCTGTCTGTCAGGGCCGTCAGGAGCAGATGGGAAGACATGCCATGGACGCTGAGCTGCCGCACGGTGCCAGTCACAGTCACCTGGATGCTTTAGGGGAGGGGAAGTATCTCTTTTTCTCCAACTGCAAATGGCCCTTTACCCTGGGTTTGTCCAATTGCTGTTTAAATCTCATAGTGTTAGGAACACGATGCAGTGCTAAGGGATCTGACGTCTGACGTTTAGGAAAAGGGTGAATCATTCTGGATTTCTGGGGGGCGTTGCCTGGACAGGTTTCTTGCTTAGAGCCTTGAGTCACAGCTAGTTTCAGTGGAATGACTACAGCTGCTTAAAGTGCAAACCTTTTCTTCCTCACTCTTGATTTTCTGCAATATGCAGTGCTCTTGACTGAAGACAGATGGAAGGAAGGAAAGAGAGGAAAAAGGTTTCTGGCCCTCATCCTCCACTGAAGGGAAAAACAATGAAATAATAAAATAGGCGAGATATTAAAGATGACCTAAATAGTGCAACATAGTGATTTGCTGCAGCAATGCGTTTTTTTTCTCATAGGAAGTTAATTCTTGTCATTGTGTAGAAAGAAACACAGGGCAACAAAACAGGCCTAAGCGGGCACGGTGGCTCACACTTGTAATCCCAGCCACTTGGGAGGCTGAGGCAGGAGGACTGCTTGAGGCTAGGAGTTCAAGGCCAGCCTGGGCAGCATAGCGAGACCCTATATCTAAACACAGAAAATAAAACAACAGGCCCAGGTCAGCAGAAGAGGCCAGAGATCCCCGAACACTGTGGAATCTCAGTCCCCAGAAAATCTGAACACTGTGGAATCTCAGTCCCCAGAAACCCCCAAACACTGTGGAATCCCAGTCCCCAGAAACCCTGAACACTGTGGAATCCCAGTCCCCAGAAACCCCCGAACACTGGAATCCCAGCCCCCAGAGACCCCCGAACACTGTTGAATACCAGTCCCCAGAAACCCTGAACACTCTGGAATACCAGTCCCCAGAAACCCTGAACACTGTGGAATCTCAGTCCCCAGACACCCCTGAACACTGTGGAATCCCAGTCCCCGGAGACTCCTGAACACTGTGGAATCCATAGCCTGCTTTCTTTCAGACACCTTCAGAATCACACAATTTCAAGGCAAACGGAGACTTAGAGATCCTGTGGCCCAGTGTTCTTATTTTCGAGAACCAAGGCTTAGAGAAAGGAGAAGCCATGCCCAACATCAGTGCTAAGGTAATACCCATATAATCTGTCCTCCAGAAGAAACATAGCAAACATTTACCAAGTACCTAGCACTGTGCAAAAACAGAGCAACCACAGATGGTTAAGACATTGATGACACAGGCCCGGCTCTCAGTCCCAGGATGGCTGGGCTGCCAGCGTGAGTGAGGGTGCTGTGGGAGTTTTGGGGGCAACACTCCCTCCAGGCCTCAGGCTGGCACAGTGAGCCGAAATCCAGGGGCATTGCATCCCACGGTTACTACGAGTTTCACGACGGCAGCAGCAAAGCGTCAAGCCAAGCATGCGTCCCTGCAGGCACAGGGCCCTCGGCAGCTGCCTAGGGATGGTGCCCATGTGGCTAGCTGGTCGAGGGTGAGGAGGGATTCACTAGGAGAAAAACCGGGATGCCACCTCAGAGAGGGAGAGATGCATCAGGCTTCGAGACTACTGGTCCCCAAGGGGCTGCTGGAAGCAGAGGGTGGGTCTGCGAGCACAGTAGGGGACAAGGAGCTTAGGTCCTGTCACTGGCTCAGCTCCCGGGGACTGGGGGGAAGCATGGGCAGTGCAGGCATCCCCATGCCGCTGAAGGTAGCCAGCAGCCTTTGACTTGACTTCTTGGAGCACAGTTCTGTGTAGTTTTCTTTTAAACAGCACTTTTGCAGCAGACGGTGCTGAGCCATTGAAGGGTTTTCAGCGTGGAACAGATGTCAAAATTTGTTTTCAGAAGAGTATTTTGCCAGCAACGTAACGGGGTGCGAGACGCTTGGATACTAGAACAAAGGAGGTTGCGCTGGGTTAAAAACTCCATGGGTTTGGTTTTTTTAAATCATCTTTCCAGAAGTTTGGATTGTGATTGTGAAAGAGTCAAAAGCCCGAGGAAAGAAAGAAGCTTTGCTCCTCTATAGTCACACCAGAGTTCTGTCATACGCCACGGTTGTTTGTTTTGCTTTTTAAAATCCTCTCTATGGAAGTCGCCTTCCTCTGCCCCAAACAGTTTTCCAGGGAGTAATTTCTGCTTTATTCTGAACTAGCTAAAGAAACCAGCTATGATGGAGACTTGTGTGTGAAACAGGCAGCAGGTGGCCAACAAATTAGATAATCTAGAAGAGATGGACAGACTCTAGAGTGGCACAAACTACCAAAACTGAATCATGAAGAAATAGAAATAGAACATTTGAATAGACCTAAAAGTAGTAAGGAAATTGAATCAGTAATCACAAACTTCTGAACAACAACAAAAAGCCCAGGACCAGATGGCTTCATTGGTGAATTCTAACCAAACATCTTTAAAAAGAATTAACAGTACTCTTTCCCAAACTCTCCAAAAATATTGATGAGGACGGAACAACACTTCCTACTCATTCTGCAGTCAGCATGACCCCGATACCAAAGACATGACAAGAAAACCACAGACCGGTATCCACTGTGAGCACGGATGCAAAAATCCTCAACGGAAGACTTGCAAATTGAAATCAACAGCGTACTGAAAGGATTGTGTACCCTGGAAAAATGAGATGGATTCCTGAAATGCAAAGATGGTTCAGGACGTGAAAATCAATCAGTGGAATGCATCACATTAACAGAATAATGGGGAAAAAACCCACATGATCATCTCAATTGATGCACAAAAAGTACTTGACATGATTTATCACCCTTTTATGATAAAAACAATCAAACTAAGACTAGAAGGTGATTTTTCCTCAACCTGCCAAAGGACATCTATAAAACACTCACAGCTAACATCATACTTTATGGTTAAAGAAGAAAAGTTTTCCCCTGAAGATCAAGAACAAGACAAAGATGCCTTCTGCCATTTTTATTCACAGTAGTACCGGAGGATCTGCCAGAGCAATTAGACAAGGGAAAAAGAGTGGAGGACTCAGATGAAAGGAAGAAGTAAAGTTGCATTTGCATATGATATCCTCTTGTATGTAGAATATTCTGAGGAATTCACAGCAAAACTACTAGACTAATAAACAGGTTGAGCAAGGTTACAGGGCACAAGATCGGTATACAAAAATCAATTAAATTTCTATACACTAGCAGCAAACAACCTGAAAATGAGACAAGAAAACAACTTCATTTATAATGCTGTCAGAAAGAAAAATACTTGGAGAAATTTTTAATCAAAAAGTGCAAGATTTATACTCTAAAAACTACAAGACATCATTCAGAGAAATTAAAGAATACCTAAATAAATGGGAAGGCATCCTATGTTCATAGATTGGAAGATGTACTATTGTTAAGAAGAAAACAGTCCCCAATTGGATCTGCAGATTCAACATAATCCCTATCTAAATTTCTGCTGCCTTTTTTTTTTTAAACAAAACTTGACAAGCACATCCTGAGATTCATCTGGAAATGCAGGGGATCCAGAATAGCCAAAACAATCTAGAAAAAGAACAAAATTGGAGGCCCACACTTCCTAATTTCAGATTTTACCACATAGCCACAGTAAGCAAGACAGCATGGTGCTGGCACGGGACAGACACATACATCAGTGACATAGACCGGAGACCACGTGTGTCTATGTTCACATAATTTTCAACACGGTGCCAAAACTATTCCATTTGAATGTTGAATGGCCTCTTCAACAGGTGCTGCTGGCACAACAGGTGCTGCTGGCACAACTTCATTCTTCCATGTGCAGAAGAATGAAGTTGGACCCCTGCCTCACACCACATACAAAATTATCTCAAATGAATTAAAACATAAATGTAAAAGCTAAAACTATAAACACCTTAAAAGAAATTATAGGGGTAAATCCTCATGATTTTGGACTAGACAGTGGTTTCTTAGATCTGACACCTCAAGCACAAGCAACCAATGTGGAAAAATAAGATACACTGGGCTTCATTAAAGTTAAAACCTTTTTGCTTCAAAGGACACTATCAGCAGGGTGAAAAGACAACCCACAGAGTGGGAGAAAATACGTACAGCTCATGTGAGAAGGATCTAGTATGCAGAGCATCTAACTCACTCTTAGATCTTAATAAAAAGAAAAGTAACGCTATTAAAGGCAAGGGAACTGAATGGATATTTCTCCAAAGAAGATGTACAGTCGACCCATAGGCACACGAGAAGATGGTCAGCATTGTTGCTTGTTAGGGAATCATGGAGCGAAACCACAGTGAGACACTGTGTCACACACTAGGATGGCAGGAATAATAATGTTAGTGGAGCCAGCACGCACTGCAGAGTACGTGAGGATGCTGGGAGACTCTTGCTGGTGGGAATGCAGAATGGTACAATTTCTGAGAAGACAGTTTGTGATTTCTTCAGAAAGTAACTCGTGGCATGACCAGGTGACCCAGCATTTCCAGTCGTAGGTGTAGATTCAGAAGAACCTGATACTCATGCAGACACGAATTATCATAGCAGTGTTATTTATAGTCAAAAAGCGGATGCAGTCCAGACGCCCAGGAACTGGTGAATGGACAAACAGAATGTGGTTCCTTCATACATGAGGATTGGTTTCAGCCATAGAAAGGAGTGAAGCCCCAACTCACGTCACGTGGATGAACCTGGAAAATGCCAAATTCAGTGAAAGAAGCCAGACACAAAAGGCCGAACATTGTAGGATTTTGTTTATATGAAATGTCAGAACAGGCAAATCCAGAGACAGAACGTGGATGGGATGAGTGGTTGTCAGGGGCTGGGGAAGGGGGCATAAGGGTGATAAAATGTTCTGGAATTCAAGAGTGGTTAAAGTTGGCAACTTCCCGAATATACTAAAAAGCACAGAATTGCGCCCTATAGAAGGGTGAACTTCATGATATGTGAATTATAGCTCAGTGTTTTCAAAAGGAGGTGGCAGTTTTGGAAGTAGCTGAGAAGTTAGCAGAAGTTAGCCTGAAGCAATGGCTGCGGGGAGCGGCCTGCCTAGCACAGGCAGGAGGAGGGGAACCCTACAGCCCAGCCGGAAAGGGGCACAGGCTTTTCTTCCTTTTCTTTTTCCCTATTTTTCTTTTTAATTTGAGTGAGACTTGTGCATGCTTTGGGGCTCAATGACAGAAGCCAGGAGAGACAGGGCCCCATTCCAGGAGGAGGGCGAGGAGCAGGGGAGGAAGGAGCCAGTGCCGCGAGGAGGCCAGATTCAGGGAGCTCTGCAGGTTGGAGGTGGAGTGTCAGGGAAGTGTGGGCCTGCACACCTTCTCCTCTGTGACGCAGGAGGCCAAGTCAGAGGGAGGAGGGATCAAAAACAGACCCACGCTAGAACCATCTGGAATCCGAACCAAGACTTCCCAACTCCCAGGCAGATGCTCTGTCTCCCACGCCGCACAGCCCAGATAGTTTAGACTGTGAAGATCCTGTGAAGCTTCAGTTCATAAAAACACTTGGGATCTTTGTGTGTGAGATTCGTGTTCCGCTGGGGAGTAAGAGCTGGATTATCTGCCTAGGAACCAAGTCACAAGTCAGTGATGCAGACTCCTTTGCAATTGTGAGCACCAGTTCCTTCTCATTGACAAATATTTAAATTCAACTTGTGATTATTGAAGAAATTTTCTATGAGGAAACTACGGGCATATGGCGAGAGGTATTACACGGCTGACTCTAGAATGGGCATTTTATGAGGAAACTACGGGCATATGGCGAGAGGTATTACACGGCTGACTCTAGAATGGGCATTTTAGAGGTGGGGCTCTCACTTCACATCAGGGGACCTGGGGGGTTCCAGTTTGCTCCAGGGGGGTGGACAGTCAGATGTGGAGCCCGCTCAAGACCCACAGTGATGGGACTTGGGGCCGTGTGGGCCAGCCTCCCTGACTGTGTCACCTCCCTGGGGACCCCAGCCTCCCGCACCGTGTCACCTCCCTCGGGACCCCAGCCTCCCGCACTGTGTCGCCTCCCCCAGGATCCCAGCCTCCCGCATCGTGTCGCCTCCCTCGGGATCCCAGCTTCCCGCACCGTGCTACCTCCCTGGGGACCCCAGCCTCCTGCACCATGTCGCCTCCCTGGGGGCCCCAGCCTCCCGCACCGTGTCGCCTCCCTCGGGACCCCAGCCCTGCGTGCCCAGCCTGAGGACACAGTCCTCTCCTCAGCTCTCAGGCCCTGCAGCGCCCCTGTGTAGGCTGGAGTCCTCTGGCCCCTGTCCCTGATGGAATCTCAACTGAAATAAGAGGCGATGCCATGGGAGAAGGGATCTCCCATCCACTGAAGTCGCATCCCTGAATTCCTGCCCGCCGGGTTCACTGGGCTCTGGGCGCGGCGTAGTGCCGCAGGATGGGGTTTGGTGCCACGGGGCATGTGTGTGGAGTCAGCAGTCTCCACCATGGGGGCTGTCGTCTTTTCCCTTATTCTCAGATTGTGGGACAACTCGTAGGGCCAAGATGTCAGTCTGGTTATTTCCTGTGGGTTTTTATGAGTTTCATCACTTTACTTTAGATAACTGTGCAGGATCGTGAGTTTCTTTAATTTCAAGAGCTGTGAGGCTGCTGGTTCCTGGGGCACGCAGTGTCTCTAAGCTTCATCCCAGCCCTCACCCTCTGTCACCCCCTCCAATCCCTGATGGGCAAGGCGGGGGCAGTCCTCCTGGGACTGATCCCAGAGAGCCTGAACTCCAGGCAGCCCCTGAGGCCATGTTGGGGGGTCGCTGTGTTAGCAGCTCCTGCTGGCTGTGGGGTGACGAGGGCCCAGGCCCAGGCACCCGTGGGACCCCTCAGAGCAGGCCGCTGGGATGCACTTTCGGAGCTGCGGGGCTGCAGCTGAGCCTGGAAGCTCCAGAAGGACCAAGTTGCTTGGAGAAGCAGAAGGTGCCTTTCCAGGACAGCAGAGCTAAGAGGAGGCACAGACTCAGAACCAGGGTCAGGCTGCAGGCAGGCAGTGGGGCCCCATGCCATAGCTTGGAGACATCGAGGAAGGTTCCAGCAGGTTCTGATGGGCCTGGGGGGATGGATCCTGTGCCTCCCCTCGCCAGCCTGCCCATGTCTCCTTTAGGACACAAGCTCAGTGGCCCCTCGGCAGGCGCACCATGCCTGTGTCTTTGGAATGGCCATTTTCTGGGCTCACAAAGGAGCCAGGATGATTGGAAAATGGCAGGCAGTTGGGTTGCTGGTGTTTGGTTGCTGGAGACGCCTGTGATTTGGAGCAAAGCCTGCTACTGTGTTGCAGCCACTGAATGGCGCTCCAGCTGGACGCCACGTGGACCCAACAGGCCCCACTCAGACTCACTCCACGGGGCTAGCAGACTTGACCTCTCGATTTCACAGGGTCAGCTGGAGGCCCACCAGGAGGAAGGCATGGTGATCTCCCACATGGCCGTGTCCGGCGTCGGGATCTGGATTGCCTTCACCTCAGGGTCCACGCTCCGCCTTTTTCACACGGAAACTCTCAAGCACCTGCAGGACATCAACATCGCCACCCCTGTTCACAACATGCTGCCAGGTAAGGGGACGGGACGGGGCCCAGGGATGGGACAGCAACCGGGGACGGACGTGGGGGGTGCGGAGCGCTGTCAGCCCACCTTAGCGCTTCCCAGTGCAGGACACTGTTCACAACATGCTGCCAGGTAATGGGGTGGGACAAGGCCCAGGGACAGACGTGGGAGTACGGAGCATGGTCAGCCCACTTTAGCGCTTCCCGGTGCAGGGCACAGGTCCTGAAGGAGCCGCGTGCTGGGAGGAGCCGCGTGCTGGGAGGAGCCGCGTGGCAGTGCCATCTCTGTAGGTCAGAGTGGGTGGGAGACGATTTCTCATCATCGGTGCAACAAGGCCCTGGGGAAGCCAGGACCTGAGGCTGAAGAACACAGAACAGGAGGCCTCCCTTTGGCTGGGAGGGCTGTTGGGGAGAGGCCAACAGAGGCCTATGTTTGTGAATGCCCTGTTGCTGGTGGGTGTCACTGAAGTTTCTGGGCAGGGGAGAAGGCCATTACACATTGAGTTTTGGGAGGATCATCCTACAACAGGATGGAGGAAAGAAATGAGGAGGGGGCCCAACCGGCTTCTTTCACGGGTAGCCGGAGGCCGCTGTGGGGTCCGTGGAAGGGCTGTTTTGCTTCTTTGCCTGCTGGTGGGTATTGGAAGACATTTGCAGTTTTAAGGGGAAGGCATGAAGTAAGGGCTCTGCCTCCGAGCCCTTCGGCTGCTGTGACACACGCCACAGACGGGCTGGCTTACAAGCCAGAGAGGCTGCCCCTCCGCGTTCTGGAGGCAGCATGCCGGGGAGCACGGTGCCTGCAGGGCCGGTTTCTGGGAGGATCTGCTTCCTGCTTTGCAGTTGGTGCCTTCTGGCTGGGGCCTCATGTGGTGAAGAAAGAGCCCTGGGGTCTCCTCCGCTTCCTATAAGGGTGCTAATCCCATCATGGGGACCCTATCCTCATGAACTCATCTAACCCTAATCACGTCCCCAAAGCCCCGCCTCCTCGCACCATCCCACTGCGGGCAGGGCTTCAACATCGAAATCTGGGGAGACACAAACATTCAGTCCATGACGGGCCATTTATGATACGTTGAAAAAAACCACAATGATTAGGGGTCTGGTTCTAGAACGGGTGTGAGGCCGTCCTTTGACAAGGGGAGGATGAGGAGGCCGAGGAGGTGTTGAGGATGTTCCTCGGGGCCTCCGTGTCCCCGCCGCACTCCCACTGGAGATGGGAGGGTGAATATATTCGGTGCACGGTGGGTCCATGATAGCCGTTCTTTTCTCAGGGGCTAACTGTACAAGTCATTGTTAAAATACTACAGGAGATTTCTCTTAGTGAGAAAAGGAGGTTTATGTAACATGCAAGTTTATATTTAGAGAACCAAAATGGTTAAGTCCCTGTGGCTCAGAAAGCAGACGCTCTGCTGTGGACCTTGTGTTTTCTTTGGAGCACTCACTGCTAGAGCAAATGTTTGCTGCAGGAATAGGCTGTCCTTGTTGGGACAAAACCAAGTCACATCCGTAATTGCCAAAGCACGCTCTCACGCGGCAGTGAGTGTCCATGTGTTCAAAGTTCTGTACACAAGGGGAGGTGAGGAGGGTGTTATGAGAAAAACCTCTCCACTCGACCTCCCGTGGGCTCCAGCACCCGAGCCTCCAAATCCTGCCCCAGCTGCCCTGCAGCGCAGACCTCCCTCCGGGGCGAAGCAGCCCACGGTTACCCTGGTTTCAGAGTTCCGAGAGCAGCCACGGAAATGCAGCGGCCCTGCAGGATCCTTGGTGTTTATCCCTCTCCGGGTGGGATCAGAAAGAAACTCCTAATCAAGGGAAGGCTCTGGCAAGTGTGAGTGGAGTTTGTATTTTGAATTTGATTTCTTAATAAAATAACCCTTGCACACGATTTAATAAAACCCAACAGCACTCACGCCCAGGCTATGAAAAGCAAAGCAGGATAGGAAAGCCTGCGCTCTGGGGACTCACAGCCCCGCCCCCATCCCAGCACCCCACCCACTGTCAGCACCCAACCCTGCCCCCATCCTCACACCCCACCCCGCATTCAGCACCCACCCTCTCATCCCAGCATCCCACCCACTGTCAGCACCCGCCCCGGCCCCCCGCACTGTCCCCATACCCCACCCCGCTGTCAGCTGCCTCTCCCGCCCGCCTCCCTACTGCTGCTGCTCGAAAGCCACTCCTGTATGGCAGGTTCTTGATGCTTTGTTTTAGATACTGTCTTTGACCTCTCCTGTAGAAGAGAAAGATGGAATTATCCTGCTTCCCTCCAAGCATAGAGCACCCAACACAGTCCTGCACCCACCCAGAAACAGAATGCAGACCCCTTGCCGGCTGCTCAGGTCGCAGGTTCTGGCTAAATCGCAGCTGCCTGTGTTGCGTGTTTTGGATGATGAAGTTGTCTGTGGCTGGGCGCTGAGCCTTCCTTGGGACTTTTCACCCTTCAGCTCATAGTTTCCAGGCGGCCGATGATGGATCCATCCCAAGCCCACCACAAGCCTCTCACTTGGCAGCAGATGCATGGGGCTCTGCAGAGCCACCATCCCCTGGCGCCCACTCTCCCGGGCCCCTCCAACATCCTGGGCTGGCTCTCCATGGCCACAGTGCGTGCTCTCAGCCCCCTGCTCCGGGGGCCCCTGAATCGTGGGTCTTTACTTATTCCTACACGACATAGTCAGGTCTGCATTTTAGACCCGCATGAAAGCAAACACATGAGTCTGTCCAGATGGAGTGCCGTGCTTCTCGTTGGCAGGTTTCTCCGGCATTTCGGTACTAAGTTGGAAATAGCTCCAGCTTCACTGATTTCTGGGGTACACTGACTGCTTTACCCACATTCAGTTCTCTGCTCCCAGGCTGTGGTCTGCTGCCACCGTGGCCTTGTCAGCAGGAGAAAGGTACACGGGTTAGAGGCAACCTCGGTGACACCAGAAGTTCAGTTTTGTTTGTGATGCTTCTGACAGTGATTCTCTGTAAGATCCTCAGTGCGGCATAGACTGAAATGGTTCTGATTTTCATTGCATTTTGTGACTCAGAGGGAATGAGCAGGCCAGAGAGTCCTTTCCTCCAGAGAGTCCTTTCATCTCATCTCCTCTGTCTAGTCGTCTTTGCCTTTCAGCTAATATTTCATATATTTCATAGAAATAAGCATTATTGCATTTCATGCTGTATTTAGACATTCCGGTGGGGGCATGCTCATACCGTGCTGAAGTGCGCGGATGCTGAGGTCGCCGGGCCGTCACTGCTCCTGGGTTCTTCTCCTCCTTATCGTCCAAGATGGTTCCTGGAGGCCCACACATGTCCTCTGTGCTCTGTTCGCACACACACAAAACCTTCATTCTAGAGTTGTATTCATGACGATGCTCAAATGGGTTTTCATGTGTGTGTGTGTGTGTGTGTGTGGCAACAAGACATAAAATTATCTTTTTGTGCTATTGCTGGAATATAAAAGTCAGGTAGCTTCTGCAAATGAAGACTTGCCAAGCCGAAACAACAAAATTTGAAAAAAACAAACTGTATTATAACTCATGCCTTTTGTGTAAGTTCACACAACGTGATGAAACCTCCTTCCTTCCTCAGGGTCTCAGCACGCTGGCCCCTGGGGAATCCGTGAATCTGTAGCTAAGGCCCTGGCTTTTCTCCTTCTATTTGGAATTCACTTCTGAAAACCATTTAGCTCACGTTCTTTCACATAAGCTACATCAGATTCAACACAGACTAACAGTTGATGAAGGTCTGTGATTAACATACACATTCGTTAGAGCGGTCGTTACCTTTCTAAGTTATAAAGGAGTAGAGTTTACAGCGAGTGAGTTCACGGCGCCTCAGCTTTTAGGTTGTGAGCAGTTGCAGTAGGTTACATCACCAGGCAGATGTTTCCTGCTCTGTCCCGCATGTTCAAAGGAGGATATTTTTGATGGGAAAGTGCTGAGACACATGGTAAATTGCGCCTTTCTGAGTCTCCACCGAGCGAATACAGAGCCTCCAGGAACTATGTGACCAAATAAAATGGCCAAAATTTCCATTAGAAAAAAAAAGACAAAAAACGTGTAACTTTTCTGAAGACCATGGACTACACCGTAAGGGAATTCAGTAAATGAAACCGGACTCAAGATGGTGAGTTAACGAACGAGACTGAGGACTTGGGAGCCACAGCCTTTCTCGGTGGCCGGTGTGGCCCTGGCCTGTCCTTTGTTTTATGTTCCAGGCTGGGAAGAGCAGAGGGCGAATCCCCCTGGTAGCATTCCCTCCCATACTTGGGGGACGTATTGCTTCTTCTACTCACTGTTCTGTCTCTGAGGTTATTTGAATGAACCTGGATGGTGTTGTTTACACCCCCAGCTTCTCCCAGCCTCCAGGGCGGGAGATGCGTCTGCCTCTGTGGCTGCCTGCAGAAGGCCCTGGTGACTCCCCACGGAGTCACCATCCAGCAGCCGCTCAAGTGCAGTCAGTCCCACTTCACACGTGTAACCCATTTACCAACCTCACTGTGCAGCTGCATCACCGTTCACCACCTCAGCTGCCCCTGCCTCCCACCTCGCCAGCGGACCTCACGTGGGCTCCAACTCCCGGGACCCAGCCCCATCTGGGACACGCCCTGCTGTCCTGTTCTAGGTCACTGTTGGTGCTTCCGGACGGGCACGGGACGCCTGGATAGCGGCACTCACCGCAGCCTCTGGAATCGGAAAATGACCGCATGACCTCGTGACTGTGGCCCTCAGCTTTCCCATGTAAAATTAAAGATGTTGATTGGCAGACTGCTTGGAAAATGCAATGGAAAACCACTCTCTGGAACTTAACTCTTTTACGTCGTTCCTGGGTACTTTGAAACCAGTTAAAAACATTCATATCGGGTTTCTACCTGCTTTTACCCTTTTTATTATTTATTTATTTATTTATTTATTTATTTGAAACGGAGTTTCACTCCTTTTGCCCAGGCTGGAGTGCAGTGGTGCGATCTTGGCTCACTGCAACCTCCGCCTCCCGGGTTCAAGCAATTCTCCTGCCTCAGCTCCTGAGTAGTTGGGATAACAGGTGCCTACCACCACGCCCAGCTAGTTTTTTTGTATTTTTTTGTTTTGTTTTTTAGGTTTTTTTTTTTTTTTTTTTTTGTATTTTTAGTAGGGATGGGGTTTCACTATGTTGGCCAGGCTGGTCTGGAACTCCTGGCCTCAGGGGATCCACCCACCTCGGCCTCCCAAAGTGCTGGGATTACAGGCATGAGCCACTGCGCCCGGCCTACCCTTTTTATTAAATGCAAGCTTTGGCCAGCATTACAGGAGCCCTTCCAGAAGCCGGGCCATCGTTTCAGTCACGCAGCCGCAGCCTTGCCCGGCACGCAGGTGGGGCTTCTCCCCTTCCCAGTATCTCACATCCCTGCTCCCACAGCGGGGCTGCTTCCCATCCTAGTGCCACACGGAGGGCCGGGGAGGCCGGGTTCAGGTTTGATGCTGAACTCATATGCACACCGGTTTTCTCTCTCATAAGACAATCATGTTTCATGCTTAAAATACTTACTGTTGAGTCAAACTGCTGCTCTAGAAAGATCATCCACACTCCCTTTGCGGCTGCGCCCCGGGCTGCTCCCCGTGTTGTAGAGCGGTCAGCACTTCGGAGCAGCTGGGAATCGCGTACCCTGCGTATCAGCTTTGAAGCTGCTGCCGTGTTTCTCATTAGCTTTAGAAAGTAACAGCACCGGCTTACGTACAGGACAGCGCTGTGGATTCACTATCGCCCTGACCAAGTCACGCCGACCAGGCCAACATTCAGAATTCCTGGGACATGCATATTATTGAGCTTTTAAAAATAATATGAATCGGCGTTTAGAAATAGAACCAAATGTCTTTCTTTTTCTGTAGTGAGGGTTTTTTGTTTTGGGGGAGGCTGTTTGACCTCTGTCGATACGGAGTCTTTGGCTCTGGTGTGAGGTTGTTTTTCATGCTCTTTATCAGAGATGAACTTTGGGTCAAATGCAGGGATATTTAAAATAGCTTTTATATCTACAGAAAAGAATCAAACTGTTTTTAAGTGTTCACCGTCACTTCTCAGGAGCAAGCTAAATGGGCCTACTGTGCTCCTCAGCTTTGGGGCTAAACAGAGAAACACTGGGGATTAGCTTTTCTGTGTGTGAAGGCCGCGATGCTGACGATTGTGTCAGAGTTGTGGTGGAATGATGTGACAGTCCAGACCCACCCTGAAACCACAGTGAGGCGGGGTCTTTGGAGCAGGTGATGTGGCTCCCACCCTGTAACTGCAGTGAGGTGGGGTCTTCCTTGTAGCCACCGTGAGGCGGGGTCTTCCCTGTAACCGCCGTGAGGCGGGGTCTTGGAATAGGCCATGCGTCTCCCACATTGTTTTGCAGCCACTTTCTAGCCTTGTCACTGCCGGAGCAAATTGTTTAGTTTCTCTGGGCTTCAGATCCTTGGCTGTAAAGCAAATCAAAACCAAACTAACAAAGAGCCTCAAAGGCCCTTCTCACCCCACCATCCACCGTGATGTTTCCCTGCTGTGTCCAGCGCTGAGGCTGTGTGACGATGTTGTTCTTCACGCAGAGCCCTGGAGAGGCCGTTCAGTTCCCCTCTAGGGTCCAACTGCGGCTGAGGGCCGGTTACTCGAGTCCAGCCGCGCCCATTAAGAGACCTCTCCTCACTTGTAAAGGGGTCTCTCTGCTCCCAAAGAACCACAGGCCGCTGTGTATGTCGGGGGCTCACGAGCTCACGTGCTACACGGCCCAGAAGCAAAAGGTTTAGACAGATTCATCCAGGGGCTTGATTCATGGCTGAAGCGGCCAAGCAGAGCCATGCAGACGACAGCCCAGGAGACCCAACCAGACATCTGGCCTGTTCTGTTCAGGTGCAGGTGCAGGGTATGCCCTCAAGACCCTTGTCTTGCTCATGTGGTTGAGGGAGCCTGGTGCTCGGGTTTGGGAACTCCTGTGCCACATCCTGCCCCTGGCGGATTTGGTGGTGGCACGACAGGCCTGTGGGGTTTCCAGCACCCCGTCACCGCCCCACCAACTCTGCTACACAAACCAGACCCGAAGCCACTCATGTCTTTCCGCCCAGGGCACCAGCGGCTGTCGGTGACGAGCCTGCTCGTCTGCCACGGATTGCTGATGGTCGGCACCAGCCTGGGAGTCCTCGTGGCCCTGCCGGTCCCACGTCTGCAAGGGATTCCCAAAGTGACCGGTGAGTGGCACCTGCAGTCTGAGTGGCTGCATCCTGTCTTGCAGGCTCGTGGAGCATAGCAGTGTGTAGTGTGATTTAACATCCTAGGATTCTTTAAACAATTCATATTATCTGTGGTTTTTCAGTGTATTATAATGACTTAATAGACTGTTTAATTGGAATTATCAATTTATATATTTTTCCATTTTTTACCTTAGTAGTCCAAGGAGAATCTTATGTTTTTATATTCTGTTTACTGCCAGAATTAGTTTCCATCATTCCTTTCTGTGTTTTATATTGTGGAGAAGGAAGCCGGGATCTCCGTTGTTCCTTTGTGTGTTTTATATTGTGAAGAAGGAAGCCGGGATCTCCGTCATTCCTTTCTGTATTTTATGTTGTGAAGAAGGAAGCCGGGATCTCCGTCGTTCCTTTCTGTATTTTATATTGTGAAGAAGGAAGCCGGGATCTCCGTCATTCCTTTCTGTATTTTATGTTGTGAAGAAGGAAGCCGGGATCTCCGTCGTTCCTTTCTGTATTTTATGTTGTGAAGAAGGAAGCCGGGATCTCCGTCTTTCCTTTCTGTATTTTATATTGTGAAGAAGGAAGCCGGGGATCCGAAAAGGCTCCATTGTGCTATTGCAATGTCAGTAAGAGCTCAGGCTGGAACACATGGCCTTTCTGGACACAGTCCCGTTAGGGATTGGAGGCCTTAAAACATGCTTGTGTGTCTGGAATCAGGATTCCCAATCCAGGGAATTGGCCCAGGAAACAGCCTAAGCTAGGAACAAAGTATGATGCAAGAAGACATTTGCCACAGCATTTAATTTTTAACAGCACGAAACAGGAGGTGACCCGCAGTTCGTAATGACGGATTGGGCCATTTAATAAAATGGTGGCATTGCCGGTAATGGGTAGAACACAGCCAGCAGAAGTGGTGTGTGCAGAGCCTGCAGTGACGCGGAAAACTCCTCGTCCTGTTAAGTTCAGTAAACCACAGCCTTAGATTCTATGTGGGTTACTATGTCAGCCAGGGGGAAATACTAACAGAGAAAACGCTTTGCAGGAAGCTTGTAGAGCAGAACTGTTCCTACGGGCTCCATTTCTGTGATTTCCTCCCAGGCCGACCTGACGGTGGCTTCCGTGCACTCAGATTTTGGCAGGTCCACCCACAAGGATTAAGGAATTCTAGTTTTGCCATTCATTTCCTAATTTATGTTTTTATTATGATATATGGGATTGTACATGTTGAGGACCCCAAATCCAAAAACAAAATGCGAAATGCTCCAATTTTTTTTTTTTCTTTTTGAGACGTAGTCTCACTCTGGCACCCAGGACGGAGTCCAGTGGCACAGTCTCGGCTCACTGCACCCTCTGCCTGCCAGGTTCAAGCTATTCTCCTGCCTCAGCCTCCCTAGTAGCTGGGATTACAGGCACCAGCCACCATGCCTGGCTAATTTTTGTATTTTTAGTAGAGGTGGGGTTTCATCATGTTGGCCAGGCTGGTCTCGAACTCCTGAACTCAAGTGATTCGCCTGCCTTGGCCTCAGATGCTCCAAATTCTGTGTCGACGTGATGCTGAAAGGCAGTGCTCATTGGAGGAATTCAGATTTTGGATTTCAGATTTGGGATGCTCAACCGGCAAGTGCAATGCAAATATTCCAACATTAAAAAAAAAAATCCAAAACACTTGTGGTCCCAAGAATTTCAGATAAGTGACACTCAGCCTGTAAATACATAGAATTGTGCATAACGCACAGTTTCACAGTTTAAATGGTAACGAGAAGAGGCCACCTGCCTGTGCCCAGGTCAGAAGGGGCTGTGACTCACACACTGAGCCTCAGCTGCCCCTTCTCAGCCTCAGCCCTCTCTGCTCACAACCCTAGGAAATGATGATGCTGAGTTTTACGTCAATTATTCCTTTGGTCCTCCTCTGTAGTTGTACCAATTTGTATCTTAAAGGGTACTTTTCACCTTTCCGGCTTTTGCATTTTCCTAGCTGTCCCATGGTGCAAGCAGCCTCTGTTGCTTTTTCTCTCAGCCTTGCTGGGGTCAGTCCCTGCTGGTGCCACAGCTATAGTGCTTTCCTCTCCCTGCCTGCAGCCTGCCTCTGAAAGGAGGTGCCCTCATTGCCTCTGGATGGATAGCCAGGTGCTCCCTGAAAGGAGGTGCACTCTCACTGTTCCTCTGGAGGATAGCCAGGTGCTCCCTGAAAGGAGGTGCACTCTCACTGTTTTTCTGGATGGGTAGCTAGGTGCTCCCTGAAAGGAGGTGCACTCTCACTGTTCCTCTGGAGGATAGCCAGGTGCTCCCTGAAAGGAGGTGCACTCTCACTGTTCCTCTGGAGGATAGCCAGGTGCTCCCTGAAAGGAGGTGCACTCTCACTGTTTCTCTGGATGGGTAGCCAGGTGCTTCCTGAAAGGAGGTGCACTCTCACTGTTCCTCTGGAGGATAGCCAGGTGCATCCTGGAAGGAGGCACACTCTCACAGTTTCTCTGGATGGGTAGCTAGGTGCTCCCTAAAAGGAGGTGCACTCACTGTGTTTCTCTGGATGGGTAGCTAGGTGCTCCCTGAAAGGAGGTGTACTCTCACTGTTTCTCTGGATGGGTAGCTAGGTGCTCCCTGAAAGGAGGTGCACTCTCACTGTTTCTCTGGATGGGTAGCTAGGAGCATCCTGAAAGGAAGTGCACTCTCACTGTTTCTCTGGATGGGTAGCTAGGAGCATCCTGAAAGGAGGTGCACTCTCACTGTTTCTCTGGATGGGTAGCTAGGTGCATCCTGAAAGGAGGTGCACTCTCACTGTTTCTCTGGATGGGTAGCGAGGTGCTTCCTGAAAGGAGGTGCACTCTCACTGTTTCTCTGGATGGGTAGCTAGGTGCTTCCTGAAAGGACGTGCACTCACTGTGTTTCTTTGGATGGTAGCTAGGTGCTACCCATTTGCATTACACATCAAGCCTCTGTATATTTGTGTGGCTGGCTCTGCTGACATGGGCAGAAGCTCCTTCTGGGGGCTTGCCCAGGGGCAGCATCGCTGGTGTGCAGGGATCACAGGTGTGTGCTTCGCCAGGTGATGAGCGGGCCTGTCCCTGCACAGTCCCCCCAGCTCCTGCTCCCTGCAGACTTCACTTTGCCACTCTCCTCTTTGGGAAATGGACTCTCACCACGGTGGAAGATTCAGTGATGTCATTTGCCTTGGCCAGAGTAGGATGATGGTGAGGGCTGGGGCCTGTTTCATCTGAAAGCACTTGGGGAAAGGACACGTGCCCCTGTCCATATGTCATGTCACCCACAAAGCATCCAGAAGACACGCCAGGTCCACGTGATGCTTACAGAATCAGTGTGGGGGTTGCGGGGCTGTGTGTGGCTTTAAGAAGACCTGCAGGTGTTTCTGATACGATCGTGACTTTAAAATTTGAATCACATCACCTGAAAACTGAAAGTCCTAATTTTAATCAAATTATAGAGTTAAATTGTTCTGAACCCCAGAACGTTTTTGTAATGAAAAATGGCAGGCAGCCGGTAGTTTAGTCATTTCTTTCCCAAACCAACACATTTCAGGCGTTAATATTTCTAATCAAGACTTAGGAAAATTTGGGATATTTCCATAGGGTAAGTAAGAAGGTATTTTATGCAGAATGGAAAAATGACTATTTTATTACTTTGAAAAGTACAGTAGGAGTATTAGAACTGAAATAGTGCTGAGGAAAACACAACTTTCTATTTTAGAAAATCATTTTTAAAGCCTTTTTCACATTAAGTAAAAACCCAGAGGAATATAATCCAGATATTTTCATCGTAGCTTATTATTCATGTATGCAAGTTACTTACAGGCTTTGTTATTTGGGCAGGGAGGAATGCGTTGGGGTTAAGCCCTGCACTTTTTGCTTCCTTGTCTCAAATTTTGCCTATTTTAAAAGACAGCTGTTGAACTGTTTCCCTTTTCAGGAAGAGGCATGGTCTCCTACCATGCACACAACAGTCCTGTCAAATTCATCGTCCTGGCCACGGCTCTGCACGAGAAAGACAAGGACAAATCCAGGGACAGCCTGGCTCCTGGCCCCGAGCCTCAGGACGAAGACCAGAAGGACGCACTTCCGAGTGGAGGAGCTGGTTCATCTCTGAGCCAGGGTGACCCTGACGCAGCCATCTGGTTGGGAGATTCGCTGGGATCGATGACTCAGAAAAGCGACCTGTCCTCCTCATCTGGGTCCCTGAGCTTGTCTCACGGCTCCAGCTCTCTAGAGCACAGATCAGAGGACAGCACCATCTATGATCTCCTGAAGGATCCTGTCTCGCTGAGAAGCAAAGCACGCCGGGCCAAGAAAGCCAAGGCCAGCTCGGCGCTGGTGGTCTGTGGAGGGCAGGGCCACCGCCGGGTGCACAGGAAGGCCCGGCAGCCCCACCAGGAAGAGCTGGCGCCGACCGTCATGGTCTGGCAGATCCCTCTGCTGAATATATAAGCAGGACGGCCGCCTTCTGCTGTCAGAATTTGCAATCAAGGGTGACTTCTCAGCTAATCCTACAGCCTGAGTGGTTAAGCTGTGTCTACACTGGTTGGGAATAAATTAAAAACAGTATTTGGGGGAGAAACGTGCAATAGCGTAATGGTGGTGTCCCTGCCAATTCCTTCCTTCTCTTCTGTACAGCAGAAGTAATTACAAGCACTTCTCACGAAGGCAGAAGACTGATGCAATTTTCGAGTAATTGAGTGCAGTTCTGGGAAAATACCACATTCTTTTTGACTGCTGTAGTCCATATGTGAATACTAAATGTTAAACTTCATCAGCGTCAGACCTATTGTATCATATTAGAGAATTTGCAGACTAAGAATTTATGAGAAAATATATGTATTCAGTAGTGCAGGCATTTATTAACAATTCTTAAAAGTTTTACCTGATTCAGATTCACGACTTTTATTTATATTCTATATTTTTGAATTTCAGAGTAAAATTTGTTAACAATTTTAAAAGCCAGGTAACACCTACCAGTCCAGTTAGCATGATTTGCTTTCAGAAGTGAGCTGGGTTTTCCAAAGTGGTATAATGTGTGTACTGTATATTTTAACAAAGTAATATTTTTGTATTGCATTTTTCTATTAAAAAATTAACAGTTAATGTTTCAGTCAATGTATTATCTGTAGCATTTCACAAATAATGTTTGCTTTGAACCAAAATGCTCAGTGCCTATCAACATTTGGACTCAAGCATCAACACCAAATTATTCCTCCCTTCTCGTATAAATAGAGTGACTATCCACAGGAGAAAAGTGTGTGCTTTAGTATTAGAGGAGATAGGCAGAGAAGTCTTGCTTAGTTCCTTCGTGCAGCTTCTTGCCCCTGTTGACGTGGAATGCTGTGTCTGCTTTAGCACGCACGCTCCGAATGACTCCTGGTGCTAGGCCATGCTGGCTGCTGTCACTGAGCGGGACTCAGGCCAAGAGGCGTGACCTCGGGCCAGCCTGTCTGTTGTGCAGACGCCTCCTCTGCAGAACGCATCAGTTTCTATTCTGCAGTTGCAGAGCCAGCCCCGCGTGAGAACGTGCATAATGAGTGCACACCATCATGTCAAGGTGCATACTTAGTGAGCGCCATCCTGCTGAACGTGTATTTCAGTGTTTCACTTACTGGACGGATAACAAGAAAAAAATCCTAACACAGGCAGGCACCAGAAATAAATGTCTCAGCACTTTACAGATGACTAAAAATGTTAATTTTATGACTTAGCCAAATATGTTCTAGGTTGCATATATCCCCCATGTGAAAGTGATTTCTTCCCAAGCTTCTCAAACTGTTAGCTGCTGTCTGACTTCATCAATAAAGTATTTTTATTTTAAAATGCAGTAGGATGAGTTGCCTCTTTTCTGTGTCAAGTGGAAAGGGACATCAACCTCGGGGGGCTGGGTGGGGGGCTTGGCCTGCCCGTTCCTAGCTGCATCACCACTTGCTGCTTTGGGGAGACTCCGTGTCTGAATCCCAGCAACGCACCCAACTGCGTGGAGCACCGCGCTCTGAATTGGAAGTAGGCACTGGGAATCTTTCAAGCAACTCATGTACTTGTTCTTTATTTGTTTGAAGAGACAAAGTCTCCCTCTGTCGCACAGGTTGCAGTGCAGGGGCGTGATCATGGCTCACCATAACCCCCTGGGCTCCCACAGTCACTGCAGTCTCAACCTCCCAGGTTCAAGCAGTTCTCCCACCTCAGTCTCCTGAGTAGCTGGGACTACAGATGCACACAACCACACCTAACTCTTTTTTTCTTTTTAACATTTTGTAGAGATGGGGTCTCGCTATGTTGTCCAGGCTAGTGTCAAACTCCTGACCTCAAGCAGTCCTCGTGTCTGAGCCTCCCAAAGTGCTAAGTTTCCTAGTGTGAGCCAGGAGTTGGTTGGCAGAATTTTGCCACCCTTCAAGCCTCTGATGGCGGCTCTGATCTCTGCGATTCTTCCAGGAAGGCAGGATGGATTTACTAATTTGGTAGAAAAGGGGAGGGGGGTTCAGAGGCTTCCAATTGATGTTCCTAATTCAGTGGTTCTGACTTCACAGTCATGCCCAGCCTACACTTGGCCATTCCATTTTGAGTTATGAGTAGAATGAGTTTCCTGTAAAATGTTCCTATTGTGGGTGTTTTACCAGACCAGGGCCAACACCTTACATGGAGAGATGAAATGGATGTGTAAAGTTAACTTGCTGGGACAGAAATCTTTCCACACGATTGATGGTGCGGGACAT
This sequence comes from Homo sapiens, assembly GCF_000001405.40. NCBI lineage: Eukaryota > Metazoa > Chordata > Mammalia > Primates > Hominidae > Homo > Homo sapiens. The sequence goes on from NC_000008.11 coordinate 1,959,531, forward strand.
GGACAGAGTGGGGTCTGTGTAACTGACTCCTTAACTCCCTCTGCCCTCCTAGAGAAGAGAGACTTCCAGAGATCCTGAGAGAGGCAGACGCGGGAGGGCTTTGAGGGAGGAAGAGGTTGGAGAACGTGGGCTACAAAGAACTCCCGCTATGCCAGGACGCGGGTTCTGCTTTCACAGTGAATGAGGAAAACAAGCATATCACCAACAAATGAAGCCGTGCAGACAGGCAAGTGCGTTCTCTAAGCAACAAGCTTCTACTGAGCACCTGATGAGTGTCAGAGGTGAGGCCAAGCTCTGTCTTAGGCCCTGAGGATGGGACAAGAGAGAAAAAGCCTCCCTTTGGGGTTGCCACTGCTGGTTTATTCCCCCTCTCCTCTGCAGAGCCCTGGGCTCTTCCTGGACAGGGATTAACCCAGTGACAGCAGGACACTTGGGAGCCCAGGGCCAAATGGCTGCGTCTCCCCCAGCTTCCGGGCCCCCATCTGCTGGGTAGACCCTCGGTAACTTGATCAACAAGGAGCCTGGCTGGCATCACGATCTCACCTCCTGATGGGGCCCCTGTCCTCTGGGGCGTGGCCAGGCTTGGTGTTTCATCACAGCAGCCCGAACGGAGACAGGAAGGCACCAAGAGGCATTGCTCAGCAATGAACAAAAACCTGCAGGTCATGGTCCAAGTCCCACACCTGAGTCAGCTCACAGGCTCGGAGCTCACTGACTGAAGGGGGAGTCAGGTTCACCTGAGGAAGGACCCCACACGTAGGCTGCAGGTCCCTTTGGTCGATGCTTCCCCAAAGGGACCTGCATGCGTGTGCTGGGAAGACTGCAGTGGTAACGGGAAAGAGCAGACCTTGGAAACTGTCCAGGCTCTGAGTCGCCGCTGAGCAGACAAGCAGAGCGGCACCTTGGGCTGTAGAGGGGTCTTATGAAAGCCACATGGCGCGTAGAGTTAGGCCCATGTCCGTCTCACAAGGGCCTATGGGTCTCCAGGTGTATAATTGGGATGGACAGAGCTGGCAGCTGGCAGAAACCATCACTGGTTCCTTAACCTGTGAAGTCAGAGCCACTGAATTAGGGACCATCAGTTGGAAGGCTCTGAACACCCCTCCCCATTCCTACCAAATTAGTAAATCCATCCTGCCTTCCTGGAGGAATCGCAGAGATCAGAGCCACTGTCAGAGGCTCAAAGGATGGTGAAATTCCAGTGCCCGCCAATTCCCATGTAATTCATGGAACTGGGCACTGCAGACACCAGGCTGTGATGGAAGGTGGCGGTGGGGTCCTGCAGCGTGACCAGGTAGTCTCTCCAGTCACAGCCGCTGTGACAAATAGCGTCTTTACCAGAACAGATCAGCACAGCTGCCGATTCAGCAACTGCACTCTTCTCCACACCCTATCCATGGAGAGAAGACAGTTTGTGTTGACTTGGCGAGGACTGCAGTACACTTACTGCCTTGCCCACTGTGCTGTCAACACTGGCTTTACTATAAGGCCACAGGGTCACTACTGTGTCGATGATCTCATGCTGCCTGGACCTGGGAGAACCCAGGTGACCTAGGAATGCAGGTACCTGCCTCAGGCTGGGAGATATCGGAGGCCTGCCACATCATTGAAGCTTCTGGGGTTTCAGCATCTGAGCATGCCCTGATACACCCTATGAGGTAAAGGGCAAACCATACCCCACGCTCCATGCCATTCTGGGGAGCAGTGACTGGGGGACCTCTGGAGTTTGGACCCAGCATGCACTACACATGGGAAGACTGCTCCAACTCATTTCTGGGGAGCCTCTAAGGCTGGCGGTTTTGAATGGGGCCAAGAGCGGGGAAAAGCCTGCTGAGCCACTTCTGCAGCACAGACGCCTTGCCCGGCCTCATGGTGATGCAGATATGACTATGCTGAGACGTTGCTGTAACAGCACGGCCCACAGAGCTGCGGAGCCAGGCTCTCAGTTATCTCCCGTTTGAAAAATGGAGCTTGGGTGGTACTAGGCCCAGTCAAAATTGGGCGCCAGGATCCCTGCAGAGGCCACTGTCTCTGCGCGGGCTGCAGAACAAACCACCATAGACTGGGCAGCCTCACCACGTTGATTTCTCCCTGTGCTGGAGGCTAAGTCAGATCCGGGTGCCGGCACGGTTGGGTCGTCGGGAGGGCTCCTTCCTGGCCTGCAGCCAGCCACCTTCTCACCATGTCCTCCCATCGGGGAGAGGAAGCAAGTTCTCTTACAAAGACACGATCCCATCGTGAGGGCCCCACGCTGGTGACCTCATCCCCTCCCAGAGGCCATCACACTGGGAATTAGGGCCTTGGCATATTAATTTGGGGGGATATGAACCTGCAGCCCAGAACAGATGCCGACTCAGCTAAGCAGCCCGTGGAATGCTGTCATGAGATGGGTGAGTTGCAGGCTGGGGTGGACACGATACCTTAGGGACAGCACCGAGCAGGTTCAGAAAGTGAAGTAAAATGCAGGAAGCAGGTGGCTCTGACCGTGTCCATCGCACTGCCCCACCCACACCCAGCCACATGCAGCAGCCGGCCCCTGGGGGAGCATGGGGACGCTCCTGTCCTTGCTACATGAACTGTGGCCCTGGCTGTCTCGTCCTATGCGAGGAAGGCCCAGTGGGAAGCTGTGGAGGACACGCCTCTGCACACAACGGCTGCACACAGGGCACGCAGTCATCCTTTCAGTTGGAAGGAGGATGAGCAAAAGCCTGTGTCTTTGTGTCTGCGTTAATGCCCCCCAGAGAGAAAGCCCCCGACCCCGGGGTGAGCAGAGTGGTCTGTCTGGGGCTGTTGGCCAGAGTCGGTTTGTGCAATGGGTGTAGGAACACACGGGCCACTGCGGTGGGGTCGTGTGTGGCCCCCCAGCTCAGCATCGTGGGCTCCCTGGCACCAAGCCTGGCCTTGCTAAGACCACACCGAGTGTCCAGCCTGCCGGTAACAGAGAGCCTTGTGGCTCCTTCAGTTTGGCATCATTTCCTGGGAAGACCAGCCCAGTACCAGTCAGATTGGTATTGGGCAGGAAACGGTGCTCCCCGCCAGGCCCCTGCGGCCCTGTTTGAGCAGTGCGCACTCGGGTGGGAAGCCAGTGGCTCCGTCAGCTCCCTGCTCCCATCTGCTCTTTCAAGGGGCCTTGAGAAGAACTGACCGTTGGAGCAGGGCGGTGAACTCAGCATCCCCAGCTGCTGTGGGGAGGGACGCACGTGTGCTGCTGTGGACGCGGAGGCCTCTGGTGGCTGAAAACACCATCATGCTCCCAGGGGTCCCCCGGTGCCTACCTGACCTCCCGGGCCTGCGTCCGATGGCTTCTGCTGTTTCTAACAAAAATGCACCAAGTTCTGGGCTCCTGGTTAGAAAGTGGCAGAGCTAGGGCAGGAAACGGAAAGTCCATGCTCTTTGGTTTTCTGTCAGCTGTCAAATCAGAGCTACGAGCTGCCTCCTCCATCTGCAGAGTGAGGGTGACAGGGACGACGCAAGGCACGTGTCCCCTCGGGTGCGCTGGCCGCTGCAGCCCCTTCCCCATGATCAGTGCATTTCTGAGCACGGCCCTAGTGATGCGAGGTGTCATTCACTCCTATCTTGCACACGAGGACACCACGGCTCCGTGTGTGGGAGTCTCGCCACGGGCTACTTGGCCAGGGGCGGTAGGAGCTGCTCTCCTGCTGGGTGGAGCAGCCTGGCTCTGTGGCACGTGGCCGCCCTCATTACCAGAATTGACCCGAGTCAGGATGACAGGGTTGGGATTACAGAGTAAAGGGGCAGTGAGACAGGCCCTGGAAAGCTGTAGGCTCAGCCAGGGCCCATAACCGCACGGCCTGGAGCCCGGCCTGGACACGCAGCAAACAAACAAAAGGGCTGGAAGCAGAAACCAAACAAAAGCTGCCCACAGGAATCCGTGCCCTGGTGCCATCCGGGGGCTCTTCCCTCCGGCGTATTGTAAACGGTGGTGACAAAGCCCGGCTTGCTGGCTGGAAAGCTGCCCTCCAGTCCCAAAGAGCCGGCAGCCTCTGAGATCCAGAGGGTTCTGTACATTCCGGTTCTAAGCGGGCACCCTGTGTAGATGGCACATGGCCAAGGGTGGCAGAACCGCCTTTTCCAAGGATAAAGAAGAGACGGGGCCATTTTGCAGGCTTCTAGAATGATGCTTGACCATCGATGACAAAAGCCTAGAGCTCTGTGGTGGAGGTAGGGGTGTGTGGAGGGCGCTGGGGTAGGGCAGGCCTGCGATGCGGAGGAGGCACCTGTGTGTGCCGTTGGCCCCCAGTCTCTGTCCTGCCCTGCTGGGCCTCTGGGACAGGGTCTTTGGACACAGTGCTGGAGGCAGGCTCAAATGCCATGGTGCAAGAATCAGGGTGACCCAGAAGGCACCTTTCCCCTCGACACCCACAGGCTTGCCCAGAGTCCAACCCCTTGGATTGTGGGTGCGAGGCACAGGCTCAAGAAGCAAAGTGGAGAGAAAGTAAAGTGGGGGCTACTCTTGTTAGCAATGAGGGGCTTGCGTTTATTTTCTTCTGCTCATGAAAAAAATAATTGCTTTTTTGGTGCTAACATACAAGAGTCCCGTTCCATCTCCAGTTCAGTGGGTCTCACCCAGGGCAATTTCCACCTTCCACCACCCCCTAGGAGACATTCGGCAATGTTGGGAGACACCTTGGTGGTCAATACAGGGAGAGGTCAGGGAAAGGGTGGGCGCCAGGCTTCCACGTGCAGAGACCACGGACACCCCAAGCATCCTGCAGTGCCCGAACAGCCCCAGACGCCGATGGCACAGAGGCTGGAAGACCCTGGTCGGTCGGTTAAGTAAGGGACGATTCATCTTCACCATCTTCCACCCAATCAAAAATCAACGGCTTGGTTTCCCTTTTGTTGCCAGCATGTGGGGTCCTGGTCTGGTCTCTAACGTCCCCCCTGTTCTCACTGTGCCTGTCTCATTTCGGCACTGTTGGTCTATTTTGAATTTTTAAAAGTTTCTTCTTTAGGTCATGAAATGGAATTCTCATACAGGCTAGCAGGAGTTAGCAGTGCCAATTAGCCCATATGTGAACACTCTTCCATTCATTCATCTCTAAGCCAAACCCAACAGTACATTCACAGCCTAAAGGGATCTGGATCCATACTCAGCCGAGACAGAAAGAACAATTTCTGGTGGCAGGAGACATTTTAGTTTACCTTATTTTGAGCAAATTCAACATATGTACATCTGGCTCGCACAAGCAGTAAATTTGGGCTTGGTTTTTCACATATTCAAAGTTTACAACAGACCCCTCTTGATTTTCTGGAGGAGGTGCAGGCTTTAGATGGGAACTCTTCACCCAGGTTCCAGGATCTGTGGGTCCACGGTTGCCCACCGGGTTGTGAGCTCCAGGGACAGGCGTGCCCACGGCTGCCTCCCCGTGTGACCAGAATCACTCAATGCTGCTGTCCTGGGGCCCGAAGATCGCGTTTGCCATTCTGGAACTTTTATTCATCTCGCTTTTCAGAAACACAAATGACGGATGAAGCACACAGGCCCTGAAACCCAAACGTTAACTTGGACTTAGAGCTGCTTGAGCTAGTTACTTCACATCTGTTTCAACGGAGCCAGTAGGAGCTGCCTCACACAGCTAGTAGGAGATGTGAATGAATCAGGCATGGGAAGGTGTCTGCGTGTCACCCATGGTCGGTAGGTAGGAGCTCTTACGTAGTAACAGTTTCCCCCAAACTCCATCTCAGTCATGCATCCCTATGGGCCGCGATTGCTTCGATTATCCCATAATTTCCTCACTCCTGACTTAGATGGTTTCGATTTTTCAACAAACGTGTACTGCTTGCTTGCAGTGGGTCGGCTCTGAGCAGCGGTTGGAGCTTGGAGGGGAGCAGGGCCTGCTGGGCCCTGACCCGAGATGCAGTCCCGTCCGTGGTGTTCTGCTTCCTCCCTAACACCTCTCTGCAGTGTCCTGCGGCTGGGCAGCGGCCCCCTCATGGATGTCCATGTCCTCATTCCTGGATACAGTGGATATGTGGCCTTATGTGGCAAAGGGACTTTGCAGGTGCGGCTGAGCTCAGGATCCTGAAATGAATAGATGACCCTGGACTATCTGGGCTGGCCCAGCCTGATCAGAGGGGTCTGTTTAAGAAGGAGGCAGAGACGGAGAAGGAGATGTGAAAATGGAAGCAGAGGAGAAAGAGACACAATCCTCCAGGCCAGACAGAGCCACCTGCCTGCCACCGCTCACCTTCCTCAGCATGTGCTTTGGTTCAAGAGTTACCTGAGAGCTGTCCATTCCAACAGGCGCCCCCAACACTGCCCACCACCGCTCCAGGTCTGTGGTTCCCTAGGATCCAGAGTCCCTTTCCTGTCTCAGCTCTGTCTGGTGGGACCCCGGTACGGCAGGCGACTTCTCTGGAGACTCTCTGGTGTGTTAAAATTTGGACACAGGAGTTCTGATCGCAGCAGGGTCCTGCTGGAAGGTGCAGAGGCCAAAGCAGTTTGAGGATTGCAGGTCCTTTCCAGCAAAGAACCCACTGAAGCTGGGGACTGCTGAGCAGCTGGGGCTGCCCAGAAGGAGGGCAAAGCCATCTGAGGAAACGCCCAGGGCAGAAGGTCCTGCCAACCCCCCTCTGACCCGGTCTCCTCCGAGTCCTCTCCTCTGTGGCTCCCAGAGCTCCCTGCAGGCTCCCGCCTGGGATGCCAGGAACAGGGGCTCTCAGGATGGTGTGGGGGCTTCAGGGCTGCAGGGACCACAGAGCCAGGTGGAGCTGGGAGAGGCTCTGTGGTCAGCCCCCACTCTCCTCACTTCCCACGCCTCCTGCTGCAGAAGACACCCTTGGAGCTGGGGGAGGGGCAGCCGGGGAGGAAGGTCGGGTCTGACCACTCCCTGTGACCCAGCCCCATGCAGCTGCACAGGCGGCTGACCTACCTCCCAGGGCGCCCGAGCAGAAGCTCTGCAGCTGATCAGTGTCCCGCACCCTCCTAAGTACACAACCCCGTGCATCCCCACATCCCGAAAGGCCTGGGTGTTACACAGGGAGGCCATCCGAGTTTCACTGTTAGTGTTTTTTAAAGTGATTTCCTGGCACCCTACAAACAGTAGCATTTTAATCCCAGACAGCAGCCGGAAGGAGCGATTCGTCATCCTGGTCAGAAGACATCGAGGTCTATTTGGCTGAGCACTTAGATATCCTCTTATATTGATGGAAATAGTTTAGAGCCATTTTCAAACATTTATACCCCACAAGTACTTTTTCCCAAGTGTATTGCCTAATTCGGCCGGAAGACTTTGTTTGGAAAAACCGAGTCTGGGAAGCACTCCAGCTGCGCCCACCTGGCACGGTGAGGCCTTTGCCAGGACACGGATTCGCATTGCGTTTCTCCGGGACCAGCCAATTGCTCAGTCATTACCCGGTGACCCTTAGCTATGCAGCTCAAAGTGTGACAATTGTGGGCCATGAACCCTCCAGGAAGGACCAACATCGCCACCAGTACTAAAACTAAAACCAGTGTTTAGAAAGTTGTGTACCAGTTTGACAGCGTGATTTTGCACCTGTTTAACCTAAGGTAATGGTTTTGTATTTTGTATGTCTTTTACAATTTTTATTTGTATTGCAAATTGAAATGCTGTCTGTCTATAAAGGATTGAAAACTTTAAAATCATAAACTGACATGTCACTCCCAATAGCGTGGAAAGCCCTGCCTGTATGGAAGAGACACAAAACCCTGGAATGAGCGTCCTGGCACTGCTGTGACACAGTACCACACGCGGGGGGATGGGGGAAGGGGTGCTGAAAACCACAGAGGTGGATTCTCCGCAGTTCTGGAGGCCAGACACTGACGATCAAGACGTCAGCAGGGCCACGCTCCCTCAAAGGATCTGGGGAGCAGGCTTCCCATCTCTTCCAGCTGCCAGTGTGGACAGGAACCCTCCCCACTTTCTGTGGCTGGCAGGTCATCGCTGCAATCCCCGCCTACCCGCACCCCCCTCCTCCCTGGGCACCCCCACATCATCTTCTTTCTGTGTGTGTCTCTGTGTCTGAATTTCCACTTCTTTCCACTCATGCTGGATGAGGGCCTGCCCTAACGAACTCACACTAACGCAATCACCTCTAAAAAAGCCTCTTTCCAAATACAGTCACCTTCCAAGGGACGAGGCTTAGGTCTTCAACGGATGTTGTTCTTCAGGACACGATTCAACCCTTAACAATCTTTAAACTGTGGCTCACAATAATGTGTTATTTGGCAGATGGTCCTACTGGATTTATACGTTTGAGGATGTATTACTTATACCTATTCTAAGTAACTAGTGGCTTGAAAATGAAATCTGTTTGCAGTCACTGTATTACCAGCAGTGGGATCAGGAACACCACAGATACACTTTTACTCGGGTTTTTGTCTTGTTGAGCCTTGCACAGCATCAAAGCTATGGCTAATACTCTTTTCTAGTGATAGCAGCATGGTTTAGAACTGATTTATGTGACAACAGGACACACCCTTGCGGAGGTCCTGCCTCGCTGGCAGGATGGCCAACCCTGGCCGCATCCCAGTTCCTGGGCTGTACCAGCCACAGGCCACCTCCTGCTGCTGACGTCGAACTCGGGGTTCCTGCCATCTCGGGCGACCCAGACAAGTTCAAGAGGATGCACGCTGGGACATTTACACTCTAAGGATAACTTTCAAATCATAGCACGAAATATTTTCAGGATTGGTATGGAAACCCATGGGGTGAAATTAAGCTATAGGAGGTGCTGGGATGCCAGTTTTAGTTATTTTTAGCATACAGATTCCTGCTGTACGAAGCACGTCCTGTAGCACAGACCTGCTCACCCCTCTGGACAGCAGTTCTCCTTGGCGACTGCTGTAAACAAGGGCCCTGAGTTAGGATCTGAGCCCTAGCTCCGCCTCACGGAAAAGGCGTGCCCCTGAATGAGTTAGGCAGACCTCTTCGAATGTTAAGTTTCCTCAACTGAGAAATGGAAATAGTCGCTACCACCTGTTATTTTTGGAACCGTAGATAGACCACATATAGATATACCATGAATATTTATGTGGAAATTGTAGATAACTTGTTTTAACATTATTAAAAGATACCTTGAAAAAAATACATTTTGTATGTTTCAGATTTAAAACATCTATTTTACATGTTTCAGATTTAAAACATCTATTTTACTTGTTTCAGATTTAAAACATCTATTTTACATGTTTCAGATTTAAAACATCTATTTTACATGTTTCAGATTTAAAACATCTATTTTACATGTTTCAGATTTAAAACATCTATTTTACATGTTTCAGATTTAAAACATCTATTTTACATGTTTCAGATTTAAAACATCTATTTTACATGTTTCAGATTTAAAACATCTATTTTACATGTTTCAGATTTAAAACATCTATTTTACATGTTTCAGATTTAAAACATCTATTTTACATGTTTCAGATTTAAAACATCTATTTTACATGTTTCAGATTTAAAACATCTATTTTACATGTTTCAGATTTAAAACATCTATTTTACATGTTTCAGATTTAAAACATCTATTTTACATGTTTCAGATTTAAAACATCTATTTTACATGTTTCAGATTTAAAACATCTATTTTACATGTTTCAGATTTAAAACATATATTTTATATGTTTTAGATTTAAAACATAAATTTATATATAAAATATATATTTATAAATTTATATATAAAATATATATTTATAAATTTATATATAAAATATATATTTATAAATTTATATATAAAATACATATTTATAAATTTATATAAAATCTATATTTATAAATTTATATATAAAATCTGTATTTATAAATTTTATATGGAAAATGTATATTTATAAATTTTATATGGAAAATGTATATTTATAAATTTTATATGGAAAATGTATATTTATAAATTTTATATGGAAAATGTATATTTATAAATATATTATATATTATATATAATAAAATATATATAAAATATATTTTTATATTATGTAATATATATTTTTATATTTTATATATAAATATATATTTTATATTTTATATATAAATATATATTTTATATTTTATATATAATATATATTTATATATTTATATATTTATATATATTTATATATTTATAGATTTTATAAATAATAAAATCTATAAATCTATAAATCTATAAATCTATATAAATATATATAAATATATAAATATAAATATAACATAAAATTTATATTTAAAATACATAAATATATATATTTGAGACAGGGTCTCACTGTGTTGCTCCAGCTGGAGTGCAGTGGCGCAATCATGGCTCAGAGCAGCCTCAACCTCCCAGGCTCAAGCAATCCTCTCACTTCGGCCTCCTGAGTAGCTGGGACTACAGGTGCACGCCAGCACGCCCGGCTAATGTTTTGTATTTTTGTGGAGACAGGGTTTCTCCATGTTGCCCAGGCTGGTCTCCAACTCCTAGGCTCAGGCAATCTGCCCGCCTCAGCCTCCCAAAGTGCTGGGACCACAGATGTGAGTCACTGCCCCCGACCCTCAAAATATTTTAAATTGCAGCTAACTTGCTCTAACATTATTAATATATGCCTTGAAACTATTTTAAAGTAATGGTTGCCATCTTATTTCCTTTATTTTTCTGAAAAATGGTTACTAGGATTCCCCCTAATAAACGTACTGGCCATGTGGAGACAGCAGCGTTAATTCACTGGCAGAGCGTGTTGCCTGTGGGTAACCTGCAATCTGCTTGAGGGAACCACGTGCCCAGGCCCCTGCAGCCCCTGGGAGAGCCTGTCAGGGATGATGAGCAATGGGCATTTGGGCTCAACAGGCCTCACTCCTTCATTTAGTCAACAATTACCGAGCTTGGCTTCATGCCCTCACATTGCTGGGCCCAGGGGTACAAAACTAAAAAGCATGGCCTCCGTTTCCCTATTCGAATCAGGACAATTAGGGTATCATCTTAAACCTGGGACTGTCTGTAATTTAAAATTTGGGGTCCAGGCACGGTGGCTCACGCCTGTAATCCCAGCGCTTTGGGAGGCCGAGGTGGGTGGATCACCTCAGGTCAGGAGTTTGAGACCAGACTGACCAACGTGGTGAAACCCCATCTCTATTAAAAATAAAAAAAATTAGCCGGGCGTGGTGGCACACACCTGTAATCCCAACTACTCGGGAGTCTGAGGCAGGAGAATCACGTGAACCCGGAAGGTGGAGGTTGTAGTACGCTGAGATCACACCATTCCACTTCACACTGGGCAACAAGAGCGAAACTGTCTCAAAAAAATAAAATTTGGGGAATGACATGCTTAGCACATGGCCAATGCATGTTTGCTATCGATAGTCAATAGTGGACAATATCAAAGAGGACTTAGGAACACACTGTTTCCTTAATATGAGGGTCTCAGGCGCTGGCTGGTAACATAGGTGGAGAGACTGACATAAGGAAAGAGCTTCACAGTATTTAAGCAGCAGCTTGCGACAAAAACGCAATTGCACACAGTTCATCAGAGCTGAGGAAGCACTGAAGTAGGTAAGGTTCACCTAAGGGAGTGCCAGGGCCGGGTAAGGTTCACCTAAGGGAGTGCCAGGGCCGGGTAAGGTTCACCTAAGGGAGTGCCAAGGCCAAGACTACTTTTGTACAATATGCACAGAATTTTTTAATGAACCAGTGAGTGTTGTTTCAAAGCCAACACATATATTCTAATTATTTCTTCATGCCAAGAAGCTGGAAGTACTTTATAGCAATTGGCTCCATTCCTGACAGTTATTGGGATTTAACAGCTTTATTGGCTGGGGGAGGAACACATGAACTCCTAAGGGCTAATACAAGCATTTGGGAAATTATCTGTTGTCTGGCGTCAGCACTGGAACAGGGCAGCAGAGCTGGAGAGTAAGAAGCAGAGCTGGAGAGGAAGAAGTGTTTGCTAAGTCACCGCGCAGGAGGAGACAGAATCAGAGGTGACGAATGTAAGTCCACCCATTGGCTTAAGATCCAGTATCCTGAGTGAGTTGCACAGATCCTCTCCTTCAGTCCTCTCAGGTAGGTGCAGTGGTGTCTCCCTGGAGCACAGAGAGGCCAAGTATCTGGCTCCAAATCACAAGACTTGCAGAGGGTAAGGCTGGTGTCTAAGGTCCCATCAGTTGAACTCCAAAGCAGGCTGTCTAGAAATTGGGTTCAGAGACCTCCCAGCCTGGAACCCAGTTTGATGGAGTCCCGCATTCAGGGGCCAGTAAACCACTGTACCCTGGACAACTCCATAAGCTTCGGTTATATTTTTAGGGCGGTTTTGCATGTTGAAATATTTGCATGCTTCGAGTCTACCATGCATGATCAGGCTGTCCCTGACCAGGGGAAAATTTACATAGTAAAATAGTATTACCCTTGAAATAGATTTAAGATAGGTCCTCCTTTTTCTTGACAGTATTACAACCCAGTTCAATTTCAGGAACTCTAGAGGTCCCTGCAGTTATGAAGAACTAATTAAAGGCATGAAATGTTCCTCTGCAAGTTTCATTGACCATATTGGGCCTACAGTCCATTTCCAAATAAATATCTAAGGTAAGAAAAATATGGGACTCCCCACAGACTACTTATCTACCAGATGGTGTGGGGTTTGGATGGATGTTTTCAGTTACTTCAGCAATTTTTTCATTAATTCAGTATTTATTGAGAACCTAATGTATGCCAAGCTTGTAAAATGCAGTGGGGGGTATGACCTATTCCCAGGTCTCTGGACTCTGGCAGAATGGTAGAGAAGATGCTGTCGGGCTTGCATGTTCAGAACACCGTGTCTTAGGTGACCTCCCGGGCCTTTGGAGGCCCAACCCCAGGGTGGCGGGATAGCCAGGTGAGGCTTTGTTTGGCCTGTTCACGTTTCTCTGGAAAAGAATGGGGGTAGTTAGGCCAGGCGCGGTGGCTCATGCCTGTAATCCCAGCACTTTGGGAGGCCAAGACAGGTGGATCACTTGAGGTCAGGAGATCGAGACCAGCCTGGCCAATGTACAGTGAAACCCTGTCTCTACTAAAAATACAAAATTTAGCTGGGTGTGGTGGTGCATGCCTGTAGTCACAGCTACTTGGGAGGCTGAGGCAGGAGAATTGCTTGAACCCAGGACGCAGAGATCGCAGTGAGCCGAGATTGCACCACTGCATTCCAGCCTGGGCGACAGAGTGAGACTCCATCTCTAAAAAAAAACAAAAGAGAAAAAGAAGTATTATTCTGCAGCCGAAAGGAAGTAGAGATGCACTAAGAAGATCACAGTAGAGTTTGGAACATTTTTGGAGTAAACTGAACAAAATAAAAACGGAGCAGCATGGGAATTATTTTAGCTTCCACCAAAAGGGTCTGTTTCTGCTATAGTTAACGGAAGTTTTCAATTTTCAAAAAATCCCAGTAGCTCGCTGAGTTTCAGCCTCCTGTAATTCAAGTACTGACAGCAGGTACTACTCTTCTTGGCAACAGAGTGAAAAAGGTTTTAAAGATGTTCCCGGGGCGTTAGCTTTGGTGCTGGAGTTGTAACGGCTCATTATGTGTATACAGCATGGAACTGGCAAAGACTGTCACAAGCAAAAAGAACACAAAAAGAGAAAGTAAAGGCTCTGGCTCTCGGTACTTATGGAAATCTCATCGTCATTAATTTGCACAAAGCCATTAAAAATAGCATTTACCAGCAGGGGTCCAGCGTTAATTAGAACCCAGCCTGGGAGCAGCTGGAACTCTCGGCGCTCCTGGCTCAGTCCTCGCCGCCCTGAACCCGTCTGCACCGCAGGGCCCGAGTGGGAGGCAGAGGCCACATTTCTGGATATGAGCAAAAGCTCCGACATTTCGTCCACTCTCGTGTTGTGAACTTTAAAAAATTCTGGAATCTGTTGAGAATTTGGCAATAAGTTTTTAACCACTAAATATGTCAACAACGCATCGCCTCTACTTTTACCAAAAAATAGGCGCACGAAACTCCGCTGTTTGCGCCCGCGGACACCTGTCCCCGCCTCCTCGCAGGAAGCGGCCCCCGCGCGTGGGCGCGGGCTCGGGCTCGGGCTCGAGTGGCGACGTGGGCCGCGGTCCTGGAGGGGGAGAAGCGCCCGGCGGGCAGGCGCGGGGCAGGGAAGCCCCGGGGAACCCACAGCCCCTCCGCAGACCCAGCCAGGGGGCGCGCGCCCGAAAACGCCCCGTGTGCACGCGCCCGCCCCCCTCCCCGCGCCCCGCGCGCGCCCCTCGCAGCCTGGAGCCGGAGCGCTGGCTCCGCGCGGCCTGGAGAGGCGGAGAGGCCTGTCCACCGCCCCCTCTGCCGCCCACGCCCCGCTGCGGGTCGGAGGAGCAGCTCCCGCTCGCAGGTGCTCGGAGAGGCCGGGCCGCGGCTCCCACAGGTGCCGGGAAGCGGCCGCGCGCATGCGCCGGAGCCCACCCGCCTGGCTGCGCGTCCCGGGCCCGGCGGCTGAAGAGGAGCCGCGGCGAGGTAGGGCGGACCCCGGGGAGGCAGCGGCGGGGCCTGGCGGGCGGAGCGGGAAGCAGCCCGAGGCGCGGGTCGGAGGGGGCGGCGGGTGGGAGGTGGTCGGCGAGAGCGGCAGTAGGCGGGAGGGGAGAAAAGGGGAGGCCGGCAGGGGAGAGGCGGGGAGGGGAGGCCGGCAGGGGAGGGAGGGGAGCGGAGCGGAGGGGAGGGGAGGGGGGACCGGGAGAGGAGGGGGCAGCGCTGCCCGCGGCGGGGTGGGCGGCGGTGGGTGGTCTCCGCTCCGCCTCCGGGAGGCCGCGTGGGGGGCGTGGGGGCCTCCTCGCGGGGTCTCCACAGGCCCTCCCCCGGGACGCGGCAACCCCGGCCGGAAGACAATGAGCCGCCCGCGCCGCGCCCGCAGTCACCGCCCCCGCCGAGGGTCCCGCCGCCCCAGCCGGCACGGAAGCAGGAGCAGAAGCCGAAGCCAAGCGCGCGGGGCCAGGGCGGGGGCTCCTCCCGGGGTTGCTCCGCTTGGCTCTCGGCGGTCGCGGGGATCGGCTGTCCGGAGCGAACGGGGGTCTCTCCTGGACTCGGGGCCCTGGGGAGGGGAGCGCGGCCCTTGGTCCTCCGCCGCTGCGCCCGGGGTGCGGGGGTGTCCTGGCTGCTGACCCCCGCGAGCCCCGAGCACCGCGACCCACCCGCCCCACCGCGCCGCGGCTCCCGAGTCCTGCCGGGCGCCCCTTGCAGCCCCCGCCCCATGTGCTGGGGAGACCCCCGGGCGGTCTGGGCGGGATTCCGCAGGGGTCCCTCCTCTCAGGCGGGGCTCATTCTGGAGCATGAAAAGAGGGTGAACCAAAGTCCCTCCACCTCTTTAGAGTCCTACAAAACCACGTTTCCCCCTCCACCCACTCCAGTGTCTATTCTAAGGAAAAGAAAAGGAACAAATCAGTGCAGCGAGCTTTATTCTACTCAGCCCACGAAAGGCGCCGCCGTCAGATTTTAAAGTTCCAGCCATCCCCTCAGGCCCTGAGTGAGAAGTTCGCCCGATTCCCCGCGGTTCCCGCCTCCATTTCCCACTAAGGAGCAGTTACTCAGGCTCCAATTAGGACCCCTTAATGGATGTCAATGGAACCCTTCAGCCTTTTATCCTGAGCTAATAGTGTGCTATTATTAGAATAATCCTCCCCATTCCTGACATCACGGAAGGGAGCGTTCCATTGCCTTCAGATTTGCTCCAGCAACAACCTCGTGTGTGCAGATTTATGGTAACTGGCATTGCAATGCTCCCATCAGGGCATAACTAAGTAAAAATTGTAATGAGGTAAAGCCTTTGAACTTTCCATGTCAGTTGCACAGGCATTGCTGGCCATAGCATTGGACAGCACATAATAAAATCAGTTAAAAGATGTTGCTTACATTATAGTGATGTGTAGCACAGCCACGTTCGGATCAATTACAGACCGCCAAGTTGACGGTGGTCCTGTAAGATTATAAAACTGTTTTCCCTGTGTCTTTTTCATGCTTAGAAATGTGTAGATACACAAACACCATTGTGTTACAATTGCCTGCGGTATTGTGCACGCTGCACAGGTGTGCAGTCTGGAGCAGGAGTCTGTGCAGTGGAGCACAGGTGTGTAGCAGGCTGCACCGCCTAGGTGTGTAGGTGCCCTGTGTGATGTTTGCACAGTGATGAAGTTATCTAACTATCATTTCTCAGAACCTGTCTGCATCTGAACCATTCGTGACTGTATTTAAGCCAGCATTGGGCTTGGGAGGAGGGGAGAAAGCTTAAATGTTGTGGCTCTGAGACTAAAGAAATTCCCAGGGAGCAGGACTCTGTGTTGACTGATGTCTGGGCCTAACTTGAACCTCAGAGCACCTTGCTCTGGGTGGATGGAAGAATCCGGAAAGGTGGTTTGGAGCTTATCGCATCATTTGTAAACTCCAATACAAACCCGCTTCAATGGGGTTTCCATATGTTCCGGTACAGGTAGCAACCTTGGCAGTGGGAGCCCAGCAGGTCCCGTCTTTGTCCCTGTGCTGATACAGAGAGACTCTCCGTGCTGTGGACGCCTCCATCTGGGCACATGTTTCAGTTGTTTTCTAAATACCAAGAGCACAGATTGCTCAGTAATAATAGCTCTCCTGCAAATCTGGAATCACTTAGGCAGCTGCAGTGCCTCTAAGCCTCCTTGCATCCAAGGCTGTGATCAAGGAGGACTGGTGTCTGAGTGGGCTTGAGAAGGGCCCGGAGAACAGCGGGTTTCCTGATCACAAATCAGCCTGTCATTCAGCATGTGTTCCCTTGGTGACTCAGGGCGATATCTGCCCTTCTCCGGAGGTCAAGGGCTCATCGTGTCAATTGTGGTCTTGAGTTTGTTTTTTTTTTCCTCTTGAAATCATTGTAATTAAGCTAAAAGTATAGTGTTGGTATCCAGCACATGTTTGCAAAGTATTTAACAATGAGCAAAAACTTTAAGAATAAATTAAAGCATCTAGTTTACTTTTTGCCAACAGCCAGGTTCCTGCTAGAAATGATTTTGAAATAAATGTTGTCTTGGAAATAGAAACCGTTGCATGTCTTATGTGCATTTTGTTTGAAGGATTAGCATGAATTTCCTTCTCTTCTGAATATTTGTGGAGTTCCCCTGCTCCCCCACCCCCCACCCTGCTGTGGGTCAGGCTCAGTCCTAGGTGCTGGGAATACAGTTGTAAGTAAAGTCAGCCTAGTTCTCTGCTATCTGCAGCTGAGACGTTAATACAGTGAAAGGCATTCAGCATATAATTACGTTAATTCTTAGGTAATAACACACGGAGATGAGTGCGTTGAAGGAGAGGAATACATTCCCTTGAATGCACGTAACAGAGGAATGTTAGGCCGAGAACTAAGGGATGAGAGGGGTGGCTCAGGAGCCCAGGAGGGGACAGTTTGCGGGAACATTGTGTGCAAAGGCCCTGTGGTGAGGACTAGAGCACGGAGAGGTCAGTGAGGGGCGCTGGAGCAGGGTGTAGTAAAAGTGTAATGTCAGCCGATTTTATGGCTGAGTTAAATTGATGGAGCTTCACACTTTAGAGCAAGGTCCTCCAACCCATGGGCCACGAGCCACATGTGGCCCAGGACAGCTTTGAATGAGGCCCAACACAGATTTGTAAACTTTCTTAAAACATTATGAGTTTTTTTTTTTTTTAAGCTCATCATCTATCATTAGTGTTAGTCTATTTTATGTGTGACCCAAGACAATTCTTCCAGTGTGGCCCACGGAAGCCAAAAGATTGGAGACCCCTGCTTTAGAGCTTGACTGAGTTTCATATGGATTAATTTTGTAGCATGGAGACTTCCCGAGTCCTAAAGTGAAATCATTAAATAGGAAGATGCACATAGAATGTTTTGTAAATGAAAAACCACGGTGCCGATGTTAGCTGGTATTGTTACTGTTTTATTAGAAAGGTGTAGAGTCGTGGGGACATACATATGGGTGTGGTTCTATGAAGTGTACCATCTTTGTCCTGGCCACCTCCATCTCATGCTTGGACTCCTGCAGTAGTCTCTGGAGAGGCTCTGCACATCCTCTCTTTGAACAGGTCCTCCTGCAGTAGTCAGAACAATGATTTTTATTATTATTATTATATTTTGAGATGGAGTCTGGCTCTGTCATCCAGGCTGGAATCCAGTGGCACCATGTCAGCTCACGGCAACCTCCGCCTCCAGGGTTCAAGCAATTCTCATGTCTCAGTCTCTCGAGTAGCTGGGATTACAGGCGCCCTCCAGCACACCCAACTTATTTATTTATTTTTTTTTGTAGTTTTAGTAGAGATGGGGTCTCAGCATGTTAGCCAGGCTGGTCTCGAACTCCTGGCCTCAAGTGATCTTCCTGCCTTGGCCTCCCAAAGTGCTGGGATTACAGGCATGAACCACCACTCCCAGCTCAGAGCAATTATTTTTTAAAATTCTTACAATAGTGGGCCTTTCATAGCTTCCCATTCCTGCAAGATGCAGTTCACAGTTCTGAATATTCGTATCACGACCCTTGTTCCAATATCATGGTGGTTCAATAAGCCATGCACAGCTTAGTGGCTTAAAACAATAGCATTTATTTATATTTTAAGTTGCAGGGTACATGTGCGGGAGGTGCAGTTTTGTTACATAGGTAAACGTGTGCCATGGTGGTTTGTTGCACCTGTCAACCCATCACCTAGGTATTAAGCCCAGCAGGCATTAGCTCTTTATCCTGATGCTCTCCCTCCGCCGCCCTCTACAGGCCCCAGTGTGTGTTGTTCCCCTCCCTGAGTCCATGTGTTCTCATCATTCAGCTCCCACTTATAAGTGAGAACGTGGTGTTTGGTTTTCTGTTCCTGTATTCGTAGCAATAGCATTCATTTTGCTTAAAAGTCTGCAGTCTCGCTGGGCACAGCTCACCTTGGTGCCACTCAGCACCAGATGCGGAGCTTGAAGGCCAAGGGCTGGAACCATGGAGGCCACTGACTTGCTGCCTGAGGCTTGCGCCAGGAGGATTCACACACTGGGGGCTGGCGCAGCAGGGGCCCCTCGGGGACCTTCCCCTGTCACTGTGTGACCGTCCATGTACTCGCTGCAGCGTGGCAGCCTTGATGCAGTGGACTCCCTGTGTGTTGAGTCAGGGTCACCACGGACTGTGACCTGAGAAAACAGCCAGGTGGAACCGGGTCACCTTTCTCACGAGGCGGGGAGGTCATGTTGTGTTGCTTCCCCCTCAGTCCCTGGCCTGCCACGTAGAAGGGGAGGGAACGGGGTCTCAACTGTGAGCGCAGGGGAATCTCACTGGGCGGGATGGGCGTGCCGAGCAGGGTTCATCCATGCGGCATGTTTGGAAAATAGAATCTGCTCTTTCCACTAAGGTCATGTCCCTTCCACATAAAAAAGGCTACGGCGATCCCCAAGTCTCATCCTGTTGTGGCATCAAGACTTGGGCTCCAGGAAGTCATCATGGAAGTCAGGTGTGAAAGTGCCTCCCTGGGTTCCAGTCCTTCCTCTAATGCAAAGGCTGGTGTTCCAAAGCAATGAGAGACCCACCCCCAGCCCACAGTGCACAGCCCTGGGCAGGCACAGGAGAACTGCTGTAGGCCCTCGTGCTGGTCAGGGTTCTCCAGGGAAACACAACCAACTGGGTACATGTGTGTGCATGTGTGTGCATGTGTCTGCACGTGTGAGAGGGATTAGAGAGCAAGATTGAAGGACCTGGCTCATCCGATGGTGGTGGGGCAAGTCTGAGATCTGCAGGGCAGGCCGGCAGGCTGGATAGCCAGGGAAGTGCTGGCATTGCAGTCCCTCCTCCTCGGGAACCTCCGCCTTTTTAAGGCTTTGACTGATTGGACGAGGCCCACCCATATTGTGAATAGAAACATGCTTTACTCAAAATCTTCCCATGTAAATGTTAATCATGTCTTTAAAAAACACCCTTAGGCCAGGTGCAGTGGCTCACGCCTGTAATCCCAGCACTTTGGGAGGCCGAGGTAGGCAGATCACTTGAGGTCAGGAGTTTGAGACCAGCCTGGCCAACATGGTGAAACCCCGTCTCTACTAAAAACACAAAAATTAGCCAGGTGTGGTGGCACGCACTTGTGATCCCAGCTACTTGGGAGGCTGAGGCATGGGAATTGCATGACCCAGGGGGCGGAGGTTGCAGTGAGCCGAGATTGCGCCACTGCACTCCAGCCTGGGCTACAGAGTGAGACTCTGTCTCAAAACAAAACCCTTCATAGTGACATTTGGACTGTGATTGACTAAATATCTGGGTACTGTGGCCTAGCCAAGGGGACACATAAAAGTACCTATCATAACCTTCCTGTTCAGAAAGGGAGAAGTGTGTGGCAGACAGGGGTGTGTGGCCCACGCGGTCCTGAAGTGCAGCTGGGTGCAGGTTGGCAGCCTCGGGACAGGGCTCGGGCCTCATCCCGCGTGGCTTCCACACTCCTGGCTGCACCCTCTGGGCTCTTGGATCTCTTTGGGGAGTCCCTCTTCCTTTCCATGGAGAGGCCTCTGTTTGCAGCTGAGAGGTTTTCTTGCATCCTGCCCAGAGTACTTTGGGAGTGCAGTGCCCAGTCTCACTTTGTGCTGAATCTTTTCCCTGTAGCCTGAGCTGGCAGTATTTCATCTGTACAATTACCTGAAAGTGCTGTGGGGTTTTGTTTTCTATGAATCTCTTGGGATTTGTAGAATCCCCTGTCTAAGTATGACATCTTATTAGATGGGATTTGATATTTTGAGGACAAATATTGAGATAAGAAGATAGAGGCCCAGTCTGTGTGCCAGCCTAAATGATGTGAAATACTGATAATCAAACTTTTTTTTTTTTTTTTTGAGATGGGGTCTTGCTCTGTCACCAGGCTGGAGTGCAGTGGCGCAATCTCAGCTCACTGCAAGCTCCGCCTCCTGGGTTCAAGCATTTCTCCTGCCTCACCCTCCGGAGTAGCTGGGATTACAAGCATGCATCACCACGCCTGGCTAATTTTTGTATTTTTAGTACAGATGGGGTTTCACCATGTTGGCCAGGATGGTCCCAATCTCTTGACCTCATGATCTGCCTGCCTCGGCCTCCCAAAGTGCAGGGATTACAGATGTGAGCCACCACACCCAGCCTTTAATCAAAACTTTTAAAATGAGCTCCATGAAGCTACAGCCTCTGCCTCCACACTGCAGGCAGCTTCCGTGGGGGATGCCACGTGCTTCTGCATCGGGCTGTGGCATGGCCGGGTTGTGGTTTGTGGTGGCAGCGTGTGCTGAGAAGTGCTTGTCCCTGCCCTGGAGCCTCCGCCAGCTGGAGGTGGCACCACGCAGCCGCCAGGGCAGGGGCAGGGCAGGGGCAGCATGTTTCCTACTGGTTCTGTTAACTGTCTTTTCTGAGAGAGTGCCAGCGAGAGCAGATGAATGCCTTACCGTTTTCGGCACGACTTTAACAATCTGCTCAAGCTGAATGACCACAGAAAGCCTGCCTGCTTGTTGCATGGGCTGAGTTTCCCGCAGTTTCATGGGATTTGTGGAAATCTTTGCGAATGGTTGGATCACAGACTTCTTCTCAGCTTGTTTCATATGTCTGGCATTGCAACAGGGCAAAATAGTAACAAGGGCAGTAGGATCTCAGCGTCTGGTTTCTAATTTTAGCGCCAACACTAATTGGCTGTGTGACCCTGAGCCTGTCAGTGAATTTCATAGCAGAAACCTAACAGGCCAAGAGAGAGTAGGGTGATCTATTCGAAGTGCTGAAGGAAATAAAAACTTGCCAACCAAGATTTCTGTACCCAGAAAGGCTGTCATTTAGAAATGAAGGGGAGAGAAAGACTTTGCCAAGCAAACATCAGCTGAGGGAGTTCACCACCACCAGACCTGTCTTATAAGAAATGCTTAAGGGAATTCTTCTAGCTGAAAGAAAAGGACACTAATTAGTAACATGAAAACATTGAAAAGTGTAAAATTCACTGGTAAATGTAAGTACACGGTTGAATTCACAATACTCTAACACTGTAACGATGGTATGTAAATTAACTACATCTTCAGTATGAAGGCTAAAAGACAAAACTATTAAAACAGTAAAAGATACTGTGATGGTTAATTTCAAGGTGTCAACTTGAGTAGATTAAGGGACACCCCAATAGCTCGTAAAGTATTATTTCTGGAAGTGTCTGTGAGGGTGTTCCTGGAAGAGATTGGCATTTGAACCAGTGTGAGGAAGATTTGCCCTCAGTACCGTCCAATTGTCTGAGAGCCCAGATAGAAGAAAATGGCAGAAGAAGGGCAAATTCTTTCTCTGCCTCTCCCACTCTCCCCTGTCCTGGAGCTGGGACACCGTCTTCTTCTGCCCTTGGACATAAAAGCTCAAGGTTCTCCAGCCTTTGGACTCTGGGACTTGCATCAGTGGTCCCCTGGGTTGTCAGGCCTTCAGCTTTGGACTGAGTTATTCTATTCGCTTCCCTGGTTCTGAGGCCTCTGACAATAAACTGAGCCATGCCACTGGCTTCTCTGGTTCTCCAGCTTGCAGATAGCCTGTTGTGGGATTCTCAGCCTCAATAACTGTGTGAGCCAGTTCCCCTAGCAAATCCCCTCTCATCTACCGGTCTATCTAGCCTTTCTGTTGGTTCTGCTTCTCTGGAGAACCCTGGTTAATACAGCTATGGTAATATGTTAAGGGATATACAGCACAAAAAGCTGTCATTTGTGACATCAAAAACATAAAATGGGTGGGGGGCAGGAGTTAAAAGTATAGAGTTATTTTATTGAATCAGTTAAATCGTCAGCTTAAAATAGACTGTTACAACTATAAGGTATTTTATGTAAGCCTCATGGTGACCACAAAGCAAAAACCTACAGTAGGTACACAAAAGGTAGAAAGTCAAGAATCAAAGCATACCACAAGAGAAAGTCTAATCATAAAGGAAGACAGCAAGAGAGGAAGAAAGGAACAAAAGACCTACAAAACAACCAGAAAACAATTAAGAAAATGGGAATAGTAAGTTCTTACCTATCATAATTACCTTGAACATAAATGCATTCAGTTCTCCAATCAAGAGACATAGAGTGCATGAATGGGTTAAAAAAACATATAAGACCCCACTATATGCTGCCTACAAGAGACCCACTGGCCTTTGAGGAAACACAGGTTGAGAGTGAAGGGATGGGAACAGATACTCCACGCAAATTGAAAGCATTAGAGAGCAGAGGGAGCTATGCTTATATAAGATAAAATCCACTTCAAGTTAAAACTGTCAAGCAGCACTCAGAAGCTTTGTACAATGCAAGCAGCATTTTATAATGCCAAAGGGGCCAATTCATCAGAAGTAAACTTTTAGTATGAGTTGCTGAGCACTTTTTTTTTTTTTTTTAGACAGGATCTCACTGTGTCACCCAGGCTGGAGTGCAGTGGTGTGATCTCAGCTCACTGCAACTTCCACCTCCCAGGTTTAAGCCTCCTGAGTAGCTGGGATTATAGGCACACACCACCATGCCCAACTAATTTTTGTACTTTTAGTAGACATGGGGTATTGCCATGTTGTCCAGGCTGGTGTTGAACTGCTGACCTCAAGTGATCTACTCACCTTGGCCTCTCAGAGTGCTGGGATTACAGGCATGAGCCAGGTGGGCTCTTTTGATGTCCTGGGTGAGGCTTGGTTTAGATAATGTTGACTGTACCCAGTCCCCTCCTGCCACATGTTGGGTGTGTGTGCCCCGAGGCAGCAGTGACCTGCTAGAGGCCATGAGTTGGATGGACTCACTTCTGTGCCACCCACAAAAGCAGAGCCACACCTAGAACTTGGCAGCCTTGGGCATAGTCTGCTGTGTCCCCAGTGAATCCTGCCGCCTCTGCTGCCACCCTGTGTGCACCCCCATGCTCCAAAAAGGATGACCTCATCTAGGCCAGGTCATCACAGCTGAACTTCTCAGCCAGGATGTAACAGCCACCATACATCTGTCCCCAGTCACGATGCTCCTTTTCCTGAAGTCCTGTCCCAGGCAGCTGGGTGCTCCTTGTAACCCTGTGCCTGCCACCGCTCCGTGACCTGACCAGGGCGCTGGGGATTGTCTCGTTCCCTATTTCCATCATCCGTCGGGTTATCTTGTAACACCCCCCTCAGCACTGGCTGCATGACCTCATGATGCATCTTTTCTGCTTTTGGTCTTCACTAGTTGTGCTTGGTGGCACCTCCATGAGGGTCAAGCTGATGACTTTTCACACTGTCCCTATGGGACCTGGGGCAGTTTTGTGCAAATAAGACCATGAATGTTGAAATGTGTTACCTATAGGACCTGGGGCAGTCTTGTGCAAATAAGACCATGAATGTTGAAATGTATTTCACATGTGTTCAGCTTATCTCTCCCAATTAATTTGGAGACTGCTTGGATGCAGGAATTGCTTTTTAAAGAAAATTTTATTGAAGTCTAACATACAAACTGGAAAAAGTCACACATGGGGCTGGGCGTGGTGGCTTACGCCTGTAATCCCAGAACTTTGGGAGGCCAAGGTGGGTGGATCACCTGAGGTCAGGAGTTTGAGACCAGCCTGGCCAACAAGGTGAAGCTCCGTCTCTACTAAAAATACAAAAATTAGCTGGGCGTGGTGGCAGGCACCTTTAGTTCCAGCTACTCGGGAGGCTGAAGCAGGAGAATCACTTGAACCTGGGTGGTAGAGGTTGCAGTGAGCCAAGATCGCGCCATTGCCTGGGCAACAAGAGCGACCGTCTGAAAAAAATTTAGAAAAATAAAAAAAGAGTCACACGTGGGCCAGTCACAGTGGCCCATGCCTGTAATCCAAACACTTTGGGAGGCCGAGGTGGGAGGATCACTTGAGCCTGGGAGTTCGGGACCAGCCTGGGCAACATAGTGAGACCCCATCTCTAAAAAAGTTTTTTTTTTTTTTTTTTTTTTTTTTTGAGACAGAGTCTTGCACTTTCACCCAGGCTGGAGTGCAGTGGCGTGATCTCGGCTCACTGCAAGCTCTGCCTCCCGGGTTCACGCCGTTCTCCTGCCTCAGCCTCCCAAGTAGCTGGGACAACAGCTGCCCGCACCACACCTGGCTAATTTTTTGTGTTTTTAGTAGAGACGGGGTTTTACCGTGTTAGGCAGGATGGTCTCAGTTTCCTGACCTTGCGATCCCCCCGCCTCAGCCTCCCAATGTGTTGGGATTACAGGCATGAGCCTCCACGCGTGGCCCCGTCTCTAAAAAAATGTTTAAAAATGAATGAAAAGTCACACATGAACAGCTAGGTGAGTGGCCCCCTAAAAAGCACACGTGTGATAGGCACTCCAAACTTGACTTCCCACAGGAGCAGGAACTCATAGCATTTGGGCAGATGTGGCAGACTTTTGAAACAAACTGTGATTAGTTTAGTGGCATCTCCTGCAGTAAAATCTCGTATCATTAAACGAAAGTGGCAGCCGATCATTGGAAATGAAACCCCACTTTAAGGCCACGTACGTTTCAGGCCACGTTGCTGCTGTTTGGCCTTCTCGGCTGTTATCTGAAAGGGTCTCTGTTTGCAAAGCCCAACATAAGGGTGTTTCACAGCCTGAGTCGCTGCGATTACAAGGTCATGTGCTTTTGAATCAGGGTGGAATGGCCTGGCAGTCTGATCAGGTATTGCATTCTCATGCTCTAAGGGGCATCCACAGTATGCCCTGGGTCCTCGGAAGCCCCTGTACAAAATCAGAAGCCCTTCTGTAGGAACTCCTGTTGCCGACAGCCAGTCAGAGTGGGAGGTGGCTCACTGGAGACCCCCAAAGAGGGTGGCCGATGGCCGAATGCAGGTGACCCGGCAGGAGAAGGCAGAGCTCTTACAGGAGAGCACCTCGTGAGGTGTCCACTGGTGGAGCCCACACAGACCTTGGTGAGGGTGAGCTGTCAGGAGCTCGTCAGAGCAAAGATCAGGGTGTGCTTTGCTTCTCTGCAGAGAGGCAGCCTGCCTGACCTGGCCGACTCCCGCGCCACCTGGCTTTATTCCTCTGAAACTGTCTCATGCGCTTAGGGGTTCCCCCTCGGGAATTCCGAACACTGGACAGTCTCCAGGGGAGATGCTCTTCCACAGCAGCGTCTGTCCTGGCGCCCGGCGCCCGGCAAGCCACACACGGCAGCCTGCTCAGCTTCCAGCCTGGGTGCCATGTGGCGTTTACCAAGGTGGGATCCTTGTTTTCCTAAATAATAACCTTTGTGAGACTGAACTGTTCTCTCATCTCACCCCGAACACGCTACAGTCGTTAACTTCAAACCTGCATTTTAGAGAAAAACACGAAATAAAAATATGTTGGCCAGGTGCATTGGCTCATGCCTGTGAATCTCAGCGCTTTGGGAGTCCCAGGCTGCAGTGAGCCATGATTGCACCCCTGCAACCCAGCCTGGGTGACAGAGTGAGACCTTGTCTCTAACAAACAATGAAGTAAAAACCAGTATGTTGACAATCTTCATCTATAAATCATATTTAGTGAGACGTTAAAAGAGTTTGTAAAGAACGAATGATAACATCAGGTTGTTCCCATTCAGTCTCAAGGTATAATTGTAGACACATCGGTTTTGCATCCACACTCCCGCGTGGCAATTGCAGGACCATCTGGATATGAAACTGTCTCTTCCTGCTCACATAACTGCACTCTTGTTTGACAGACCACAAGTCTTGATTTCTGCATCAAAAATAGTAGCTAAAATATCAGTAACAATGACAAATCAATTCTCATGTCATCAACCTTCCTTCCCTTTGCACTCAGTCACCTGCTGGTTTGGGGTTGGCCACGTTGTGCTTGCCTTTGGGGATCTCAGGCATTTTCCCTGGATCTAAAGCAGCCAATGGTCATTGTTCCCCCATCACAAAGTCTGAGTGGCAAGTACAAGCTGAATATCCTACTTTTGAGAATCCTGCTGACAGTTTTGATGATGCAGGTGCAGTAGAATTGGGACTCTGTCAAATCTTAACTGAAACAAAACACAAAAAAGAAGTAGGAGACGGGTTTCTGCCCTCCTTTCAGTTTATACCAACGATGCAAATAAACCCATGAGATTATTAGAAAAGGCAGAGTTTGGGAATCTGTTCTACATCCAACTCTGCCATAACTTGTTTGTAATCTTGGACAAGTCTCTCTTTTATGAAACCAACAGCTCAGAACTTTAAAAAGGACAAAACACGAGTTTTTATTTAGATTCCCGTATTTCCACTTGGCTGGAACTTTTAGTAACTAAGTTACTCAGCAGCAGAGGCATGAAGAATTCTTACCTGGTGATTAACTGTACTTAGGTGTGTTTAAGGTTGTATGGTTTGCATTCATTTTTATTAGCAGGCCAGATTACTTAATTGATAAATAATGGTAGTTGTTTAAACATATGGCATTACGTTTTAAATTGTAAAATATTTCAAACACCATAATGCAATATAAAGAAACGCTCATGGATCCCACTAAGATTTAATACATGTTATCGTTTTGCCACTTAGGCTTCAAATATTTTTTGTTTGTTTGTAAGAAACTAGATGAGGCCAGGCGTGGTGCCTCACTCCTGTAATCTCAGCTCTTCAGGAGGCTGATGCAGGAGGACCAGGGGAGCCCAGGAGTTGAAGACAGCCTGGCAACATAGTGAGACCCTATCTCTCCAAAAAAAAAAAAAAAAAAAAAAAAAACCACGCACACACACACACAAAGAAGGAACCTGAATGATACGGTCTATGTGGTGAACAGAGACACTGGAAGCCCTGTGGTCCCGTCCCCGGCCTCCTCTTCAGAAGTGATCAATACACAAGAATCCATGCCTGTCCTTCCTCTCTCTGTTTTTACACTTCCATAAAAGACATAGGTGTTTTTTAATGTTTAAAATATACATAAATAGAATTATCCAGTATCTTTTTGCAACTGCAAAGCTTCCGAAATTCAAAATTTTGTTTATGAAATTGACTCACGTTGAGACATGCAGATCTAGGTCATTTATTTGAACAGTGTTAGCGTGACACAAAACCCATCTAGGAGTCGCTCAATCAATCCTTTTTTGTAGAAAAGGACACAAAGCAATCTTTCTAAAACCCAAGACTGATCATATTACTGTTCCCGTCACTGCTTCCTTTCTTTAAACGCCGTCAGCAGATCCCATTGTGGTCAAGGTGACCGGGCCCTTGTGCTGCCCCCACCAGACCCCAAGCACCCCTGCGCTCCGGCCACCCTCGGTCTCTAGAACCTGTCAAGCTTGTCTGTACCTCGAGGACTTCTCCGGCTGCTCTCCTGCTCCTCTCTCATGCTGCAGCATAACTTTCACATTCTGGGAGGACGCACCTGTCACCACAGTAGAACCAGGTTCATCTGTCCTTATCTTTTGGAGCCTTTATTATTATTATTATTATTATTATACTTTAAGTTCTAGGGTACATGTGCACAACTTGCAGGTTGGTTACATATATATACATGTGCCATGTTGGTTTGCTGCACCCATTAACTCGTCATTTACATTAGGTATTTCTCCTAATGCTTTCCCTCCCCCAGCTCCCCAGCCCCCGACGGGCCCCGGTGTGTGATGTTCCCCGCCCTGTTTCCAAGTGATTTCATTGTTCAGTTCCCACCTTTGAGTGAGAACATGTGGTGTTTGGTTTTCTGTCCTTGTGATAGTTTGCTGAGAATGATGGTTTCCAGCTTCATCCATGTCACTGCAAAGGACATGAACTCATCCTTTTTATGGTTGCATAGTATTCCATGGTGTATATGTGCCACATTTTCTTTATCCAGTCTATCATTGTTGGACATTTGGGTTGGTTCCAAGTCTTTGCTATTGTGAATAGTGCTGCTATAAACATACGTGTGCATGTGTCTTTATAGCAGCATGATTTATAGTCCTTTGGGCATATACCCACTAATGGGATGGCTGGGTCAAATGGTATTTCTACTTCTAGATCCCTGAGGAATCGCCAAACTGTCTTCCACAATGGTTGAACTAGTTTACACTCCCACCAACAGTGTAAAAGCGTTCCTGTTTCTCCACATCCTCTCCAGCACCTGTTGTTTCCTGACTTTTTAATGATCGCCATTCTAACTGGTGTGAGATGGTACCTCATTGTGGTTTTGATTTGCATTTCTCTGATGGCCAGTGATGGTGAGCATTTTTTCATGTGTCTGTCGGCTGCATAAATGTCTTCTTTTGAGAAGTGTCTGTTCATATCCTTTGCCCACTTTTTGATGACTTTTTTCTTGTAAATTTGTTTGAGTTGTTTGTAGATTCTGGATATTAGCCCCTCCTGGAGTCTTCTTGCTAGTCTCTTCAAGCCTTTGTCCTGGTTCCTGAATCCATTCAAACGTGTGCAGTGGCTCAACGCTTGCCTTCTGCACTGAGGCTTGAGCCCCATGGGGCTGGGACCAAGTCTGTCTCATTCCTTGCTACCATTTTAGTAGCTGGCGCGCTGTCTGGCACATTGTAAATACTTCATATATGTCTGCTAAGTAAATGAGCAAATGAATGAATATTGCTAATTAATTATCATTATTAACATATCAATGTAAATCTAACAGATTGACAGTTGTGAGCAATTGTAGGATTTATTCAGCCCAGGAATCTCTCATTTCCGATTCCAGCTGAGCGTCCTGGTAGGACACTCAACTTTGATTTCAGTTTTAAAATGAAACAGATTTATTTTAAAAGAGTCAAGTTGACCCAAACATTGCTCAGAGTTGGGTTTCAGAGCTGGACATTTCAGGAGAGTCTTTCAGCCGGTGCCTCTCTCCAGAGCCTTGGTGCTCTGGTGCGACCTTGGTATTCACGCTTTATGTTTGGCTGAATCAGTAATTCTTGAGTCGGGCCACAGGGAAGGGCAGATGCTTCCTATTTCAACGTGTTCTCAGTTTCCACCCCAAGGACACTCACAGAAACCTAGAGTAAGATTTGTACTCCTCTGAATCAAAGGCTCTTTTGAATGAGTACAATGATTTATTTTCATCCAGTTTTCTTTCAGTACTTCCAGATCTGTGATTCCAGTGAGCACAGGCTGTGTTATAACTAGAGCGAGGACAGGCGCCAGCGGCTCCCTGTCCAATCTTGTTTTGGACCAAGTTGACCGCACACTTCTGTGCAAGGACATCTCATTCCTCTTCTACTTTCAAGTATGGTCCATGCAGGTGTATCGTCGTGTCAGCAATGAAGGAATGATGGAGTCACTAAGCTCCATACCGCATGGATCTCAGACGCTTGCATTTTTTAAAAAATCCATTAATCAGATACAGGAAGCAGATCAGGAAATCTATGCAACAAGTTTCACAGCTGAGGTGTCCCCTCTCTGCACGACGCATCGCCTCCCCGAAGAGCTCATAGCAGGCAGTGGTTAAGGGGCCAGACACACGAGTGCCCCCTCACCTCCCTTGCGTCTGGCTGCGAACCTGACCACAGAGTCGGAAGCAGGCATCCTCATGGGGTGAGACCACAGGGGCTGGAATCCATGGCTCTGACTAAACCTCTTAAACTTGTGACCAGCAGGGGTGAATCCCTGCTAATTTGTGAGGGCCAGCTCACTAGGGAACAGATAACGATGTCTCAGGTGGTTTTTTTTTTTTTTTTTTTTTTTTTTGAGGCCTCTTGTTGAAGGCTCCAGAGACAGAGGAAGAGAGGAGAATATTGAACTTTGGTGTTGGTCAGCTGCTAATTTTGTTCAGTCTTCTGAGACTACAAACTTAGTATTTCTGTGCATTGAGCATTTTTTCATTTATGGAATGAAGACGCTGGTAGATCTGCCTGTCTCAAGTGTGTGAGCTGTGAGACTGAAATGGGACAGTTGCCGGGAAGATGCCGGGAGCCTGTCTGGGTAGATGCTGGGCCTTGGCGCCCTGTCCAGGTGGGTGCTGGGCCTTGGTGCCCTGTCTGGGTAGATGCTGGGCCTTGGCGCCCTGTCTGGGTAGATGCTGCTGGGCCTTGGTGCCCTGTCCGGGTGGGTACTGGGCCTTGGTGCCCTGTCTGGGTAGATGCTGGGCCTTGGCGCCCTGTCCGGGTAGATGCTGCCGGGCCTTGGCGCCCTGTCCGGGTAGGTGCTGCCGGGCCTTGGCGCCCTGTCCGGGTAGATGCTGCGGGGCCTTGGCGCCCTGTCCGGGTAGATGCTGCTGGGACTTGGCGCCCTGTCCGGGTAGATGCTGCGGGGCCTTGGCGCCCTGTCCGGGTAGATGCTGCGGGGCCTTGGCGCCCTGTCCGGGTAGATGCTGCGGGGCCTTGGCGCCCTGTCCGGGTAGGTGCTGCGGGGCCTTGGCGCCCTGTCCGGGTAGGTGCTGCCGGGCCTTGGCGCCCTGTCCGGGTAGGTGCTGCCGGGCCTTGGCGCCCTGTCCGGGTAGGTGCTGCGGGGCCTTGGCGCCCTGTCCGGGTAGGTGCTGCGGGGCCTTGGCGCCCTGTCCGGGTAGGTGCTGCGGGGCCTTGGCGCCCTGTCCGGGTAGGTGCTGCGGGGCCTTGGCGCCCTGTCCGGGTAGGTGCTGCGGGGCCTTGGCGCCCTGTCCGGGTAGGTGCTGCGGGGCCTTGGCGCCCTGTCCGGGTAGGTGCTGCGGGGCCTTGGCGCCCTGTCCGGGTAGATGCTGCGGGGCCTTGGCGCCCTGTCCGGGTAGGTGCTGCGGGGCCTTGGCGCCCTGTCCGGGTAGATGCTGCGGGGCCTTGGCGCCCTGTCCGGGTAGATGCTGCCGGGCCTTGGCGCCCTGTCCGGGTAGATGCTGCGGGGCCTTGGCGCCCTGTCCGGGTAGATGCTGCCGGGCCTTGGCGCCCTGTCCGGGTAGATGCTGTGGGGCCTTGGTGCCCTCTTCTTGTCCTGCTGTGGGCCTCTGTAGTTTGGCAGTGACCTTGTCCTTGGGAGGCACTCCTCCCTGCATGTGAGAAAGCTTGCTAGGGCAGCGGCTGCACCGTGCTCTTTATACACACCGCGTTGAACTCCAGGACTGCCTGGTGAAGTAGGCGTTTGCTTTTAGGTAAAGGATTACAGTTTCCAAGGATGGGAATCCCCGCACGCTAGCCTAAGCCAGAAGTGGCATTTATTAGCGAACTTACCTCAGACGCCCCCAGAAGCTGTCCTTCGGCACCACATGCTCCAGGGGTCTCACTCTCCTGTCCTCTTCCCATTTTTAAGTTTTCTGCTGTGTGCATTGTTTCTTTTCTTCTGCTGGAGATAATGAGCTTTCCCTCGATTCCAGCTCTGTGATCCATGAGGGCAGGGCCCTTGCTCCTGCATCAGCCCAGAGGCCCGTGCATCGCCAGAGGCTTTGCTCTCCCCACACCAGGTCAGAAGAGCTCAGGGTATCTTGTGGGCAATGAGCTGTGACCTGCCCAGCCAGGATCCCGAGGCCTGCTTCCTGGGGGTCCTGCACTGCCCTGAGGGAACCCAGTGATGGAGTGGCAGAGAAGGTGCCCACCGGTGAGTGGGCCTTCTCGTTTTAGGACGAGATCACTGAATGGAGCAAATTGCCTGGGCTCTTGGTGGGAGTAAGTTACAGGGAAGAGACTCCGACCTGGGTGTGTCTGACACCAAAGGGAAGGCTTCCAAACACCTTGACCTTCCTGGAGCTTTGCCAATGCGTGAAATGTGTGCTTATTTCATCGCGGTAGACACACAGGGAGGTAGGCGTCATGCACGAGGAAGTGCCAGAGATGGGAGGTCATCTACCCAAGGGCCTTTAGTTGAGGAACGTCTAACTTTCAAACCCACCCTCCCTCTTCTGAAAGGTCCCTGAGCAGCACCTGTTGCCACCCAGGACACGCACTCCTGGACTCTGGCCCCACCTGTTCATTCCACCAGGAAGAGGGGCAGGTTCCTGCCGGGCTTTGTCACTGCCTGAAGGGGAGCACGGGTGAGTTTCCTCATCCCTGAGCCCGGGTTTTCTCAACTGTAAAACGTGGCAGCGCTGCCTGCCTCCCAGGGTGTTTGAAGACTGTGTGGTAACTGATGTCACCTGCACAGTTCCTGCACACAGTACAAAAGCACAAATGTTAATTCCTCCACGTGACCCACACGTCCCCCAGATACACTCAGAGAGGAGGAACAGGCAGGGGAGGAAGGGCCAGACGGATGCCAGGAGAGGGGAGCGAGCTCGGTGGAGGCTTTTTCTTAAATTGGAAGCGGGGGTGGGGTGGGAAACACTGGCTGGAGGTGTAGGTACCTGGAGAGATTTCCCAAGGTTAGAAATGCTCCCCATAGTTTAGGAATATGAGTTTAAAATCATGCCTGTTCATAATAGATTTTTAAAAAATGTGTAAAGAGTAAAAAAAAAAATTCATCCCAATCCCCATCCTTATTTTCATACTGTTTTTTCTTTCTATATCTTAAGACTTTTTCAAGTTGGTCTATACTTTAAAACCCACAAGTTGTTTTGATTATAAAAGCAGCATATATTTTAGAAAATATTGAAACTCAGCATTTTATTTAGGAGATTTTAAAACCTAGCTGTAATCCAACATCCAGATATAACTATTGATCTCTTTTATTTATTTTTTTTTTTCAAAACCTTTTTTGTGAGCCCCTACTTGGAGCTGTCATGTGGATAATATCTTAATCTGCCATTCTTTGTGTAGTTTAAAAACTTGCTTTTATTTTGTTATTGTTATTATTTTTGAGACATGGTCTGATTCTGTTGCCCAGGCTGGAATGTAGTGGCATGATCTTGACTCACTGCAGCCTTGACCTCTCCCGGGCTCAAGTGATCCTCTGACCCCAGCTTCCCGCGTAGCTAGGGCTACAAATGCTGCATGCCACCACTCTCAGCTAATTTTTTTTTGTATTTTTAGTAGGGAAAGGGTCTCCCCATGTTGCCCAGACTGGCCTCGAACTCCTTACCTCAGGTTATCCACCCACCTCAGCCTTCTGAAGTGCTGGGATTACAGTCATGAGCCACCATGCCTGGCCTCTGTGGTTTCATCTGAGTATTTTCAGTTACCATTGTTTTAGTTTCCCTAGCTAACATGCATTCATCCATCCATCTATCCATCCAGTCGCCCATCTTTCTGTCCATCCATCGGTCCATCCGTCCGTCCGTCCGTCCGTCCGTCCGTCCATCCATCCATCCATCCATCCATCCATCCACCCACCCACCCATCCATCCATCTATCCATCCAATCACCCATCTGTCTATCCATCCATCTATCCGTCCATCCGTCCATCCATCCATCCATCCATCCACCCATCCATCCACCCACCCACCCACCCACCCACCCACCCATCCATCCATCCATCCATCCATCCATCCATCCAGTTGCCCTTACACAGTCCAGCCTGTGCTAATGGTAGAGTGAAAGGTAATCCTCCTTTCTGTGAATTTTATGTTTTTATGGAAAGGGATGACACATACACCTCCCTATCTGTAATGATACTATGTGGTGCTAAAATAAGACTTTCTCTGCAAACACAGACTGTAGAGCAACTAAAACCGGAAGTGAGGAAGTCTTATTAGAGAATGCACCATGGCAGCTTGAGCCTAAAGAAGGAGCAAGAATTCTGCTTCTCAAACCAGGATGGGGGTTGTCTTAGGCATCAAGAATTGCACAGGCAAAAGCTATCAATATATGAATACACAATACCCCCTACACACACACACACACACACACACACACACACACACAAAACCCCATAGATGGTTTATCAGGGGAGCCACAGGCAATTCCATGAGCTCGTGCAGTAGGACAGAGGGGAGTGAGGCATGAGGGCGGGTGAGTTGGGAGCAGATTGCTCAATACTTCGTTTACCGGCCTACGGAGCTTAGACTTCAAGAATATCTATTGTATAAAAGCTCTTCTTCAGGAAATTCCCAATAATTTTACTTCTTCCAATTAAGTCCTGCTAGGAGATTCAGCCTACTGTTATTCCCCTAAATGACCCCCAGGAGGGCAGGTGGGGGACAGCTGGTGGAGCGAGGCCGGGCCTGCCCCAGGATCCCAGTGCTGCCCCATCTCCTGCTGCGTCAATGCTCAGAACTGCGCAGAGCACCCTGACTTGCTTGGATTCTGTCTACAGGATGCAGGGGCAACCGGCGACCCGCCTGAACATTCCAGAGGCTTTGCTCAGCCCCGTGCATGGCTGTGACAGGCGTCAGCTCAGACAGGGCCGGGAGTCTGAATGACTCAAGAGGTGTCATGGCACGGTGGCTGATGGCGTGGGCAGTGGAGCCAGTTGCTTGGCTCATTTCTGGCTCTGCCCCTTAAAACTGCATGGCTTATAAAATGCATATTGATGAAATCACATAAATGGCTAATCACAACACCTCCCTCCCAGAAGGCTCCTGCGGGTGCCACGTGTTAATATGATGTAGCACACACCAGAACAGTGCCTGGCAAAATAGACGCCCGCTGCTCTGTGTCCTTTCGGACTCACGTGTTGTCAGGTCACACTGCAGTCCAGCTGGTCTCTTAGGATGCCCTTCATAAAAAACAAGCT
The DNA here is from genome assembly GCF_000001405.40 of Homo sapiens. Lineage (NCBI taxonomy): Eukaryota > Metazoa > Chordata > Mammalia > Primates > Hominidae > Homo > Homo sapiens. The sequence goes on from NC_000008.11 coordinate 1,994,771, forward strand.
AAAAGAGGCCAGGCGTGGTGGCTGACGCCTGTAATCCCACCACTTTGGGAGGCCAAGGTGGGCGGATCACTTGAGGTCAGGAATTCGAGACCAGCCTGACCAACATGGCGAAACTCCGTCTCTACTAAAAATACAAATACTAGCCAGGCGTGATGGTGGGTGCCTATAATCCCAGCTACTCGGGAGGCTGAGGCAGGAGAATCCCTTGAACCCAGGAGGCAGAGGTTGCAGTGAGCCGAGATGGTGCCATTGCACTACAGCCTGGGGAACAAGGGTGAGACTCTTGTCTCAAAAAAAAAAAAAAAAAAAAAAGCTAAAAGAGTATATACATTGTGCTGTGGTGGGACAGACACTCTAATGCATGTTGCTAGGTATATTATGGAACATTTACTTATTCAGTTACTCAAGAAACTCCACCGTGCTGTAGACACCCTCCCCATTTCTAAACTACACAGAAAATATTGCTTACAATTGGCTTTAGTTTTCTTTTATCCATGTAGTATCTCGTTGCTTGAACCACTGTAGGAATCCTGAAGGCAGACACTAAGAGCAGAAGCCACTTTTCTCATTCCCCAGGACAGCACAGAACCTTGCTTTTAGTAGCCGTACGGCCAAGTTAAATATGGGCTGCATTTTACAAGGAAAATGTATTTCCTGAGTGGTGTTTCCTCCTGGCTAGTTTTAGGCTGTGTAATTCTGCACATTTTCATGGTCCCTTTACACTATTTTCTGTGCCTTAAAGCATACTGAGAAAATGTGGATCAGGGCTGGGTGTGAGGACGGCCAGTTCCACGGGGCATCAGTGTCAGTGATGGCACCGACTCCCTTCTTGCTTCACCCACCCTCGGTCCTGCCTGCCCAGAAGCTGTGGGCCTGTTTTCATTTGGGCCTGGAGAGGAAATAACCTTGAAAAGCAATATTTGTAACAGCAGTTGAAAGTGAACCAATACATTGAATCAAAGAGAAATCCTGACCGGGCATGGTGGCTCACACCTGTAATCCCAGCAAATTTAGGAGGCCGAGGCAGGTGGACCATTTAAGCCCAGAAGTTCAGGACCACTCTGGGAAACATAGCGAGATCCTGTTTCTACTAAACATACAAAAATTAGCCAGCTGTGGTGGTGCGCCCCCATAGTCACAGCTACTTGGGAGGCTGAGGTGGGAGGATCTCTTGAGCCCAGGAGTTGAAGCTGCAGTGAGCCATGCTTGTGTGACTGTCCTCCAGCCTGGATGACAGAGCAAGACCCTGTCTCAAAAAACAAACAAACAAAAATCCTGAGATTCCCTACAGGTTTCTAAGATGCTATAATTTTTCTTAGACTTATGGCCCTTCTTTCTTAATTAACCTTGCGATTCATTGGCTACTTAACTGTGTGAATGGCATCTTTCTGGTGCTGATGGAGGCCATGTGGGCACGGCCCACCCAGGCGCTATTCCCAGGGACGCTGTGGTCTAACAGGGTGTGGTGGGATATAGGCAATGCGTGTAGGACGCTGGAAGGAATTTTTTTTTTTGGACGGGGTTTCACTCTTGTTGCCCAGGCTGGAGTGCAATGGCGTGATCTCGGCTCACTGCAACCTCCGCCCCCTGGGTTCAGGTGATTCTCCTGCCTCAGCTTTCTGAGTAGCTGAGATTACAGCCCTGTGCCACCAAGCCCGGCTGATTTTGTATTTTTTTAGTAGAGATGGGGTTTCACCATGTTGGCCAAGCTGGTCTTGAACTCCTGACCTCAGGTGACCCACCCACCTCGGCCTCCCAAAGTGCTGGGATTACAGGCTTGAGCCACCGCGCCTGGCTGAAGGACTGAGAAGCAAAACATACCACAGAAGTTTACATAAACTCCCTAAGTCAATGAACGCATTCTTTAAAAAAAAATTAAGCTGACTGTAATGATTTGAAAGGAAGACTCTTTTTAGCAAGCAGTATTATTAAAATAGAGCATGATATTTTATTCTGAATAAGTCCTAATGTCCACATTAAATATATAATGTCCACATTGGGAAATCATACAAAATCTTATTTTTTAATTTGTATTAATCGTAAAGAAATGTATAGAAACTTAGAAGTTTAGATATTTATAAGGCCCAGAAGAAACTTACATCTTCTGGGGGAAAATGCTACATATATTTTATTATTTACATTTAATTAATACTATTTATATTTAATTAGCCCTTGTTCTTATGAAATGATTTCCTAATTACCAGCAAGGAGGAAACTGGTCACTCCCTGTCTCCCCCGCGCGCCCCCCGTGCCTTCCATGGAAACTGCAGTGCTGACTTTCTGTGTCGCCTGGTTGTGACTCCAGAAGTGGGCTCAGGAAACCCTTGTTGACGATCACCCAGGGAAAAAATCCTTCCAAACCCTCCGGCGGGGGGTGGGCGAGTTTCAGTAATTTCACAGTAACAAGGATGGACGCTCCTCAGGGAGCCTCTTAGTGGAATTCTGATTCTGGAGCCAACCACAAAATGGTGGCGGTGGGAGGAATCCCTGTGGAAATCCCTGACTTCCCATCCAAAAACATCTGACCCTAACAGTCACCGCGGTTGCTGATGCCTCAGAGGACTGCTAGACCCAAAGGCCAACTCCTCTCCATCTATTTTAAGGTAAAAATTTCAGTAATGGGTCATTCTGGAAAAAAAAAAAAAAGTCTTAATGTTGAGTTTCTTTTAACATAATTTGAGACAGAAAAGGGCCTCCTGCTTAACCTCATTTCCCACATGGTGTGTGACACCACGTCCATTCTGCAGGGAGACCCGCGGCAGGGCAGGCACGTTCAGTGCTGTGAGACCATCTCCCGGAAGGGCTGCCCAGAGCCTCCTAGAGGGGCGGCGGAGGGCTCCCGAGCCCCTGATGCAGCCTTGCTGCTGCTACTCAACAGCGTAGCTGAAGATCTTGGTGTCAGAAACAACATCGCTGATGGTGGTGGACAGGGAGCTGCTGGCCTGCTTTTGCCTGTGGCAGGTGATCTCAATGCAGTGGTGTCTGAGAGGCCTTGTGATTCCTCCCAGTGAGAGTGCGACGCTGTACCATGTTGAGACCATCCCCTGCTCTGCCAACTTGCTTTGTAATGTGAGCCAAAGGGCACGCAGGGGGACGGCGGCAACGACAGAATACGATAGGGCCACCACCTCTGCTGGAAGGGGCTCCTCAGAAGGACACAATTTAATAATGTGTGTGTGTTGGAAAAGTAACATAAAGACCGCTTGAATCATGACTTTTGAGATGATTGAGTTTCATTATTTCTTGGGCCAGCTGGAATAAGAACCAGTTCTAACCCAGGTGTGAGTTGAACATCCCAAATTTGAAACTGAAAATGCTCCAAAATCTGAACTGTTTTGAGTGCTGACATAATGCTCATTGGATCCTTTCAGATTTGGGGTTTTGGGAGTTGAAATGTAAGTATAAATGCAAGTATTCCAAAATTCAAAAAATGGGAAATCCTGAAGAGCTCAAGCATTTGGGATGAGGGCTACTCAGCCTCTAGCCAGACAGCCTCCTTGTTGGCACAGCAGAGATGGGTCCCTCGCTGTTGGGGGCACTGTGGGCTGCTTTCTGGTGTGTCTGTTTCATCATGGAGATGTCTCTCTTGCTTAATTGTAGTTATAACAAAATGTATACTTATCAAACACTCTTTCAGGCTTTGAACTGATTTCATAGGACTTTGCAGGGCAGAGTTCCAAATTTAAGCTTTTAAAATGCATTTGACTGATTGCATGACTTCCCTTCAGTCTGTAATGATTAATTACATAAAGATGACTCTCGGGATGGAGGCTCCTGTACATTGCAGGACAGTCCAGCCAGAGAAAGAACTAGGGAGCTCCGAGAGCCCTTTCTAGGCCAAGAAGAAAGTTTACTACACTGGATTTTAGGGGCTATGTCTTCTGTATCTTACAGAAGCAGTGTTAAACGAATAAGCCAACTGAGACAGCCAGTTCTCAGATTTTATTTCAGACATGAGGTTCATGTGTATTTCTTATCTGATAGAGAAGTTTGTCTTAGATTTGCTCTCTCTCTCCTTTGCATGACTCAGCTGGCTGGAAAGACTCTGCAGTCTTCAGGGCTGGTGCCCTTCACCGATGCAGCTTCACAGCTTTTCCATTTCGGGTCACCGTTACATTGTGGTCCTTTCCCCGGCCCTGGACTGGCCACCACTGGACAGCAGGATGGGGGCCTGGGGTGAGCACCTGTCAGTGTGGGCATGGCTGGGTGAACACAAGGGACCCTTGTGTCCTGCTTAGCTATTGTCTGTGACCTACCCTGGGGATCAGAGCTTCAAGGTTCTCAGAAACCTTCTTAATATTACATTCCCCAGGCATCTTATGACAATTCTATGCACATAGGGAGTGTGCCAACATTTTATTGTGAAAGATATCTGGAAGACAGAGGGAGAGAGAGAGACAGGGAGAGTCAAACGTGGAGTTTCCAACTTGAAGACACTTTTATTTCTGAGAATACTGGGAAAGCCTTTTCAGGGACAGAGGGACAGGAAGAGCAGGGAATTTATAGTAACCAGGTAATGCTATTGCACATAATAAGTAGAACTTTAGAAGATGCTGGGGGTTAAGTATCATTTTACCCATCTCACTTGAGAGCTGAACACGCATTCTGTATAAAGATAAGCCTGGTCATGTTTTGGATGGTTGTGTTGTCCACATTCTTTTCTTTAGAAGGCCAGAATGAAGTTGGCTTATGTGGACTCTAAGACTCTAAGTTTCTTCCCAGTATGTTAGGGAGTGTCCGTGAAGCGTTTGCCAATTTAAGAAAGATATTTGATTGTATTCTATAATGCATCTGCCGGCACTCATATCTGCCTTCCACATACTTCATTCAGTCTTTTCGCTTTGATTTTCCTTTTGCTGCATTTAGGCTGTTTGGATAATTGCTTCTCTGAGGTTTTTCAGGGTTGTAATTCTAAGAGTTTAAAGAGATTTAGGAGTTGGCGCCATTTGGGGTCCTGAATTCATGCTGTTGGCTGAAGCTGATTCCAGAGAAGCATCCTAACGCCTTTCTACAAATGGTTGTAACCGAATGTGAAATAATTAACTGGGAAACACTGAAAGAAAACTTGTGATCTGTTAATAAATTAATAAAATCACACAATCCAGTCATGCTTTCTCACTAAAAGGAGTTCTTCATGCTACTTACACTTTTTATGTTGAAAACAGTTAATTGTTGATACTCGACTGCTTTTGACCTACAGAACTAGCAACTTCATATGGTTCAACCGATGCGTGTCAGGCCTTAATGTTTGGTGGTGCCAATTGCTTGAACTGGACTCTCCTGAGTCCTCAAAATCAGGAGAGGAATATCGAGAGGGTACTTTAAAAAATTCCTAAATAATTCTGCATGTCCTATTCATCAAACTCTCCAGCAGAGAAAAATCACAACCCCTTTACAACCAAAACTGAATTCTATAATCTGAACGTTGGAGAGGGAAGGGTGGTAGACTCCGCTGACACGAAATAACCTTACTGAAAAACGCACAAATATCCTCTCTTTTTGTCCTATAAACAGGAACAAGAGTGTGGTGAGAGGACGCGGAAACACCTGATATCCCAGCAAAGGAAGCTGCAGAGGAAGGGTCCTGCCCCGTGAGCGAGGACAGCCTCCAGGAGCACAGCGGCTTCTCCTAACATCCCCCTGGCAGTGAATTACGGATGACCCCGTATATGAGGAGGTGTGGATGCCGACACACGGGGAGAGCTCCTGAGACCAGCACACAGGACCAGTGTCCTCCCCGTGACCTTGCAGTTGTGTAGCCACAAGTGGGAGCCACAGAGAAGGAGAGCCCATAAGGGGACTCTTTTCAAGACACGGTGTTAAATCAAGGCTCTGAAGTTGGGGCCACAGCCGGTCTCAGCTTTCTGTGTTCTGGGGGCGCGGTGATATGACAGCATGTGAAGTGAGTGGGTGAGCACGGACTCCTGAGAGCGAGGGCGCACCCAATACCTGGTTATCTGGTACTGCAGAGAGACACCTAGTCAGCCAGCGTTGCAAAGAGGGATAGCTAGTCACTCAGGCTGCAGAGAGAGACACCTGGTCACCCAGGCTGCAGAAACAACCGCAGTCAACTGCAGCTCCAGTCATTGCTGGATGTTGGCTGACGCGGTCCTGGCGCCAGCTGGAGATCCATTCACCAAGACTTTCTGGGCAGATTTAAAGTGGCTGGGGTTCAGAAGTTCAGCAAGTCGGACACACCCCTCCTCGCTGGAGAGGAGAGGGCAAAGGCGAGGCGGGGGAGCAGCGTGTGAGATTCCCCCCTTCACACACACAACAACAAAGCGTGGACACACAGAAGTGAAATCTGATCGCGTGCCAGGAAAAGCTGTGAGGCTGGAAACCCCGGAGTAAGGCTCGACCTTGGCCAGACCTGCAGGCTGCGGAACCGGGGGCGCGCGGGCGCAGCGCAGCACAGCCCGGCCATGGAGCACGCGGTGGCCCCCTGCGTCCTCTACCCAGGGACTGAGCCCGGGGCTGCCGGGGAGAGCGAGAGCGAGGGCGCCGCGTCCCCGGCGCAGACACCCTGCAGTCTCGGCGCGTCCCTGTGCTTCAGCTCCGGGGAAGAGTCCCCGCCGCAGTCCCTCGCCTCAGCGGCGGAAGGCGCGGCCACCTCCCCGCCCTCCAGCGGTGGCCCGCGGGTGGTGGAGCGGCAGTGGGAGGCCGGCAGCGCGGGCGCCGCGTCCCCGGAGGAGCTCGCGTCCCCTGAGGAGCGCGCGTGCCCGGAAGAGCCCGCGGCGCCGTCCCCCGAACCGCGCGTTTGGCTTGAGGACCCCGCGTCCCCCGAGGAGCCCGGGGAGCCCGCGCCCGTACCCCCGGGGTTCGGGGCGGTGTACGGGGAGCCGGACCTGGTGCTGGAGGTGTCGGGGCGCCGGCTGCGCGCGCACAAGGCGGTGCTGGCGGCGCGCAGCGACTACTTCCGCGCGCGCGCGTCGCGGGACGTGCTGCGGGTGCAGGGAGTGAGCCTGACGGCGCTGCGGCTGCTCCTCGCCGACGCCTACAGCGGGCGCATGGCGGGCGTGCGGCCCGACAACGTGGCCGAGGTGGTGGCCGGCGCGCGCCGCCTGCAGCTGCCCGGCGCCGCGCAGCGCGCCACCGACGCCGTGGGGCCGCAGCTGAGCCTGGCCAACTGCTACGAGGTCCTGAGCGCGGCCAAGCGGCAGCGGCTGAACGAGCTGCGCGACGCCGCCTACTGCTTCATGAGCGACCACTATCTGGAGGTGCTGCGCGAGCCCGCCGTGTTCGGCCGCCTGTCGGGCGCAGAGCGGGACCTGCTGCTGCGCCGCCGCCTGCGCGCCGGCCGCGCCCACCTCTTGGCCGCGGCGCTCGGGCCGGCGGGGGAGCGCGCGGGCAGCCGGCCTCAGAGCCCCTCGGGGGACGCGGACGCGCGCGGGGACGCGGCCGTCTACTGCTTCCACGCGGCGGCCGGAGAGTGGCGCGAGCTGACGCGGCTGCCCGAGGGCGCGCCGGCGCGGGGCTGCGGCCTGTGCGTCCTCTACAACTACCTCTTCGTGGCGGGCGGCGTGGCGCCCGCGGGCCCCGACGGCCGCGCGCGCCCGTCCGACCAGGTCTTCTGCTACAACCCGGCCACGGACAGCTGGAGCGCCGTGAGGCCCCTGCGCCAGGCGCGCTCGCAGCTGCGGCTGCTGGCCCTGGACGGTCACCTCTACGCCGTGGGCGGCGAGTGCCTGCTCAGCGTGGAGCGCTACGACCCGCGCGCCGACCGCTGGGCCCCCGTGGCGCCGCTGCCCCGGGGCGCCTTCGCCGTGGCGCATGAGGCCACCACCTGCCACGGCGAGATCTACGTGTCCGGGGGCTCCCTCTTCTATCGCCTGCTCAAGTATGACCCGCGGCGCGACGAGTGGCAGGAGTGCCCGTGCAGCAGCAGCCGCGAGCGCTCGGCCGACATGGTGGCTCTCGACGGCTTCATCTACCGCTTCGATCTGAGCGGCAGCCGCGGCGAGGCGCAGGCGGCGGGGCCGAGCGGGGTCAGCGTGTCCCGATACCACTGCCTGGCCAAGCAGTGGAGCCCGTGCGTCGCGCCCCTGCGCCTCCCCGGCGGCCCCACGGGCCTGCAGCCCTTCCGCTGCGCCGCCCTGGACGGCGCCATCTACTGCGTGAGCCGCGCGGGCACCTGGCGCTTCCAGCCTGCCCGGGAAGGCGAGGCCGGCGGCGACGCAGGCCAGGGCGGCGGCTTCGAGGCGCTGGGCGCCCCCTTGGACGTCCGGGGTGTGCTCATCCCGTTCGCTCTCAGCCTGCCTGAGAAGCCGCCCCGAGGGGAGCAGGGCGCCCCGTAGGCCGGCGGGGTCGGCGGGCGTCTCCCTCGGCAGGGGTTTGCGGGGCCCAGGTCCCTTTGGGCCCGCGGAGGAGGACGTGGTGGGGAGTCGGGGCCGCTGGCCACGCTGGTGGTTTGGACACTTCGAAGGAGCCCCGAGGACGCTCTCAGGGCCGCTTTCGCTTTGCTTTCCTTTTGCTTGTCTTTGCTTCTGGGGGTGGATGCCTTGAGACCCAGGAGGTGTGCGGATGGGTCCCTTGACAGACAGGACACAGAGAAGGCTGTGGGATCCAAAGGGTCAGCCTCAGGGTACAGTGGGGGTTCCTGAGGCAGCCTGCAGCCGGCCCCGGGGTGTCCCGAACCCCGCAGAGCACCGAGGCTGTGCGCAGGAGCCTGGGACCCTCAAGTAGGTCGCCGCGAACTATCGGGGGAAGCACGCAGAGAGGGTCACGCCTTTTATTTTTGGCTTGAGATTTAAAATTATAACTGATAAGTAAAGCTCTTTCTGATTTAGTTGAAAATTTCGTACCATGTGCTCGCTTTGGTTGGCTCAACTCCAAAAAGAGTAATTTAATAAGCATTAAAGGTAAAATCTTTGATTACCAGTAAGGTTTCTTGTTCAATATGCATTGGAAGTATTTCCTTCCCCACACCATTGCTACTCAAACTCACATGCCTAGAGCAGCTCCGTCTCACTGTTGGACCGAGGGGGCTTTCATATTTTCAGTTGAAAGGATGTTAACTGATGTAGCGATGATTTACCATTATTTAAATTTTAAGTCTTCAGTGGCTAAATGTGACCAAACAGCACATCATAAGTAGGAAAAACTTACCAGGGTGCTTGTCTATCTAAAAAGCAATCTTTGATAGTCCACTCTGTATGCCCAGCCGCTTTCATAATCTGGAACGAGATAAAATATTCCTAAAAAGCGGGGAAAATCATTTTGCTTTGACAGTTCTATAAAAAAAAGTGTAGGCACATTTTAAACCCACTGTATATGATGTTTTCAATGTGGATCGTGTAGTTCTGATGAGGGAGATTAATTTTTACAATCAGTATTCTAAGTGTGGCCGAGTGACAGTGGGCATAGATTTATAACAAGGAAGTGACGTGCTTATCACCATAGATTTGCAAGTAAACTGCATGTATTTAATTGTATTGAATTGAGTTCCAAAATACCCTAATAGAATTAACACGAGGCTCACTGCATTGACAGGGTATGAGGATTAAAAACAAATCAGTTGGGTCGTTTCTCATTTAACATTTTACTTTTCAAGTGTGTATACAGAGGACTTACTATTATGACTTTGAGGATGAGATCCATGCTCACAAATAGAGGCGAACATTTGAACTCCGAATCCAACCCATTTTCTTACTGTAAGAGGAAAAGTTACTGGAACGTAACTAGTTGAAATCCTGCCTACTTTAATATTATTTGTTTGTTAATCCAGTAATGGGAACTGCCATCTCTGTAGAAATCAGTGGGTAATTGAAAAATAGGTTATGCTTTTTAAAGAGTCTGTGGTTATGAGAGGTCTCAGTTAAGTGTGTTTAGAAGTGATCAGCTTGAACCTTATGCATGACTCGGGGGCTGGAATTTATGATCTGGGTTACGGTATGTTCTGGGGACGTGTCTGCTTGCCCATGGTTACTCATGAACTGAGGGGATAGCTTGGCAACTTGGTTAATCATCTTGGGAAAGAAAAACAGACTTCATATCGCCTGACTTGATTGGCCTTTTATAGGAGTATACTGGAGAAATGGTTGTAGAAACAGTATTTACAGCAAAAGGAAACAAATAATGTTCATTTTAAGCAATGTACCATTCACACTGTCCTGCCTTTTCCTCTAGAATTTTATTAATGGTAGAAATTTTTATATGAAATGGGACCAGGACCAGGCTAATATTTTCAGTCCTTAAATATCAAACTCATATGCTGTTATCACTGTGATTTTACTTGTGAAATCATTCCTGTAATGTTTATTGTTTGAAAATGAAATATTGAAATTAGGCTTCCAGAGTAACACTGTCCCCGGAAAAGGATATGAGAAGTGGTGGATGTTGGATGGGGGTGGTTGCACAGTCCTGTGCGGTTCCCATGGCTTTCCAGCGTTTCATTTAGTGAAGGAATGCTCACACTAGATGTAGCACAGCTTCCTGTGGGGCCCGGCAGCAAAGCCCCAGGTGCTCCCTGTCACCTCACAACAAAATGCACTAAGAAACGTAAAGAATAAGAGGAATTAATACCCACCATTAAAGGATGTCCGGCCAACCTATTGTGGAAATTTATAGAATAGTATACACCACAGTTCTGAATAGTGATATCACATAAAAATACATACTAGAGGACCTGCCACGCCATGAGCAGTGTTTTTGCTTTTTGGGGGCCAGTCCCTGGGGTGTGGAGCCGCTAGGGTTTGCACCCATGAAACAGAGAAAAGCCACACCCTCCAAGGTGTGGCTTTCATTTTGGGACTGCTGCAGGGAGGGCAGAGGCATTGCTGAGACTGCCTGGCAACGGCTGATGCCCCAGGTAGGACCTTTTCCAATTCAAAGTGGTGTTCTAAGTCTGCGTCCAACACTGTGTAGGAAAAAGGTTGGTGCAAAAATATTCCTGGTCATCCACCCATTAAAATAGTTAGATGAGGCTATTGCCTTGATGACAGCTGTCCACACTCCTCATGAAATTAACCCGTATGCCGGGGCATTTCCAAATGTCTGACTCGTGAAATTAACCCATACGCAGGGGCCTTTCCAAATGTCTGAAAAGGCAGTGGTGTCTTTTGGGGAAAATGTTATGCATGGAAGCCTGACCTTTTGCTTAGTTGACAGCAATCCCTTCTGTATTGCCAATCAAGGTTCATTTGAGATGCAGAGGAATGAGCTTGAGCCTTCCTCCTTTTCCTTCCGGTTTTATTCTTCCTCTTGGGAACATCCCTCCACTCCGCACTGCTTCCTGCAGCTTTGTAGAGCTGGATTTGGAACTTCGGGATTTGGTTTCTGAGTCTGTGGAGGCACCGACTTCTGCTGTAAGAAAATGAATGTTGTGGAAATTCTTTGGCTACTTAACTAAAACTCGTGACTGTATAAGTTTGGCTACAAATAAGTAAGAAATTAATCATCTGCTCTGTTTCTGCTAATTTCTGGTGTCACTTCAGTAATTCTGGTAGCAGCCGTTGAATCTGTCAGTCTCTTAGGTAACTTCCTGTAAACGATTTGGAAATAGGATGTTTTCAACGTTCTTTTGTCTTTTGCTGAAGTCAGGATAGATTCAAGACATAATCTCTTGTAAGATCTAAATAGAGCAAATGTAAACAAAAGTGCATTTTTGTATTCTTGTTAATTTTAGATGCTTTCCTAGCTTACAAAAAGTTCTGTTTTTGGGTTAAAAATCAATCAACTTTCTGATATTTCCCCTTCTGCAATGTTATTGTTCATAAGAAAACACGAGCTGAAAATGGAAATCTGCAGTTGTTTCAGTTGTCTTGAATTTCTTTCAGTGGCCACATCATTTCCACGTTTTCCACATCCGGGAGGAAGCCTGGACTGTGCAGCCTTCGGGCACCCGGCACAGACACTGTGCTGGCAGGAGCTTCAGACACGCCAAGTGGATGGATTTGGATTGAACGCATATGAAACAGGAGACGGGTTCTCATGTGAGATCAAAGCTCCTCCAAAGCCTGTTCAAGCTCTAAGCGATTCTCAAATGTTACCATTTATTAAAGGTAAACTACACCTGTTGAAGGCCAAGTTCAGGGCAGCTGTTGTGATCTGTGTAGTTAATGTATTTATTAATGCTTGACTTTTAAAATCCTGGGCATAAATAGTGCAGAGCCTCGTATGTTTGTCAGTTCATGCCGAGATGAAATAAATCACGCAGAAAGTGCCAGTCCTCCTGATGTGCCCCGAGTGCTTTTCTCTTTCTCCACAGCGAGCGTCAGATGCGGCTTTTTCTCCTGTGAATCAGGGAGCGTAGCTCTGCCTGCGGGACCCAGGGTTGACACGTCCTGCCCGTTAAGTGAGGAACTGCCCTCACCGGCTCCTGAAGCTCCCCTGGCACAGAGGTTCTAAGTTGGGGTGTCTGTTCCCACTCCCAGGTGCCCTGGATTCCTCGGTCTGCTCACGGGTCCCAGCGGGGGATCACGGCACACCACCTAGGACCTCGGGAACACCAGGATGGGCTGCACAGGAGCAGGTGGAAGCCGAGGCCAGCGCCTAGACTTTGGTTCCTAGGGAAGGCAGGTTGGGGGAGCTGCTTCGCTGCACTGGTTTGTGTCCTTCCAGTGGGCTTTGTGCTATCACGGTGGTCTCCAGTTGCCTGGTACCGGGCCCAGGGGTGATACAGGGCAGGGCTTGTGTGTGAGAGTAGCTGAGGAGGGCTTGGGGGTGTGGACTGCGGCCAGTTGGTCTGGCCATGAGCTCCCAGCCAAGCCCTTCCCATCTCTAAGAATGAGCTGACTCAGGAGGACAGCCTGTCCCTGGCCAGGCCAGCAAGCTGTAAGATGCCAAAACATCACAAAGCACAGAAAATGAAAGAGGTGGTCAGTAGGACCGTCAGGCACAGTCCCCTGCCCCTGGAGTGGGTCGGGAGGTACCAGGGTGGGCAGGGAAGAGCATTAGGGCCATCCCACGTCTTCCCCGGTGTCCTGTCCCCTTCCACCAGCAGCACCTCCTCCATGAAATTTCCCAGTTGCAGTGGGGCTTGGGGGAACTAATGTAGAACATGTCCTCCCGCCCACCCCCCAGGTAAGAACGAACTGAGAAACGGCTCAGCAGCCAGGCAGGTGGGACTCACAGCCACTGCTTCACCCGCAGGGGCTGTGCCAGAGAGTGGTGCTGGGTTTGTTGCCACGTGGGCTTGTGAAGGCCACCGGAGTCAGTGCACACATCCTACCACCCCAGGGGGTCATATGCACTCAGCCCCCACCCCAGGGTGTCAGATACACTCAGCCCCACCCCAGGGTGTCACTTGCACTCAGCCGCACCCCAGGGGGTCATATGCACTCAGCCCCTACCCCAGGATGTCAGATGCACTCAGCCCCCACCCCAGGGTGTCAGATGCACTCAGGCCTATCCCAGGGTATCAGTTGCACTCAGCCCCCACCCCAGGGTGTCAGATGCACTCACCCCCCCACCCCAGGGTGTCAGATGCACTCAGCCCCAACCCCAGGGGGTCAGATGCACTCAGCCCCCACCCCAGGGTATCAGATGCACTCAGCCCCCACCCAAGGGTGTCAGATGCACTCAGCCCCAATCCCAGGGGGTCAGATGCACTCAGCCCCCCACCCCCTACAGGGTATCAGGACACCAGGACTCCTGGAGGATGCAGCTCCCAGAACTCCCTGTGAGTGAGCACAGAGCCCTGCTCCTGGGGGGCAGGTCCCATGGGAGAGCCCAGATGTGAGGGAAGGGCTGCTCCCCACATTCCTCCCCTGGGGAGAAGAGGCTGGGGTAGGAGCTGCAGAGAGGCCAGGACCAGGAGCCTCAGAAATTTCCTTGCAATGGAAACAGGCCTGGAGCCACGTTCCCCGGGGATGCACCTGTCCTCTCGTGGCCACTCCATGTCCTGGGGGAGCACAGGGGTAGGTGCCTTTGCATGTTTCTGAGCCGTTGGAGCTTAGAGATCACTCTCTGCCCTCAGACTGGGCTGAGGTCGGATTAGAATGTTAAATACCAGGCAGGGCCTCGTATTTAACCACTGGGGTCTTCAGGACCCCGTGGCCTCCAGCGTCTCCAGTGCCGACCCCAAGGCCCAAGTGTGGGCCTCGAACCCAGCTCGACACAGGAGGGGTGGCCTCGAGCCCCGCACCCGCAATGGAAAAGGACACGGGCCTCACAGGCTCCTGGGGTCTTCACTGAGACAGCTGAGGAAGAAAACGGTCTGGAGCCGATGAAAGGCGTGGCCAGGATGAGGGAGGAAGACGCTCCTTCCCGTCCCGTGTGCTTGAGGCGTGGGCCGAGTGAACGCTGTGGTGAGACCTGGTGCTCCTGCATGTCGCCACCACCCTGCCCTCAGAGCAGATAAGGCCATGGCCGTGACGACACCCAGCCATCGGGCCACCTGGGCTTCTTTCTTCCTCTGATCCGAAGACACCCTCCTCCACCCTCACCTGGCCTCCTACCAAGGAAAAGTTTGAGTTGAAAACCTGTAGACACAAACATTTTTCTTTTTTCTTTTTCGTGTGCTTCTTTTTTTTGTGATGGGGTCTCCCTCTGTTTCTCCCTCTGTCGCCCAGGCTGGAGGGCAGTGGTGCACTCTCAGCTCACTGCAGCCTCCAACTCCTGGGCTCAAGTGATCCTCCCGCCTCAGCCTCCTGAGTAGCTGGGACCACAGGTGCATGCCACCATGGTCAACTAATGTTTTTAGTTCTGGTAGCGATGGGGTCTCACTGTGTTGCCCAGGCTTGTGTCAGACTCCTGGCCCTAAGCTGTCTTCCTGCCTCAGCCTCCCAAAGTACTGGGATTAAGGTGTGAGCCACTGCAGCAGGCCCAAACGTTTCTAGACACAATTTGTACTTGAGCCAGAACCAAGTGTTATTGTTCATTTGTCAGGGGTCTTGAAAAAATTATTTTTCCTCTTAAAATCTTTATTTTTCATGCACTCAGCCCCAACCCCAGGGGGTCAGATGCACTCAGCCCCCACCCCAGGGTGTCAGATGCACTCAGCCCCACCTCAGGGTATCAGCTGCACTCAGCCCCAACCCCAGGGGGTCAGATGCACTCAGCCCCCCACCCCAGGGGGTCAGATGCACTCAGCCCCCACCCCCCACAGGGTATCAGGGCACCAGGACTCCTAGAGGATGCAGCTCCCAGAGCTGCATCCCAAAAAAAGGAATGTTGCTAAAAGTATATTCGTAAGCAGAGTGGAGACAGAAGCTCTCCAACCTGAAGTTGTTATCTTAGTTTTTCTCATAGCATTTTCTTCTGTGGAAATAGAATTCTGTTTGAACTCTTCTATGGCGTCACCATTTTCCCCTGCTGAGCTTTAGGATTTTTATAATAAATGAGAATGGTTTTCTTAGCTGAGTATTTTGAATATTTTAAACCTGATATAACACCAGGAAACACGTGGGCCTTTTAGACTGAGGCAATGAATCTTATAAATTGAGGCAAAAGAAAGAAGTGAGAACAATTTGCAGAAGTCTAATATTCTTGCTCAGTGAGAAAGGGGGACTTTTCACCTCTTCAGACAAATGAAATTAAAGCTATTCGTCTCCCCCCAACCCCCAATTTTTTTTTAGACAGGGTCTCACTCTGTCACCCAGGCTGGAGTGCACTGGTGCAGTCTTGGCTCACTACAACCTCCGCCTCCTGGGTTCAAGCTATTCTCTGCCTCAGCCTCCCGAGTAGTTCAGATTACAGGCGCACACCATCGTGCCCGGGTAATTTTTGTATTTTTGGTAGAGATGGCATTTCACCACGTTGGCCAGGCTGCTCTGGAACTCCTGACCTCGAGTGATCCGCCTGCCTTGGCCTCCCAAAGTACCAGAATTATAGGCATGAGCCCGCGCCCAGCGCAATTAAACCTATTTGTGCACAGAAGAGCTGACTGTGCTCAGTTCCTCGGAGGTCTTGAAGGAGGCGTGTTAAGGCCCTCCCTTCAGAGCCCATCTTGCTGGCATCACCGTGTACCATGCCACGCTAGGGTCTTGACACAGTGATGCGGCCCTGCTGCTGGTGGGCCACGCTGTGTGGCAAACACCTTAGAATGTGTTCTCACGCCCTAAAGATGCGTCCAAACGCTTCAGCAGCAGAAACTGAACAGTTGAATGCACACAGCTGCGGGCTGATGAATTCATCATCCAGGCCTGCTCCCTGAGAGCTCCGGAGGGCGGGAATGGGTCGTGGAGCCTGGGTCGTCAATCCCCACACCTGAGAGCTCTGGAGGGCGGGAATGGGTCGTGGAGCCTCGGTCATCAATCCCCACAGCACGCTCCTCACTAATGGTTGTGACTCAGTAGGTAAAACGCTGGCGGTCGCTCACAGTTCATTATTGCAGCTCTGTTTTCTGCTGTCTGTATAGTCTGGGACACGCCACTAAGCCTCATCAACGTTCTTAGTTTCATGTTCCTAAAATCTGAATCAGAGCAGTCCCCAGAGTGCTAATGAGACGGCTGTGTGGAGATAGCCATGGCAGAGTCCAGCCTCTGGGCCCGGAAGAGTCACTGCAGCTACTCCTTAAACACAGGGATTCTGTGTCCTGACATGAGAGATTCTCACGTGCTATATCCCGGATGCAGCCAGAGATGTGCATTTCAACAGGGAATTCAGAGGTGAGTGCTCGCATTGCCACGCTGTTAAAAACGCTATTGTAGGACCTCCCAGCAGGTGGCTGAATCTAAGCACGTTTAGGATCGCTGTCCGTGTGGAGCTCGCCAGGTGGTTGGTGTCCTCCCCACACGCTCTCCTGGCAAAGATACTTGTGGCTATTAACTTGGATCACCCCGAAGAGACTGTGGCTTGTCACAAACCCCATGTAGGATAAAAGAAGGCATTTAGGCATTGAAAACAAACCCTCTTACAGTAAGAGAATCCCAAACAGTTCCCAGGAACTGCAATGTGAACAGCCTGACCAAGCCACGGTGGGCTGAGGAAGCAGAGACTCCGTAGCACCTGAGGACCTCAGCCGCCCATCCTGACAGGTGCAAGTGCGCACCTGTAATCCCAGCTACTCAGGGGGCTGAGGCAGGAGAATCGTTTGAACCTGGGGGGTGGAGGTTGCAGTGAGTTGACATTGCACCACTGCCCTCCAGCCTGGGCTACAGAGTGAGACTCTGTCTCAAAAAAAAAAAAAATCTGGCTGAAATCTCCTTCTTGTAACTTTGCCTGTCACAAATTTAGCTTTCTAGTTCAAAATGTACTTGAGGTGAGGTCCCTGTGTGAATCACTGTGAGAGGATTTATGACTCCGTAAAGTGGGACACCCACGCTTAAGACGCTTACAGAGAGTGACAGAGGCGATGAGCTCATAGTAAAATAAAGCGGAGGGGAGTCCAGCCTGCAAGAGCGGCACCGAGTCCTCTAATACTTACTCGCAGCCAGGAGCCCGTAAGGACACAGAGAAGCAAGCCTCTAGCTGCTGGAACAGATGTCCCCAGCTCCAAGAAGCCACACAAACATCCTGTGTTCTCACGTCATCTTTGTTTGTAATCTAAGTATCGTTCTCACATGCACGACTGTCATTTCTAGGCTCACAAAGCAGATGATTAAGAGCAGAAATGCGGTGGCCACAGGGACACAGTAGGTTGTCCCGCGACGAGCCAGTGACAGGAGGAGAGGGAAGGAAAATGGCAGCTGGGGGTCCGGAACGCAGAGCAGTGTTTACTTTCGGCATCCAGTTTTGTGCTTGGTAAAGTCTTAAGGGCGGGAGGTTGATAATAGTATTATGATATTAACTGCAGATCATAAAACATCAAATTCTTTTTAGCATTCTTTGATCATGAGCCAAAGAAGATTTTATTTTTCAGACAAGTTTTAGGCTCACAGCTAAATTTAGAGGAAGGTTCAGAGTTGCCGTAAGTCGCCTGCCCCCAACACATATAGTGTAAACCCCACTGTAAACACCCTTGCCAGAGTGGGGCGTTTTTACATCAATGAACCTACAGCTCATCACCAGCCAGAGTACACAGTTTACATAAGGGCTCACTCTTGGTGTTGTGAGTTCCATGGGGTTGGACAAATGTGTAATGACATGGATCGGCTGCATCATTGCCAGAGCTCAATTGTAAGATCATATCATCTGCAAACAATGAGAATTTGACTTTTTGCATTCCATTGTGGATGTCCTTTATTTCTTTCTCTAGGAAAGGACCTTCAGTAGTATGTTGAATAATAATGGTGAAAGTGGTCATCCTTAGCCAGGTGTGGTGGCTTATGCCTGTAATTCCACCACTTTGGGAGGTCGAAGAGGGTGGATCATTTGAGGTCAGGAGTTTGAGACCAGCCTGGCCAACATGGTGAAACCCCATTTCTATTAAAAATACAAAACTTAGCCAGGCATGGCAGTGGGCAAGCTACTTGGGAGGTTGAGGCAGGAGAATTATTTGAACCTAGGAGGCAGAGGTTGCAGTGAGCTGAGATTGCACCATTGTACTCCAGCCTGGGTAACAGAGTGAGAATCCATCTCAAAAAACCAAAAAAAATTGGGAATCTTTGTCGTGTTCCAGATCTTCAGAGAAAGGCTTTCAGTTTTTCCACATTTATTGTGTTCCGCTTTTATTGTGTTGAGATATTTTCCATCTATACCCAGTTTTTTGAGAGTTGTTATCATGAAGAATGTTGAATTTTATCAAATGCTTTTCAAGCATCAATTGAAATGATCAGATGCTTGTTGCCCTTCATTCTGTTGAATGATATATCACATTGATTGATTTGCCTATCACAAACCATCCTTGCATCCCTGGGATAAATCCCCTTTAGTCATGTTGAATGTCTTTTTAATATATTATTCAATTTGGCTTGCTAGTATTTTGTTGAGGATTTTTGCATCAATGTTCATTGGGGATACTGGCCTGTAGTTTCTTTTTTTTGATGTGTCTTTGTCTGATTTTGGTATCAGGGCAATACTGGCCTTGTAGAATGAGTTTGGAAATTTTCCCTCCTCCTCTAATTTTTGGAATAGTTTGAGGAAGATTGGTATCAGTTCTTTGTTAAATGTTTGGTAACATTCTGCAGTAAAGCCATTTGGGAGGTCGAAGAGGGTGGATCATTTGAAGTCAGGAGTTCGAGAAGAGCCTGGCCAACATGGTGAAACCCCATTTCTACTAAAGATACAAAACTTAGCCAGGCATGACGGTGGGCAACTGTAATCCCAGCTACTTGGGAGGTTGAGGCAGGGTCCTGGGCTTTTCTTTGCTGGGACTTTTTATTATGGCTTCACTCTTGTTACTTGTTATTGGTCTGTCGGGTTTTGGATTTCTTCATGATTCAATCTTGGTAAGTTGTATATGTCTAGGAGTTTGCCCATTTCTTCTAGCTTTTCCAATTTATTGGCCTATAGTTGCTCATAGTAGCCTCTAAAGACCTTTTGAATTTCTGCAGTATTGGTTGAAATGTCTCCTTTTTCATCTCTGATTTTATTTATTTTGGTCTTCTTTCCTTTTTTCTTAGTCTGGCCAAAGGTTTGTAGATTTTATCTTTGCAAGTAAAAAACTTTTCATTTTGTTGATGTTTTGCATTGTTTTCTTCATTTCAATTTCGTGTATTTCTGCTCTGATATTTATTCTATTCTTCTTTTAATTTTGCGTTTGGTTTGCTTTTGCTTTTCTAGTTCTTTAAGAGGCATTGTGAGGTTGTTTATTTGAGGTTTTTCTACTTCGTTGATGTAGGTGCTTATAGCTATACACTTTCCTCTTAGTACTGCTTTTGCTGTATCCCGTAGGTTTTGGTATGTTTTGTTCCATTATTATTTGTTTCAAGATATTTTTCAGTTTCCTTGTTAATTTTTTCATTGACCCACTGGTTATTCAGGCAGATATTTAATTTCTATGTGTTTGTATAATTTCCAAAATTCCTGTAGTTATTGATTTCTAGTTTTATTCTATTGTCATCCGAAAAGTTACTTGATGTAATTTCATTAAAAAAATTTTTTTGAGACTAATTTTGTGGCCTAACATATCGTCTATCCTTAAGAGTGATTCATGTGCTGAAGAGAAGAATGTGTATTCTGCAGCTCTTGGGTGAAATGTTCTGTAAATAACTATTAGATCCATTTAGCTTATAGTGCAGATTAAGTCCGATGTTTGTTTTTTGATTTTCTATCTAGATGCTGTCTGATGCTGAAAACGGGGTGCTGAGGTCCCAGCTATTATTGTGTTTGAGTTTCTCTCTCTTTTTTAGCTTGAATAATATTTGCTTTATATATCTAGGTGCTCCAGTTTCAGGTGCATATATATTTACAATTGTTTTTTTTCTGAGATGGGGTCTTGCTCTGTCGCCCAGGCTGGAGTGCAGTGGCATGATCTCAGCTCACTGCAAGCTCCGCCTCCTGGGTTCATGCCATTCTCTTGCCTCAGCCTCCCGAGTAGCTGGGACTGTAGGCACCCACCACCACACCCGGCTAAATTTTTCTATTTTTTAGTAGAGATGGGGTTTCACCGTGTTAGTCAGGATGGTCTCAATCTCCTGACCTTGTGATCCGCCAGCCTCTCTATATTTACAATTATTATATCCTCTTGCTGAATTGACTCCTTTGTCATTATATAATGACCCTGTTTGTCTCTTTTTATAGTTTTAGTCTTGAAATTTATTTTGTCTGATGTATGCATAGCTATTCCTGTTCTTTCTGATTTCCATTTGCATGGAATATCTTTTTCCATGTCTTTATTTTCAGTAGTGTGTTTCTTTATAGGTGAAGTGTGTTTCTTGAAGGCAACAGATCACTGAGTCTTGGTTTCTTAGTCCATTCACCACTATGTGCCTTTCGATGGGTGAATTTAGGCCATTTATATTCAATATTATTATGATAAGTAAGGAGTTACTTCTGCTATTTTATTATTTATTTTCTGGTCTTCCTTTCCTTCATTTTTTCCATCCTGTGTTCTTTTTAGTGAAGGTGATTTTCTCTGGTAGTGTGTTTTAATTTCTTGCTTTTTGTATATGTGTGTTTTTTTTTTGTATCCATTGTATGTTTTTTGATTTGAGATTATCACGAGGCTTGCAAATAATTCCTTATAACCCATTATTTTAAACTGATGACAACTTAACATTGATTGTATAAACAGCCAATCTAACCAACAAACAAAGAGAAAACTAATAAAAACCCTACACTTTAACTTTGTCCCCCTGTTTTAAACTCTTTATTGTTTCTATTTTTATCCTGTTGGACTATCTATGTCTTGAAAAGTTGTTATAGTTATTATTTTAATTGGTTCATCTTTTAGTCTTTCTACTCAAGGTACGAGTAGTTTTCCCATCACTATTACGTGTTATGAGATTCTGTGTTTTTCTGTGTATTTACTATTACCAGTGAGTTTTGCACCTTCAGATGATTTCTTATGGTTCTTCAATCTCCTTTCCTTACAGATTGAAGAACTTCTTTTAGTATTTCCTGTAGGACAGGTTTAGAGTTTAAGAAATCCCTCTGCTCTTTTTTTGTCTGGGAAAGCCTTTATTTCTCCTTCATATTTGAAGGATATTTTCACTGCTTATGCTATTTTAGGATAAACGTTTTTTCCTTCAGCACTTTAAGTATATCATGCCATCCTCTTCTGGCCTGTAAAGTCTCCACTGAAAAGTCTGCTTCGAGATGGATTGGAGCTCCATTGTATGTTATTTTTTTCTTTTATCATGCTGCTTTTAGGATCTTTTCTTTATCCTTGAACTTTAGGAGTTTGATTATTAAATGCCTTGAGACATTATTTGGGTTAAATCTATTTGGTGTTCTGTAACCTTCTTGTACTTGAATATTGATATCTTTATCTAGGTTTGGAAAGTTTTCTGTTATTATCCCTTTGAATAAACTTTCTACTCTAACCTCACTCTCTCTGTCTCCTCTTTAAGGTCACTACCTCTTAGATTTGAGCATTTGAGGCTATTTTCTAGATCTTATAGGCGTGCTAAGTTCTTTTCTATTTTGTCTTCTCTGACTGTGTATATGCAAATAGTCTGTTGTCAAGCTCACTAATTCTTTCTTCCGCTTGGCCAGTTCTGCTGGTAAGAGACTCCAGTGGATGATTCAGTATGTCAATTGCATTTTCAGCTCCAACATTTCTGCTGGACTTTTTAATTATTTCAATCTCTTTGCTAAATTTATGATAGGATTCTGAATTCCTTCTCTGTGTTATTTCAATTTTCTTTGAGTGTCTTCAAAACAGCTATTTTGAATTCCTTTTCTGAAAGGTCATATACCTCTGTCTCTGCAGGATTGGTCCCTGGTGCCTTATTTAGTTTGTTTGGTGAGGTCATGTTTTCATGGATGGTCTTGATGCTTGTGGATGTTTATCAGTGTCTGGGCACTGAAGAATTAAGTATTTATTGTAGTGTTCACAGTCTGGGCTTGTTTGTACCTGTCCTTCTTGGGAAGGTCTTTCAGGTATTCAAAGGGACTTGGGTGTTAGAATTTAAGTTTTCAGTCATTGCAGCCATATCTTAGGGGGCACCCCAAGCCCAGTCATGCTGTGGCTCTTGCAGACTTGTAGGGGTACTGCCTTGGTGGTCTTGCAGAAGATCCAGAAGAATTCTCTGGATTATTGGGAAGAGATTCTTGTTCTATTCCCTTACTCTCTCCCAAACAACTGGAGCTTCTCTCTGCATGCAGAGCTGCCTGTAGCTTGGGGAAGAGTGACACAAGCATCCCTCTGGTCACCACCACTGGGATTGTGCTGGTCATACCTGAAGCCAGTACAGTACTCACACAAAGCCCATGGTAACCACTGACCAGCTACTGCCTAATTTGCTCAATCAGCAGGTGGCACAGCCAACCAGGCTTCTTTCCTTCCCTTTAGGGCAGTGAGTTTCCCCCAGCCCTGGGCAGGTCCAGAGATACCATCTGGGAGCCAGGGACTAGAGTTGGAAACCTTAGGAATCTAGCTGGTGCTTTATTCTACTACAGCTGAGCTGGCATCCAAGCCACAAGACAAGATCCTTCCCTCCCATTTTCACAGGCAGAGAAGTCTCTCCCCGTGGCCACCATTGCTCCCAACCTGCAGCGAGTACTGCCTGGCTACTGTCAGTGTTCACTCAAGGCCCAGGGGCTCTTTATTCAGTGTGTGATGAATGCTGCCAGGCCTAGAACTCTCCTTTCAGGGCAGTGGGCTCCCCTTTGGCCCAGGGCAGGTCCAGAAATGCTTTCCAGGAGCCAAGGCCTAGGACTGGGGACCCCAAGAGCCTGCTTGGTGCTCTACCCTACTGTGGCCAAGATGGTACTGAGACAGAGTACCCATATTCTTCCCTCTTCTTTTCTCCAGCAGAAGGAGCCTCTCCTCTTAGCCATCACAGCTTGGAATGTGCTGGGTCACACCTGAAGCCAGCATGTCTTACAGTCTCACCCAAGGCCCCCGGCATGTACTACCTGGCTACCGCTGCTGATTATTCAGGGCCCAAGGGCTCTTTAGTCAGCAGGTGACAAATCCTGCCAGGACTGGGTTCTTCTCTTCAAGGCACTGGATTCCCTTCTGGCCCAGGGTGTGTCTAGAATTGTCATCCAGGAGCTAGGGCCTGGAATGAGGGCCTCAGGACTCTGTGCCCTATTCTACTGTGGCTGAGTATCCAAGTTGCAAGACAAAGGCCTCCTCAGGTTTCCCTCTCCTCTCCTCAGGGGAAGGACGAAGTCTCTTCAGGAGCTGTGAGCTGTGCTGCCTGGGGTAGGAGAAGGGGTTGCACAAGCACTCCCTTGGCTGCCCTGGCTGATATCTCACTGGGTCATGTGTCCCCCCAGTCCATTGACTCTGAGCTCAGCACAGCACCAGGACTTGCCCAGGAGTTGCAGTCCTTGTGGTCTAGGCTGCCTTTTAAGTTTATATGGGACTCCAGAGCACGTTAGCACGTGGCGGGGGGGCTTGCTAGAACTCAGGTTCCGACCACTGCGGTGGGTGATTCCCAGTGTTGCTTTCCACTGTGACAGGGCAGCAAGGTTTTCTGGGATGCACCAAGCCTCTTGGATATAATGGCTTTCTAACTACACTGTGATGCCAAGTCATGTTTCCACATGCGGCCCTCAGCACAAAGCATCCTGACACGTTCTCACCAACACTTGCTTTGATGCAACTTTTCCATTTGTCTCCATCAGATAGGAAACTAAAATCTCTTGTTTTAATTTGCATTTCTCTGCCACCTTGTGGGACTAAAAGTGCCTTCATTTACTGGTTAACCACTCACTTCTGTGACCAGCCCATTTAGCTTCTTTGTATTTTTTCTTTGTTGTTTTCTGTGGATTTATAATTTCTTGTAGATTTAGATATTACCATTTTATGTATTTTAGAAATGTTAAATATATTCTTCCACATAACTGTTAGCATTTTTTGGTGGGATATTTTATTGAATAACAATCCTTAATTGAATATCATTGAATATCAAATCCAATACTTTTTTTCCTGATGGTTTCTCTTTTTGGGGTTAATCATTAATCTTTTAACAATGAAAATATTTAATATTTGTTAATAGTAGTATGCAATATGTAAACTCCCTAATCTCTTAATTTATTGTCAAGATTTCTTATAAGAGGAAATAAGAATAGATTTTATATAAGAAACTCTGCCTCCACGCATGTTCTCTTAATATACGGAGGTGTACAAACCGCTATTCAAGTTAATACACAAATAAGTCATCAAGAATGTGCTATGTCCTACAACAGAAAGTTGTGGGGAGCCTCACAGCTTACAGTGAGGGCGCCTGGAGGAAACCCCGGCTGTCTCACATCTGCAAGTGAGGGAGAGCTGTGCTCTGACTGAAGAGAAGTGTCACATAAAAAGATGAAGACTTTTATTGTAGGAGGGACGTCAAATGAACACTTGAAAAAATGAATGTAAATCTTAAGTTTCATTAGAATACAGCATGTTTCCTTGCACTTACATATGGCCTTCAAAAGACAAAACCTAAAACAAGAATCAGGAAAAGGAATCAAAATTGGACACTAAACAGGACTGTCAACACCTAAGTCATAACCAATAGGTGGTGTCGAATTAGGATACGCTTGAGAAATGGGGTTTGAAAGAGAGTTGTCTGTGAGAGATGCTAAACAATAAACAGCACCAGGCTTATAAAACACCTTCCCAAATCACACAGAACAAAGCATCTTCTATGAATGGTGCAGGCTGGATGTCACAGCCTCCTCTTCCCCCAAGGCCTGTAAAATGAAGTCAGTTTTAAACTCGGAATTGAACATTGTCACACAATTTAGGTATCAGCTATCACTGACGGTGGGAGACTTCAAAATAATTTTGCACGTTCACAGACTTTATAGCTAATCCTGTGAGCAACTCGGCGTGTGGCCTACATACCTGTGAAGAATTGTCACAGTGATTTCCAGATCCAGAATGTAATTTGCCCAAAACCAGGCTTCCAACCTTGACACATTTATTCCACCCGTTAAACACCTGTGTGCGCATAAAGACATCTCGGGAGCTGTCGTCCCTCCATCAAATCACAGGCTCGGGTGTGACGGTGTGAGCTTCCTGGACTTTCAAGCAGATTGAGTAGCTCAGTCGGGGGGAGAAGCTTAGAGACGAGTGAGATTAAAATGTGAAGCTATTTGTTTTTCTGAAAATTTGATGTTACCCTTTGCAGCACAGTCTTCAAAGTTTCTTCTGCCTCCATGGCATAATTTGGAAAATCTCTGAAACGTCAAATGGTCCTAATGTAATTGACCTTACATACACAATCTAAGAAAAAATGTAATCTATCAAAAAGATACAGCCTGTCCATTAACAAAATCGCCATGTCGTGTCATCCTTCAAATACATGCAGAAGCCAGAACAGTCACATTTTCTCTTTGGTTTTAGACAACAGACCCTGCTGGAGTCATAATACAGGACAAGTTGATACAAAATCTATTTAATTAAAGTTGCCCTTTTCCTTGAGATGAATTTCCTGGGAGTTATGAGGTCAAGCATGGTTCCCTTTCCAGCTAAATAGCTGCCCAACAGCTGTTGCTATTTGGAACATGTTTACTCCTAAAACCGCTCTGTAGTTCTGTGGTTCACATGGTGTCTTAGTCTTGCTGACACTGTGGTGCTGTGTGGCTCTAACGTCAAATTCCATTGTGACTGAGGAATGAACTACAGGCCTTGTGCTTTCCTGACAGTCCCCTCCGAGGGGACAGAGTGCCACAGAGTCACCTAGAAACAGCCTGGACGGGCACAGATAGCAAGACGTGCACCTGCGCAGCCCGGGACTCTCCTAGCGGGGCAGGGCAGAGCCAGCAGGGAGTCAGCACTCAGCCTGCAGAGGCGCTGGGCACCGGACGCTGATGCAATAAAAGCACTTCACATTTTCTATGGAAACTGGCTTTGGCAATTTCCATTTGTTTTCTTTTTCTGCTGTTCTGCCGCCTCCCAGGCCCTTTCCTTGTGAGGATGTGCAGAAAGGACGTCTCTGGCTCTCTGGCGAGCTCTGCACCCCAATGCTCCCCCCACCTTCCCTGTCACAGATCCCCCTCTGTGCAGACAGAGATGCAGAACACAGAACAGAGAGTGCCCATTGTCTTCCCCTGTGTGTAGAAGGGATGGGGACCAGGGATTGAGGACAACAGCCCATTCTCTGCACCGTCCAGACCTTGGAACCCGCTCCCTGTCTCCCCCGTGGCACTCAGGGAACACATCGGAGAAACTCTTGGTGGCCTCTGCTGTTTAAAGAGGTCATCGCAGTGAAGAAAAGAACATGAAGTTGTTAATTCCTTATGCTTTTTGTTAACTATTCCAGGATTTCCTTTGAAGTTCCTTTCTGTGTTCTTTTGAAAAGGTCAAGCTATGGGGCTGAGTGATTTGTAGCTGGAGTTGTGGACTCGTTCTGTGACCCTGGACCCTTAGGCATGGCTGGGCCTTCTGCCTCACTCTGTCTATCTGACTCCTCTGTCTAGTTAAATGGCTAATCATTCTCGTGGCACAATGCAAACGCTCCCCCGTTTGTCGTTTGGGTTGAACACATCAGATATTTGGATTCTGGGTACGGCTGGATAATATCAAAGCGTTTCTGGAGGTAATTCTTTCAGTCAGCACTGAGCTCTGGGTGTACAGCGGGGCAGAGATGAATCAGCACCCAGCTCCAGCTGTGCAGCCGGGCAGAGATGAATCAGCACCCAGCTCCAGCTGTGCAGCCGGGCAGAGATGAATCAGCACCCAGCTCCAGCTGTGCAGCCGGGCAGAGATGAATGAGATGCAGTCGTGGCTCATCCCACTGTCGGGGCGGCCGGGAACTGAAAACGACCCCATCCAGTGAGGCCCGGCAGGCATGGGCTGCTGGCGAGGGTGGCACCAGAGTTTGGGATGGAGCCGAGTTGAGGGGACCTAGGGAAGGCATCCTGGAGGAGGAGGCCAAGCCGAGAGAGCCTGGGATGCCAGGGGCTGTGAGCAGGGACCAGCCTGGCAGGGGTGAGGAGCATGGCTGAGGCTGGGGACCTGGAGTGGGCATCTCTGGAGATGCCAGGTGGGCTGAGAGGGAGGAAGGACAGTGAGGCCCAGTGAGACTCACCTAGCGTGTGCTGCACTGTGTGTGAAGCCACCAGACTTGGAAGGACCATCGCCAGCTGGGCCAGAGCACTAGGGACCTACTCAATGCCATGAATGTGTCAGGGTGGGTAGAACCAGGGCTACCTCTAGGCAACAATGCACCACGTCCTAGTACCCACAGCCAGGGGATCAGGGCCTGGGTAGCACTCGCCCAATTGACATGCGTGAGCTCTGTGCTCCTTCACCCGACATGCGCGGGCTCCGTGCTCCTGCACCTGGTGTCCATGGGCTCTGTACTCCTGCTGAGGCAGTGCTGGGCGTCGGCACTGATCATGGCCAAGGTTGGAGGAGGCATCTCGTGGGAGGCCTGCAGGTCCCAGGAGGGTGGAATCAAGGCAGCCAGCCTGAGCCCAGGGTGGAGGCTCTGCCTTCCCAACGGGGGCAGGACCCAGAAGAAGAGTGAGGCCACAGAGGCAGATCCTGGCCAGGCCCCTGGAAGACAGCAATGTGCTGAGAACCTTCCTTGAGAAAGAGTGGAGGCCCCGGTGACCACAGCATCATGACTGCTGAGGGACAGGACCAGAGAGTCTTCTTCCTAATTGCTCCCCTCTCCCTTTCTCCATTTCCCCATAAACCCTTGAAACAGAGGAGCCTGTGCGTGTGCTTGCCCTTGGGGCAGCCAAGAAGTGGCAGCAGAGAGGCCTGCCTTCCACAAGGCACAGCAGCAGGGACCACGAGTGACCTGGGAACACTGGCCCCAGCCTCCCTGCCTCCCTCTGTCTGCCCCGGCCTCCGCACCCAACAGTTGTGAGATGTCGGTGTTTCTGTTGCTAGGCATTCCTGTTGCTGCGCAGCAGCCGGGGCTGGGACAAAGGACTCGCTCTTCTAATGTTTAAAGCGCAAAGCGAACCACGTGTGGGCCCAGCCGGCCCTCAGGAGGAGCTCCGCGGCTCCTCCCATCTGACAACTCCCCCGACCTGCTGGGCACTGAAGCCTCTGCTGCGGGGGTTGCCGGTGCCACTTCCCCTCTCCACAGCCGTGCGGTGCCCAGCTTAGCTCACGTTCACAGTTCTTTCAGCAGATGTAGCCGTGGACAGCAGCCTGGTTACAGTGGGATGTGCAGCTGGCCGACCCCCTCTAGCCATCCTGCAAGTCACTGTGAACGCCCTCACGCTCCAACAGCAAAGCCACTGCTCAGAAAGAGGCTGGGCTCCTGCACACCTGCCAGCGATGGCTACCCGTGTCCATCCTGTTCACTGAAGGGGAGCGGCTCCTGGAGGGTGAAGCCGCTGTGGTTTGAGGGTGAAGCCACTGTCGTTTGAGCCCTCGGCCCGGACGCAGCTGATGCACCAGCCACAGAAGCACGGAGGAGTCAAGAATGGGAAGGACAGAAACGGTTCCTGACCTCGGGAGCTGGAGGTTGAGTGGGTTGGTCTAAAAACCAACTGAATAGTAAATGGGTGAATTAGCATAATGACGAATGCATATCGATCAGTGTTTCAGAAAACTGCATGCTTTTCATCACCAGTTTTGATTGATGACGAGGTTATGTAAGCAATTACTCAGAATGATCACAAGTCGTGATTATGCTAGGAAGGGGAGCGTGAAGGGTGCCGTGCTTGAGACTGGATGGGACGCGGCCCGGGGAGAGGAGGCTCTGGGGGCTTTGAGAAGCGACGGGGCCATAGGGCGGAGCGGGCCTGGGCTGCAGGGGAGGAAGCAGCAGGGGCCTCGGGCCCGCGGGAGCTGGGCAGGGATGGAGGCTCTGCAGGGAGGAGGAGGGAGGCTTGCGGCCTTCCCAGGGCCACGGGCCAGGAGGGGGAGGCGGCCGGGCTGGGTCAGAGCCGAGGAGAGGGCGGCATCGGGAGCTGTTCTCAGAGGGGCCGAGTGACAGGAGGCCGTTTCTGGGTCTGGGTTCTCACCGTAAAAGAAGACGGTAGAACACAGTTCTCAACACGGGCCTCCTGCTCGGAGGTGATGTGATTCAGACCGCGGCTCCAGGGTCTCCAAAATTTCCGCGTAACCAGGAACCGCAGGTCGAAGGCCAGTACCGCATCCAACACCGCCATCTGCTGGTGAGCGGGAAACATGACGCCTCGGGGCCAAATGGGAAGAGCACGTTCAGGATATTGGATTAGAGAAATATCAAACTACTTTAAATTCCATCACAGCTGTCAAAACCAAACTGGGGATGTAAAGAATTTTTCAGCTCATTGTATTCTATTTACATTGCGCACACACAATAAATGCTTGCTAGAGCACTGAAGTGCATTTTTATTTTCAAACATAATGCATGTCATATGATGAAGGAAATCATTTCGCGATCGTGTTAATCATAGGACACCCTGCAGGCCCCCCTTCATGTGAGCCTACCGTGGTGTCCTATGTACATTCAAGTCTGATGAGTTAGTAGTCACTATAGACGGGATGTGGTGGCCCACACCTGCAATCCCAGCACGTTGGGAGGCTGAGACAGGTGGATTCCTAGAGGCCAGGAGTTCGAGACCAGTCTGGCCAACATGGCGAAACCCGGTCTTTACTAAAAGTACAAAATTAGCTGGGTATGGTGGGGCATGCCTGTAATCCCAGCTACTTGGGAAGCAGAGGCAGGAGAATCGCTTGAACCCGGGAGATGGAGGTTGCAGTGAGCTGTGATTGCACCACTGCACTCCAGCCTGGGCGACAGAGTGAAACGGTCTCAAAAAAAAAAAAAAAAAAAAAGTCAACATAACGTCTGAGCCTAGTGGATTCCACCGACCAACAGGAGCTTTGAGCCTTTTGGAAAACCTCAAATTATATTTTTATACGTATTAGCATAGTGAAAACTGCAGTCTTTCCTCACATTTTCAAATGTTTTGGAAGCATCTGCTCTACACATTTCTGTTTAGACTTTCCAATGTAAGTTCATCTATGACATTATGACTTCATCGGTTTAAAACCCTATTTTGCGAACAGCCTTGCTTTTGTGAGGTGGATGGGGGGGTTCCTATGGCTTCATACTGCGCGCTCTGTGAGGGTGGAGGCATGGCACTGAGCCGAGCCAACACACACTCGTGTGATTTGAAACTTTGCTTCATTGCATAGCAAACTTTCCGTGTCAAGCTGCAGGGTTACTGCAGGGCTTTAGAGCCATGTTTGAAACCTGTCCACAGATCTCAAAGCAGACTGGCAGAAGGAAAGCCGTTTATCAGACAGGCCAGAGGCATCCCACAGCGGAGTCACTCTGTAGCCAGTTTAGGAATGTCACTTTCCAAGTGACTAGTCAGTGGGCTGGGGGGCTCGTCAGGGACTGTAACTTGCACGGGCACTCCTACCACACACTCCCGTCCCTCCGTAAGTATCTGCTTTGCCTGAGGCAAACACGCTGCTATTTTTTTGTTTGTTTGTTTTAGAGTCTCGCTCTGTTGCCAGGCTAGAATGCAGTGGTACAATCTCAGCTCACTGCAACCTCCGCCTCCCGGGTTCAAGTGATTCTCCTGCCTCAGCCTCCTGAATAGCTGGAACTACAGGCATGTGCTACCACGCCTGGCTAATTTTTGTATTTTTAGTGGAGACGGGGTTTTGCCATGTTGGCCAGGCTGGCCTCAAACTCCTGACCTCAAGTGATCCACCCGGCTTGGCCTCCCAAAGTGTTGGGATTACAGACGTGAGCCACCATGGCTGGCCCAAGCTGCTATTTTAATTAAACTTTTTTGCACATAAAATGGAAAAAAAAAGTCACTCTGTAACTCGGGTGATCTAGACCAGGGGTTTGCAAACTTTTTGAGAAGAACCACATAGTAAATATTTTAGGTTCTGTGGGCCTATCAGTGTTTGTCAAATAGTCTTGTTTTTATGTGGTTTTGTTTTTACAACCCTTTAAAAAACATCAAAGCCATTCTGACACGAGGGCTGCATGCAGCCGGGCAGCTTCTGCCGGAGGCTGTGGCTTCCTGGCTCCTTCCCTAGAGCTGTCCCTCACTTCGCCTGCATGCCCAGAAACACATTTTCTTATGTTTCCAAAATAAACATGTCCTGTGAGTGAGGTAGATTGCCATCGATGTGGGCCATTGTGAGTGTCTGATTAGGGTCTCATGAAAGTCTTAAACTTTCGCCCAACTTTCTTCTGAACTTTCCATGAATTTTGTGAATGTACCTTTATGTAGAGTTGGGATCATCAGTGGCCAACAGCCCTCTTCAGCATTTGCTGTTCTCGTATTTCACAGGGATGCATCACGTGCTCTATAGCATTATTATGATTTATCTCTGGCAGATAAACATTTGGGACCAAGAAGCAAAACTTCTAGCAATGGCCTATGGGGTAGACTAAAAGCCACCAAAAGCCCTCTGCATGCGTCCAGCCACAGTGCAGCCTTCTTAGGGGCCGTAGTCACAGCTGGGCATGGTGGAGACACAGGGGACGGAGCAGGCGGCACTGAAGACTCTTCCCTAAGTTGGAACACACAGGACTTGAGTACGTGCTCAACACTCGGTGTTGTACATTCTGGAAACACGACCTCACGCAGCAATCGACCTCCCACCACGTCTGCTGACAGCACTGTGCTGGAGTAGACTGTCGGGGGTCAAAAGAAACACAGGGCTTACTCCCTGCTCCGGGGGCTGGGGGTCAGAAACACAGATGTGGGTGCAAGAGCACTCACCTGTAATAGTTAAATAGCAATTTAAGGCTGTAGGTCACAAGACTCAAACAAGCTTTGCTGTGAGTGTTACACGAGTCAGCGCGGCTGTGGTAGCGAAGCACCCAGACCGGGCGGCTTCAACAGCAGGCATTTATCGCTCACAGTTCTGGAGGCTGCAAGTCCCAGATCCAGATTCTGGCTGACTCGGTGCCTGAGGAGGGCTCTCTTCCCAGCTTGCAGACGGCCACCTTCTGTTGTGTCCTCTCCCTCCTGCAAGGACACCATCCTACCACACAAGGGCTCTATCCTCAGGGCCTCCTTTAGCCTAAATTACCCCTTTGTAGGGCCCATCTCCTGACACAGCCACACTGGAGTTAGGGCTTCACCATGACCTGGGGGCGGGGGTAGAATTCACTTCCCAGCAGACATTCCTGCAAGAAGGTGGCAAGGGGCTCACACTTCTGAGGCTGAGATCCTTTGCTGGGACTCCAGGCTTGCTCATATACCACACATGACCCTGAAAATCTACTTATTTATTTATGAGATATGGTCTCACTCTGTTGCCCAGGCTAGAATGCAGTGGGGCGATCTTGGCTCACCGCAGCCTTGACTTCCTCCTGGGTTCAAGTGATTCTCCCACCTCAGCCTCCCAGGTAGCTGGGACCACAGGTGTGCACCACCACCCCTGGCTAATTTTTGTATTTTTTGTACAGACAGCGTCTCAGCATGTTGCCCAGGCTAGTCTCGAACCCCTGAGCTCAAGCGATTGGCCCGCCTCAGTCTCCCAAAGTGCTGGAAGTACAGGTGTGAACCACCGTGCCCAGCCTCTCAAAGCCTCCATCGCTTCATGTGTAAAATCACAATAATAATAGAATCTCCATTACAGAGTCATGGAAACGAAAATAAAATAACACAGGCACTAGGGTTAGAAATGCCTGTCAATTAGCAAGGGACCAATACCTGTGGATCATAGTTCAAAAGGGCCTAAGTGGTATTCAAATTCCCAGTAGCTGTTGTTAAAAAACACACATCTATATAGTGAATGTCAAAAATAAACCTTATATAGTTCAGAAATGTTTAAGAAAGAAAAAAACTGAATTTGAGAAATTAATAAGGAAAACAGAAAAGGAGTCTGAGAAGGTGCTACTATCTCCTCACCCTGTTTTCAAATGTTGGCTGGAATAGTTTTATAAGGAGATCCACTCCTCACCTACACTTGGTTACCGAGTGGTACCATTTACATTCAGGAGGCTGGAAAAAAGAACTTGATTTTTCCTTTTTGTTTACCCAGTTTTTAGTATAAGAAGTTGGTTTCCCATCCCTCTCAGAAGGTAACCCATTCAATGAACTCGTGCTTTTATCCACATCTGATTGATTCCTCGCAATTCTTATCCACATCTGGTTGATTCTTTGCAATTTTATCCACATCTGGTTGATTCCTTGCAATTGTATCCTTTATTAGAATTGAATTTGTCCCGTTTTCAATTCCACCTGTAGAGTTAGTTTATTTCTCATTCTCTCCATATGGGACTGTTTATGGAATGTAACCTCAATGTTTCTGTTGCTCATTTGTATAAAAGTGCTTGTAAGATTAAGAATTTAACTTTCCTGAACCTCTAGGAGGAGGGTGGGGACATGACGCTCTTATAATTTCACCGACTGTTCTCTACTCTTGTTTTTGGTCCATGTTTTAAAAGATGATGTCTCACTCGCTGAGGTTTCCTGGCCTGCTCCCTTCCCCCATGTGGATCTGGTCACTGTCGATTTCCTGGCTCTGCTAATCCTGTCTTGCTCAGGCTTAATCCCACTCCCAGGAGTTGAACTTTGGCTTACGGTTCTGCCTTAGAAAGGACCCCCCCAGGTTCAGTTCCCGGGCTGAGCCACTGGCTGGGCACAGGGAGACTTGCGGCATTTGAAATGAGGCTCCTCAGAATCAACATGCGCTGTGACTGTAAAATACACACCACGTTCATAGGTTTAGTGTGACGAAAGTAAGATTTTATTAGTAATTTTATGTGTGATGTAGTTGAAATGGTAATCTTTTGGATATATTGGGTCAAACAAAATAAATCATTAAAATTAAGTTGTAGGAATAAATTTTCCTATTCGATAAGGTAGCTTTTCCAGGTTATATTTACATTGACCTCTGCAGGCATCTGGTGTGGTGGGGAAGCATCAGCCTGGGACTCCCATAAGCGGCTCAGGGTTTGGGGTTCTCCTGGTGATGCTGGGGGCTGCATGGAGATTTGAGCTTTGCACCCAGCTGCATCCTCGCCCTCAGGGAACGCCTCTTTGGGGTCCCTGGGGAGCTCACTGACTGGATTCCTCCCCTTCTTTCAGCCAGGTTTCATTTCTGACTCCCAAGTCAGGCTGTCACTTGAAAATATTTTTTGCGACTCACAGAGACTGTCAAGAAGAAGATTGTTGTCATATTCATTTTGTGGGATTTTATTATTTCCTTCTTTTTCAAGCTGATAGTCTTCAGTTCTTGTGTGTGTATGTGTGTGGTGTATTTGTGTGTGTTGTGTATTCATGTATGTGTGCATGCATGTTTCTGTTGTTTATTCATGTGTGCTTGCATGCATGTTTGTGTGTGTTGTATATTCATGTGTGCATGCATGCATGTTTGTGTGTGTGTTGTGTATTTGTCTGTGCACGCATGCAAGTTTGTGTGTATAGTGTATTTGTGTGTCCATGCATGCATGTGTATGCATGTTGTGTATTTGTGAGTGCATGCATTCAAGTTTGTGTGTTGTGTATTTGTGTGTGCATGCATGCATGTTCATGTGGCATATTCATGTGTACATGCATGCATGTTTGTGTGTGCTGTGTATTTGTGCATGCATGCGTGTGTGTTGTGTATTCGTGTGTGTGCATGCATGTTTGTGTGTTTTGTGTTTGTGTGTGCATGCATGGATATTTGTGTGCTGTGTATTCATGTATGCATGCATGCATGTTTGTGTGTGTTGTGTATTCACGTGTGCGTGCATGCATGTTTGTGTGTTGTGTATTCGTGTGTGCATGCTGCATGTTTGTGTGTGTTGTGTATTCACGTGTGCGTGCATGCATGTGTGTGTGTGTTGTGTATTCGTGTGTGTGTGCATGCATGTTTGTGTGAATGTCAGGATTCTCCAGAAAAACAGGACCAACAGGATGTAAAACACAAAACCCAACATAAAAGGAGATTTATCTTAAGGAATAGCTCATGTAATTATGGAGGTGCTGGGTGGGCTGGAGACCCAGGGAAGAGTTGCCATTGAGTCTTCAAGCCGGCCCCTGGCAGAATCCTGGGAGATCAGGCTTTTTGTCTGAAGGCCTTCAGCTGAGTGTGTGAGGCCATCCACACTGTGGAGGGCAATTTGCTTGACCCAAAGCCCATGGATGAAAATGCTAATCACACCTAAAAATGCCTTCATGACAATGTCAAGAATAATGATAATCAAAGATTTCGGTACAGTGGCCTAGCCAAGCTGACACATAAAAATTAACCATCACGATGTGCAGATATCTATAATATATTCTGTGGAGGTAGATAGTCTGTAGATAGATATCTCTGTCTTTATCTGTGTCTTTTAATATTTTTATTGAGATAAAATATATTTACATAATTTATCATCTTTACCATTTTAAGTGTACAGTTCAGTGGTAATAAATACATTTATAGTGCTCTCTGTTTTCATCCACCCCTTTTCAGGTTTTCAAAGCTTATTTTCATCGTAAGCATTGCTGTAAATAACTAGCTTGCCATTACCTATACATATGTTGTTGGTTGGATACCATTACTATGACTAGCTACAGCCAAATTAGGATTAATATAACTTTTTGTTCAACATTGCAAAAGGTTATTGGTATAATGTTATTTACATTTTAAATGTTCTTCTCTCTTCTGTAAAATGCCTCTGAATTTCTTCTTAAAGGAACAGCCATCGCTGGGTTTTTCCCATAGAAGGATGAAGACCGCTCTGACGGTGTGGCGCTCCCTCTAGTGGCTGAGAGTCGCTAACTCACCGGCGAGGCTTCCCAAGGCCGGAGGGCGGCTTCTCAAAAGTTTGTTCCAGAGATGCCTCGTCACCCCTAACACCCTAGTATACAATCCAGGAGGCGAAAACTATTTTGATCATACGGATGAGACCGTGGCTGTATTAAGAATGTGTGTGTAATCCACAGCGGTATAACGAAATTTGGAATATCTGCGTGACTCCAAACTACTATTTTCCAAATGACCGATGCATGATGTTACAAAATCACAAATGGTAAAAGATCCCTTCAAAGTGCAAGAGGGATGAAGATATTTTAATGTAACAGTGTGCAAAGTTCACTAGTGCAATCTCAGATTCCAGATTGCGACGAATCTTTAAGAAATTAGATTTTTAGTGTAGTGAAAAAGGCTATTCACAATTATCTAGAAAGACTACTAAAATTATTCTCTCTTCTTCAACTACACAGCTGCTTGACACAGGTTTTCTTCATGTATTTCGATCCAAAATGGAATCACAGCAGATTAAATGCAAAAGTACCTATCCAGCCATCTTATCTGAAGCCAGACATTAAAGAGATTTGCAAAAAATATAAAAGACTTTCACTCTGCTTATTTTTTCTTTAAAAAAGTTTCTTAAAAAAGTTATTTGTGTTAACCTATAATGGAATCATTATTATTATTTCAAAATGAATTAATAACTAAATATTATAAAACATAAAATCTCTAATGTGGTCAATATAAGTAGATATAACCTACCTAAATACAAGTTTTTTAAAAAAAATCAATAATTTTTAAGGGTGCATAGGGATCCTGAGACCAAAAGTTTGAGCTTTAATCTAAAGAGATAGTATTTGATCATAAGCGAATGATAATAATGTGTAACAGTGAATTTAAAAAACAGGATGATTTGAGTCATATGATTATACATGCTTATATATTGTTGATTTTCAAGAAATTAACATCGTTTCATTTGTACATCCAAAAAGGTAATAGTTGATGCTTACCTCTACTTTTTACAGTATTAACACAGATTTCATTCCTGACTTCACCCCCATCGCTTAACTCAGTTTTTTATTTTCTTGGAAACATCCACATATAGAAATATTGAATGGGCACGCCTGTAATCCCAGCAATTTGAGAGGCTGAGGCAGGCAGATCACTTGAGGTCAGGAGTTCCAGACCAGCCTGGCCAACATAGCGAAACCCCCTCTGTACTAAAAATAGGAAAATTGGCCGGGCACTATAATCCCAGCATTTTGGGAGGCCGAGGTGGGTGGATCACGAGGTCAGGAGTTCGAGACCAGCCTGACCAACATGGTGAAACCCCATCTCTACTAAAAATACAAAGATTAGCCGAGCGTGGTGGCATGCACCTATAATCCCAGCTACTCAGGAGGCTGAGGCAGGAGAATCGCTTGAACCCAGGAGGTGGAGGTTGCAGTGAGTCGAGATTGCACCACTGCACTCCAGCCTAGGTGACAGAGCAAGACTCTGTTTAAAAAAAAAAAAAAAAATTAACTGGGCGTGGTGGTGCATGACTATTATCCCAGCTACTTGGGAGGCTGAGGCTGAGGCTGAAGAATTACTTGAACATAGGAGGCAGAGGGTGCAGTGAGCCGAGATTCCACCATTGCATTCCAGCCTGGGTGACATGAGCGAGACCCTGTCTCAAATATATATATATATATATATATATATATATATATATATATATATATATATATATATGTATATACACACACACACACACACACACACACACACACAGATACATATTTATTGAGTGTGTATTATCTGTCAGTTCCCAGGAACAGTTTTTAACAATAAAAAAAGAATGAGACAGTTTCTGCCTCTCCAGGTGTAGAAATCAACTCTCATTTATTTATGCTTTTGAAAATGATTTGCTCAAGTTTCTGAAATCATTTCTTAATTTAACTCAAGAAGTTCATCTTTTAATTTATGAAGAACTGAGTACTCTGAGGCCATAAGCACAAGCCTGTGCATTTTATATATAATTGAGCAAAATTAAAATTTTATGTAACAAACTTCTCTATTAATTTAGGATGGTTTAACCTTTGATGTATTATCCGTGCATTTTTTCTCAGGGTCCTTTGCCAGTGGCGAAGTCTCTGATATGAAATGTTTAAAGGAAAGTGGCAATGAGAAGCCCACGGTTAGTGAGGCGATTCTGTGAAAACACTGCGTGCCTACAGAAGAAAATAATCAAGTACAGCGCTCTTGGGGAAAACAGGCAAAACCTGAATCTTTACTCAGCTGTTAATCAATCTAGAAGGAAACATGATGGTCTTTTGGGGAAAAAAATGTTATCAGAGGGAGCAACTGCCTTTCAATGTTTCATTTTGTATGGAATATCTCCTAAATGCACATAGTTCTGCAAAATGTACAATATCAACGACTTCCGCACCTGGGCATTAGTTGCGTTGATGCTGCTGATTGTATTAATAATTCGGGTGGCTGTAGGTGCATGCCTGTTGTCCTGCAGTGTTTATTAATCATTTCATTCTCACGTGGTCCCAGCTTGGGTGACAAGTTGTATGGTTCCTAATTGTAGCAGGATCGTGGGATTTGGGGAAGAGCCAGATCTCAGGGACGCCTTTGTCTAGCTCCTCCATTTTCACCCCCTTTCATTTATTTAGTGCCTCGTGCGATGTCACAGAGCTAGTGAGTGCGGCTGGCGAGGACGCATGCTTGGCCGTGGCAACCGCGTGGCACCAACCAGCGCCGAAGGGGCTGGGGGCTGAGTGCAGACCCCGAAGAAGGACTGGCTCCTCGGTGCTGATGGCTGTCCTTCTAAACCAGGGGGGAGTCCAAAAGCTTCAGTGCAGGAGGAAGGCAGTGAGTGTTAGCCCTGACCTGCGCTGAGCCCTGAGAAGAAAGCTTCCTTCGCCCGCGTCCTCCCGCTGGCTGAGTCAGCCAGGACCC
Organism: Homo sapiens; assembly: GCF_000001405.40. NCBI lineage: Eukaryota > Metazoa > Chordata > Mammalia > Primates > Hominidae > Homo > Homo sapiens. Next base: position 2,033,688 of record NC_000008.11, read on the forward strand.
TGCTGTGCGAGGTCCATATGGGGCAGGTGCAGCTGCCAACACGGCCAAACTGAAGGTTCGCTCGCACCAGGACCAGTCGTGGGTGAACTCTTTGCACGCTCTTGACGTCAGGTAGCACAGAATCTGGCCTCCTGGGGAAACTGGGGAAACTGGGAAACTGGGGAAACTGGTGGTGTTTGCAGCCTTGCCCTATCTGAGCTCCCAGCTATGGGCAGATACTGTCTCTTTCCAGTCCCAGGATCCTCCTATTCCAGTCCATGTTTACCCAGGAACGAGGCCTCCAGGACACAACGGTGAAGAGAAATAGTAATGACGGGACAGTGGATTCTTGTGACCATTTCTGACTTCTATGTGTTTAAAACGCTTTTGACCTGAGAAACTGGTTTTTGATGTGTCCCCACCAGCCTCACACTGAGCCTGACTGGCAGTGCAGAAGTTGGGAGTATCAGCTACCTGAGGAGGGGTCTGGCTCGGTCACATGCAGAACTGGACTCTGGCCCTACCTGGGCCTCCACCTGGGCCTCCATCTGGGCTCTGGCCCCACCTGGGCCTGCACCTGGGTTTCTGCATCCCCTTCCTCTCCTGGAGGCAACATCACAAAGCCTAGACATCAAGATATTTGAATTTTAGTCCAAACCCTTTAAACGCTCTGCAACGTGACCCCTGCTTTTTGTTTTTGGTTTTTAAACCTGTCTGGGCCTGATTTCCACATTTGCAGGGTGAAGTGAGCGGTTGGGGGTGATGATTTCCTCTGCTCTGCCCAGGTCTGGGATGTCTCTGGGGCTGGCATCCACCTCATCTTGGTCTCTGCCCTCCCAGCTCGCTCTGGAGCCCTGGAGCACGCGATTCACCTCCTGCTCCTCACAAGACTGGGTGGCCCCTGACAGTGAATGGCTCTTACGCCTGACATCTATGTTTGTTTTATTACAAGCGCTCTTCTTCTGAACACACGGCTTGATTGCATTGTTTGAGATTGCTAAGCCTTCAAGCACTTTCAGAACGGAATCCTCCCTGGGGACAGCTCGGTGCCCTCTGGGTCCCGTTTCCTGGATCCTGTTCTGAGCCGGGCAGCTGGTAGCCCTGTTCGTGTGCGTTAAGGCTCGGTTCCCCAGCACAATCATTCAGGATTGAAACGATAGCATAATGGAACTTAGAGAGGATCATCTAATCCCACGCTCACCTTACAGATGAGGAAGCCAGGGGTCGCGGGTAGGTGAAGAGATTTTCCATGGGGCACGAAACTTCAACAACAGATTAGCAAACAGAAAACTAGGCCCAGCGCCAGTGCCCTTGACAACGGGCTCAGGGCAATTTGGCGAGACGGAGCTGGCCCAGCCTTGGTGTGATTACAGAATGCCATTTGGAGATAAACTCCCCAATAGCTGGAGGCCACATGCCACCGCCTCTGAAGATAGAAACCCATCCACAGTCGCTACAGGACGAAAGCCATGCCTTCCCACTGAAAGAAAATGTATTTATTGAGCTTCTACCACGTGCATGGCACTGTTTCAGTCAGAGGGGAGGTGCAAATCTAGACCAGTCGTCATCGAGGCACAAACTTTTGGTCACCTGGGCCGGGTACTTCAGGAGAAAGGCCTCCTGTCTTACAGTGCTAACTCAGCAGACCGGCAGTTTTCACAGCTTTAGAACACAGCCAGGAGGATTGCATTAAGAATGACATTATAACCCTGAATTTTATCAAGATTTAGGAAATTGTGGTTACCTAGACACATGATAAATGACCGAAGTCTCGTACTTTCCTCTCCTTGTGTGCATTAGGTCTTTGTGGACTCAGTGGGAACTGAGAACAATTCCATCCGTACGACGTCCAGATGAACCTTGCTGGTCGGAGAGGAAACTTCTGACCACCCCGAGCTGAGCTTTGTGTTCCTCAGGCCCCGGTGTGTAGTCATGGCACGTCCTATGCCCCCGTGGATGGATACCAGGGGTGTCATGCAAGCAGGTGCTCGTATGTTATCTGCCAGGCACGTAGCCATGGCCTGCTGCCAGGTCTCCTAGGATATGTTTTGATTAACAAAATATGGAAAACTTTGCGCCGTATTATAGAGATGCTGAGTAATGCCCAACCTCCAAGCAATCTAATTGCCTTACTGTTTGGGAAGAATATCGGTTTTATCACCACTAAATGTCTTGTTGCGATTACAGGAGGCAAGTTAGCTAGTTTATTTGGTTGGTTTGTTTAGTAAGCAAGTATTTTTAGTGTATTTTGTGTGCTGGGCTTTGAGTGAAGTCCTGGGACCTCCCTGGTCAGAGGAACCCCCAGTGCTCATGGTCCAGTGGGTGACACAGGCTGGCCAGACATCCCTGCCGTGAACCACACTGCAGACATAAAGGAGGGCTTTGCAGGAAAGAAACCCAGCTCTTAGTGAATCTGCCACAGGGGAGCCTTACCTTGACTGGGGTCAGAAAAGGCATCAGAAATATCGGGGCTTCTGCTGAAGTTTGTACAGGGAGCAGGACCGTGGAATCCGAAGGATGGGAAAGAGCCTGTGCATGGCTGGGGGCTGGTGGAGCAAGGAGCTTAGCTCCACTGACATGCAGAGCGTCGTGAAGACTGGAGTGGGGGCCAGGCCACACAGGGCTTCACATGGTACGTCTGTTGCTTGTTAAAACACGAGTGGCTTTCAGGGGTGTTTGGGTGATGTGCTCTGATCTGCACTCTGAGACATTCTTTTGGGCCTTAGCCTGGGGGATAAGCATGGGTGTGGGGAGCACAGGACCTCAGCCTTAGCCTAAGGATGAGTGTGGTATGGGGGTGCAGGGCCTCAGCCTTATCCTGGGGGATAAGTGGGAGTGGGGGGACTGCAGGCTGTCACAGGACCTGAACGAGACACTGTCAAGTGTGGACGAGTTGGGTGGCAGTGGAGGCTGAGCAAGGTGCATAGTTGTGAGGGGTATTTAGGAGGGAAAATTTTAAAGCTGTGTGGGCCTCAGGGAGGTATCAAAGGTTTCTGGCATGAGCTATTCATGGGTATAAAATACTGGACAAAGAGATCAGGTGGGCTCCTGAGTTTAGTCTTTGACCTGTTGAGTTTAAGTTTCCATTTTATCATTCAAAAGGAGTTGTGAAGGACAGCTCAACGTGAGTGCAGCCTCCCTCTGGAAGCCATCAGGGAGGTGAGAGTAATTAAAGCCATTCCTACACAGCATGTGTTTGGGTCGCCTAGGAAGGAGCAGGGGATTAGACAGGAAGAGTGATTTGAGAAGTGCGTGGGAACAACTTCCATACTTCATGGTGGGCTGAAGGAGACAGAGCCAGCCGAGGGTGGAAGAAGAAAACAGGCAGAGGAAGAAAACAGGAGGAGTGTGGCACGGCGGAGGCTGAGGGAACCGTGCTTCAGGAAGGGGTGCGGGTCAAGTGGACCAACTAGCGGGGAGAGGTCAGGTAACCTGAGAGCTGATAATGTCCTGTGGATTTGGTGACACAGAGGTCACTGGTGGCTTAGAGCTATTTTGGTTAGTGATGTGATATGAGTGGAAGGGAGGTTGGAATAGGGTTAGTGGAAAGTGAAGAAATGGAAAAAATGTGACTATACACAACTCTTTCAAGAACACTGTCTGTGAAAGAGAGAGCAGCAGCTGGAGGAGGAAGTGGGTCTGAGAAAGGATTTTTATTGTTTGTTGTTTTTAAGTTTAGAAGAGACCTGAAAAATGTTCCAATAATGATGGGAAAGGACCCAGTTGAGCAACAGAGCTGCAGTCGTGGGGGACATAGGTGTTAGGGACTGACCGTATCCCCATCCTAAGCACCATGAAGGAGAGGGATCCACAGCTCAGGGATGTCGGCCTCAGGGAGAGAAGGTAGTTGGGGTAATGGGAAGTTGATGGAGCTCGTATGTTTGGCTTTAGTTGACTTTGTGGATTAGGAGAGGAAGTTATTTGCATAAAGTAACAGTGAGTGATTTTTGATTGAAACCTAGACATTTTGGGTATTATGTTAAGAGACTCTGGGTCTTATATATATTATATTTTAATGGGCACCATACTGGCATAGGAAAGAGGTGCTGTCTTATTACTGCAGAAGCATGATCAGGTGGGCTAGAAGTCCAGATTCCCTGATCAGAGGTGTGTGTGTGGCAGGGACACCTTCTTTCTGCTTCTAAGTGTCCACTGATACCACCCGGGCTGCGTTGCTTTCGTTTTTGAAAGAACCTTTTTTTTTTTCTTTGCTGGGTATAGGATTCTAGGTTGACGGTCTTTTCTTTGAGCGCTTAAAAATACTGTGTCACTGTCTTCCTGTTTGCATCATTTCTGATGAGAAGTCTGATGTCATTCTTATCTTTGCTTCTCTATACATACACTCTGTTTCTTTTTCTTGCCCTGTCTTAAGGTTTCCTTTAATCGCTGGCTTTAAGCAATTTGATTATGATGTGACTTGGTGTAGTTTTGTTTATGTTTCTTGAGCTTGATGTTTGTTGAGCCTCTTGTGCCTGCACAGTCATAGTTTTCAGAAAATTTAGAAAAAATGTGGACATTATTTTTTCAACTATTTTCTTTTGTCTGACTTCTTTCTTTGGGGACACTACATGTATATTTGTCTGCTTCATGTTTTCCTCAATGCTCTTCATTCATTCGGTGTTTTTTTTTCTCTTACTATTTTATTTTTTATTTATTTTCATTAGTTGATAAAATAAAATATTAAGAGAAAAAACACTGAATGAATAAAAAATAAAAACATTTTTATTTTCTATTTTTAAGTTCAAGGGTTATCTTGGATATCTTCAGTCTTTTCTTCTGCAATAACATGCTATCGATCCCACCAGTGCATTAAAAAATTCTCAGGCATTATATTTCTCATCTCAAAAAGTTTGATTTGGATCTTTTTAATATCTTCTGTGTCTTTATTTAGTATGTTCAATCTATTCTATGTCTTTTTGAGGGCATGGGACATAGTTATAACTGTTTTAATGTCTTTGTTTACCAAATTTATGGGCATGTTACTATTAATTTTCTCATTATATGTTGCATTTTTCTGGTATGTTTAATTGAATGTCAGATATTGTGAAGTTTAACTTCTTGGTTGCTGGATATTTTTGTATTCCAGAAATATTTTTGAGCTTTACTCTGTAATACAGTGAAGGGTTTTTTTTTTTTTCCAACAGTTTGATTATTTCAAAGCTTGCTTTTAAATGTTTTAGTTGACATGAGATCAGCCTTGAACACAGGGCTGGTTTTGATCCACTACTGAGTCCATGCCCTTTTGAGTATTTTTCAGATATTCCATGAATTTTGAGGTTTTCCTTTCCAGACACTGTGTGCGCTGGGATTATTCCACGCGAGGGAATGTGATCCACAGCATGGGGGTCATATTGGCCTTAGGGAGAAAGGAGAGACAGGAAGTTTTATGAAAACTGTCAAGTTCTTAACTTCATTCGTTGTATTTTTTTTCAGTTCTAGAATTTCTATTTGTGTTTTAATGTTTTCAGAAACACATTCTAGGAGAACATCTGGATGACTTTCTGTATGGCAATGACTTTTTAGATATAACACGAAAGGCACAATTGATGAAATAAGTAATTGATAAGCCAGACATCAATAAAATTAAATATATCTGCTCTACAAAAGACAAGATCAGGAGAATGGGAAGGCAAGCCACAGACTGGAAGAAAATACTTGCAAATATACATCTAATAAAGTACGGCTGCCCGCAGAACTCTTAAATCTCAACAATGAGAAAAGAAACAACCCAATGAAAAAAATGGGCAAAAGGCCTGGACAGACAACTCACCAAAGAATACACACCATTGGCAAATGGAGAGTCTCCCTCGTTTAACATGGCCCCACCTTTCTTGGGGGTCCTAAACCCCAACTCAAGAGCACCAGAAACCCACCAGCAGCTCTTCTTTGCTTTCTCACTACTTTTTGCCTTCTGCTCATGGAGTGCTTTGAGGTGAAACCTGGTGCTGAGATGTGGGCTCTGATCTTTGAGCCTCCCCTCTCTTCAGGATCTTGGCCTTTCAAATCCTGGATGCACTGTCAGGCCCAGACTCCAATTCTTATCTCTCCAGCTTCACAGTATTGCAGGAAGCTCTGCTGTTTCCCCCTGCTTCTCAACAGCGGCACTCTTTCCTCTTCCTTACCTTCAACCCAGCCACAAATCGGCAAGAGCCCAGAGATAGAAAGTGATGTGCAGAGAGAGTGCCCACTTCAGGAAGCACAATTCTCACTAGGACTGGGCCTCGAACCACTGGCTGCTCTCACAGCTCTCTTGTGTATCATCTGTCTGTCTGTGTATCCTGTCTATCTATCTATCACCTATTGATCTATTTCCATCACTGATCTATGTCTATCTTTCATCTCTATCATCACTCTATCACTTTATCATATATTATCTATTTACCTATCATCTATCTTTCTATCACTCTATCATCTATCTATTATCTATCATGTAACTCATATACCATCAATCTCTTTATCAATCAATCTATCTAACCTATCATCATCATCATCTGTCTGTCTATTCATCTGCCCATCAGCTTATATGTCCATTCACCTATCTGTTTTTCTCTCTTTCTTTCATTACTCTTTTGCCATCTCTCACACTCTGTATTTTATCTGGATTGTTACTTGTTCTGGGTAAGAATGTTGTCCTACTAGAAGCAACTTTATCACACATAAAAGTGAAAGTCTACTTCAGACATCTCATGTCTTATATATTACCCACTACATAGAGTTATAGTATTAAGACTTGCTGGTACTCTGAGACATAGTAAATGCTTGATAAATATTAATTTAAATGTATTTAAAAGTATATATATTTTAAAGTGTCTATATCTATATCTATCTATATCAATATCTATCTATCTTTCTATCTATCTATCTATCTATCTACCATATATATTTTTGAGCTGAGGTAAAGAATTACTAAATATAGCCTAGCTTTGTCAATTCTGTATATTTCTGTTTAGTTCTGAGCCACTATTAACTATTATACTTAACAATAGTAAGTTCTTCATGTCTCTTGAATCCATTCATTGGGCAGTTAGTTCAGAACTCCTTTATTAAGCACAGAGAATGTGCTAAGTTTGGAGAGAAGAAGCCCACACTTTGGTGGCTGCTGTGGCAAGAGTGTCTGGGGAAGAGTAAGATGGTGTAGTTGGGGAAATCTTTACTCAGAAATTGATGTGTAGTTATAATAATATTGGCCTCAAAAGAGATAGCAGGTAAACTTACTAAGGACTATAAAATAAAGTCAAAATTTTGCAGAAAAGAAAAAAAAAGCAAAGGAAACCTAAGCATTTATTTTCCTACTTTCCTGGAAAATGATTCAGAAATGCTGGAAACATTGGGAATTTGTGCGATTCATGTCGCTAAAGGGTTCCTCATTACTGAGCTGCTGCTTTCTGTGGACACGTGTTTAACTGACTTAATGAAATGTTAGAAGGAAGGCGCTTCCTCTGAATGTCAGCGACCTATTTCATCAATTAGTGGATTAAGCATGGCCTCAAAGAGACATCTATTGAACTTCTTGGAAATTAAGAAGGTGACAATTGTATTTCTCTAAACAAGGTTACTCTCACAATCAACATTTTCAGAAGGTTCACATTTAAACATTACAGTTAATTCATCTAAGTGGATGTGATTTTCTTGAGGTTTAAATTCTAAATACAGAACTGCACAACCATAAATAGGAACAAAGACATTCTAAAGGCAGAAAAAAGGAACAAGGTTGGGTATGGTGGCTCACGCTTGTAATCCCAGCACTTTGGGAGACCGAGATGGGTGGGTCACTTGAGGACAGGAGTTCGAGACCAGCCTGTTCACCAATATGGTGAAACCTTGTCTCTACTAAAAATACCAAAAATATATATATATATATATATATATATATATATATATATATATATATATATATATATCCGGGCCTGGTGGCACACACTTGTAATACCAGCTACTTGGGAGGCTGAGGTGGGAGGCTCACTTGAACCCAAGAGTCGGAGGTTACCACTGCACTCCAGCCTGGGCGACAGAGCCAGACGCCATCTCAATCAATCAGTCATCAGTCAATAAAAATAAAGAAAAAAACTCTTTTCTTTAAAGTGGGGCTGTTTTCTGAGATTCAGGTTTTCAGGATTTGGGAATGAGAGGCAGTGCTGATGGGGGCTGATGCCCTCAAGGGAGTTTTCTGCCTCCAGATTTTCCAGTCTCCCTTCTGCGGCCTGTGCACACGTGCTCTGTGGGGACCAGACGCCTTTGTTGTTGGCCTCATCACCCCCTGGTTTGGGAGAGCACGGAGGGTGACCCCCTGCCCCTCCCTGTGCTGTGGCTGCAACTGCGAAGCCTCTTTCTGGTGAGCTGTCATCCTTTGAATCATAAAACTGAATATTTGGCCTGTTGGATGGATAATTTCTAAAATACATGGGATGGATAATTTCTAAAATACATGGATAATTTCTAAAATAATTTCTAAAAAACAGAAAATTTGTTTTCTGAGACGGAATGCATGGAAGTGAACAAAATATCTTAAGAATAATTTTATTTCTTTCAAATATCCAAACTGATTTTCCTGAATCGAATGTCAGTTTTGGCTCTGTGCAATATAACAGGGGTCCTGAACCCCAGCCTCGGGGTCCGTGGCCGGTGAGGAGCTGGGCCGCATGGCGCGGTGAATGGCGGCCACTGAGTATTCTCGCCGGAGCTCCAGCTCCTCTCAGAGCCGCGGCCTTAGATTCTCACAGGAATACAAACCCTACTGTGACCTGCACACGCGAGGGATCTAGGCTGGACGCTCCTTATGAGAATCTTATGCCTGATGATCCGAGGTGGAGCAGTTTCATCCCAAAACTATCCCCCTCTCCACCGTTCTTGGAAAAATTGTCTTCCACGAAACCGGTCCTTGTTGCCAAAACAGTTGGGGATTGTTGCTGTATAGAACATAACTTCACCCATGAATGGTCTGGCCTGGGGTTCCACAGGATTGAAGGCACGTGGTTTTAGAATGTCACTCTTTGCATTTCGATCTTCTTTTCTATGTTGTGGGAAATCCTCAGTGAGGCCAACTGTTTTCCATTCACAGGCTGCCAATTTGAGCTGTGGAAATGAGATTGCTGGACTCTTCCTTTGTCTTAGTCAGGATTCTCTTGATGGCCGATGATAGAAAGTCAGCCCAAGGAACTCCGGCAAGAAGGAGCCTGTCTGCCCCAGAGCTGGTGTGTCTGGTGGAGAATGCGGGGCCCATGCCTGGTCCCACCGCCTCCCTCCGTCTTTTGTCCCTTCTTGGCTCCAGGCTTCCTGCAGGTGCACCTCACCCAGGGAGTTTTGGAAGCTACATCCCGGGTGGGCAGGGGCAGGCATGGCTCAGGGAGATGGGGGTCTACGAGGAGGGTGGGGAGGGGTCTCCTGTCCCCAGCAGAAGGCGAAGCTCTGTCCCCATCAGGAGCCTATCTGTGTCCCGGGTCACACTCTGCTCTCTGGGTGGTGTGGCTGAAAGATCCAGGCTTTCTTAGACGCAGCACTGGATTTCTATATCACAGAAGGAGGGCACAGCCACCGTGAAATGTCAGAAAAGGAGGAGGAGTGTGCTGGCCCTTCCTTCTCTCAGGAGAGGCCCCTCCCCGGGATGAGATTGTCCCCTCCTGAGATGCTAGGACTGGGACCCAGGCGACTGAGATGCCAGGACTGGGACTCAGAGGACTGAGATGCCACCTGAGGGGACGAGGCACCATCACTGCCCCTCCAGTGTCGGCCACACTCAGAGGCAGGGGGGCAGAAGGGCTGAAGGGAAGTCCCCCAGGTCCCTGAGAAATGGATTCGCTAGAGAAGGAGATGCTGATAAACCGGAAGTAAACATTGCTTGCTCTGGTCTTGCTGTTTGCAACCCCCCCAAAATATGTGGGTTAAAACCCTAACCCCCAAAACGATGGTGTGAGGAGGTGGGGCCTTAGGGAAGTGACAAGGTCATGGAGGTGGAACCTCCCGAGTGGGATCAGTATCCTCATACAGAGGCCCCAAGAGCGGCCTGGCCCCTTGACTTGGTGAGGACTCAGGGACCGCGCCGTCCCAGAACCAGAAGGCTCTCCCCAGGCAGTGTCTGCTGGTACCTGGATCTTGGACTTCCAGTCCCCAGAACTGTGGGAAAGAAGCTCCTGTGTTTTATAAGCTACACGGTCTATGGTGTTTTGCTAAAGCAGCCTGAATAGACTAAGAAATCACTCAACAAACACTAATTAAATTAAATGCTAGGCCATCAGAATACGAAGGGGAAGAAGACAGAAACACTCGCCTCCTGATCCAGCATCCAGAACGCTCTGGGGCCCAGCAAGAGGCTGTGCTCGCGTCTTTCTCGTATCTGATCTTCGCCTCCATCCACCTGCTCGCTGGTCCTTGGCTGTGCCTCTGATACCCCAGTGTGAGAACGTGGAGTTTCTTAAGGCAATTCTCTTATCATATTTTCTCTACTTGTCACAACAAACTTACAGGAAAGTTGTTATTCCATGCGTTTTAGAGCTGGGGAGCATAGCCCCCGTGGGCTGAGCAGCTGGCCGAAGTCCTCAGCCCCTGTGGTGAGGTGCAGCTGGAGTGTGATTCTCCGGGTCCTCAGATGGGGGCATCCCCTTGAGGCCCCGCCTCTTGGCCAGGCTGCAGCCCAGGACCGTGCCAGGTGTGTGTTATCTATATTTGGACACACGCTGTGCGAAACGACGGGCACCCTGCAATTATCCGTGTGGTGTAGACGCAGTGTACGTCTGTGGTAATGGCTATAAATAAGCCCCGACTTGCCGACTAGGCACCGCTCCTCTTTTGGGTAGGCAGTTCTTGCTAAAATAGCCCTAAGATACAATCGAGTGAAGACCTGAGTCGTTCTTGAAATAAAAAAAAAAAAACGAACAAACACACGAACATGCACACACACGCTCACAAACCCAGGGGCTTGTGCACCTCCCTCCCTCCACAGCCGACCTCAACTCGGGTGTCCAGGCCTGCGAATGGCACAAATGCTCACTGAAATCCATGTCATTATTAAAGACTCATTCAGGAGTTGCAATTTGTGAGCCAGGGAACCTGTAGCTCGAAAGGATTGAAGATATGTCTGAGAATTCACACGTAAGGATTAGAACTCATGGAGGAGAGTTGCGGGGAGGGAGCGTGGGAAGTCAGTGCCCTGCCCTCTCTTTCTGGGTCGGGGGCTGAAGTGTCACACCCGGTTTCCTGGGAAAAGTGCAGTTTGGGACTCAGAAAGGACACGTTCCAGTTTTGAATCGTGATTTCCCCCGCCCTCAGTTTGAACAAGAAGCTTTTCCTCCTGAGGTCAGGCTGGTGATTTACGATGTGGGTATTGATGTGGGGAGAGGCAGGCCCAGGCGTCTATATATAGTAGCTCCTCAGACCTTAAACGGGAGGGAGGCACAGGCGCTTGCTTTGCAGGAGTCAGCTCTGCCTTCCTCGGCTGGAGTGTGGGTGGCTTGGTGAGCCGGTGGTCAGGAATTCTCTCTCCTCCTTGCAATTTTCCTTTCTGTCTGGGTAAGTGTCTTTCTCTTCTTGCCTTTTCTAATTTGTGGCTTTAAGGGGAGGACCGGTAACTTCTGCACTCACATTTTCTAAGTACCTCTACTTCAGGGTCAAGAAGAGAGAGCCAGTGCACCCCGTCGCAGGCACCCTTTACTGTGGAAAACAGAGCAATTAGTTCTGGGATCTGTATTTCTTTGACGAGGTTTTATGCTCAACTAACATTTTATTTCCCACAGCCGTGGTCTTTGCTAAGTGCCGTTTAGCACCCTGCGGCGTGTGCTTTGGGTTTTAGCCCTGGTCTCATCGTGGCCCCAGGGGGCCCCCCAGTCAGTGGACTGATGTCTGCAAGTTTCATGAGATTCTCAGAAACGAAAGCCTCCCCCGAGGAGAGGGCTGACTTATAAAGGTGTGAAATAATAAAACTGGATATTTTCTTAAGGGAAAAAAGAGTCGAGGGTCATTCAGCTTAGACCTAGCCTATATTATCCACGGTATGGGAAAGAGAACAATCCTTGTCAGGACTTGCAAGTTTTTGCCCAAAAATGACAGCGTTCTTACGGCTGTTTTCTTCTTTGTGCTGTTGGGTGTGTTGTGACCCTTCAGACTTCTTCAGCTCCACTCCGCTGATAGAGGCTGTGCCTTCTCAGGGCGTGCTCTTGAAATGCAACCTGCTGGAGAAAGACAGTGGGGCTGGGTGGTTGCACGTGGAAGGCACCGGAGGCAAACGGAAGGAAGGGGTTTGCCATCACTGGGAACACCTGGCCTTTTCTAATTCTCCATTTCACATTCCTTTCTTACTAAGTAGAAGTAAAACAGGACTCAAAGAAAGCGTGGAACAAAGATAATTTAAGGCGTTATTTAATAAACCAAGTCCCAAGCTAAAACTTGTCTTGGGAGCCAAGGGCTTAGCCACTTGTGGCACAGGCCAACGCTGCGTGTCTGGGAGTCCCTTTCCCCTCTAGAAAGCTTTAATTTGGTGTATTTATTGACTTTGACATTTTTAACTGTACAAACAATTTCCTTCATTAAGTGGAAGTCAATGTTTTGTACTTCAAACATTTTTGCAAATTAAAACCCATCCTGGTGACATGAGGAATGGGCTCCACACGTTGTTTGCAGGAAGGAATTAGGATGGGGATATCAGACACGTGGTCCCCTGCACTGGAGGAGAGGCTCGCGTTTCATCCTGGTGTCATGATTCCTAAACGTGTCAGGAGCATTCCGGGAGTGGCCGGGGAGCTGGGCTGTGGTGGAAAGTGGGCTGGACGCTGTCAGGAGAGTCAGCTGGCGCCTGGGTTCGGCCGTGGCCCTACCGGTGACCCGGGCAAGTCATATTTCCCTGGGGACGGTCTGTGCTAACAGTACAGCGTGGCGCCAGGATTATCTACACACAGGCTGTCCAAGCTGGGGGACTGTTAGCTGCCACCTCACTCAGCCCCCTGTTTTACAGCAGAGCAGGTGGAGGCCCCTGAGCTGAAGGTCAGCAGGTCCCCACTGGAGTCTCAGCCTCCCAATGCGCCTGAGCCCCAGGGACTCACATCAAAAACTACCCTGCGAGGAAAAGCTGCTTTCTTTCTCTCTCTCTTTCTTTTTTCTTTTTTTTTTTTTTGGTTGGTGTGTGTAGGGGGTATTTAACACATGTCTGAGATAGTTCCTTAAAAAGGAAAACAGCTTTCTATGTAGACAGTAGAGGGACATTGGGGAGCTGATCGGCCCAGGTCCTGTCATTTTCTTTATAGTGTCATAAATAGTACAGGTTGATCATTCCAAATCTGAAGATCAGAAATCCAGAATGCTCTAAATTCTGAAACTTTGTGAGCGCTGGTATGACTCTCAAAGGAAATGCTTACATGAGCATCTCAAGTATCCAATTTCTGGATTTGAGTTGCTCAACCAGTAAGTATAAATGCAAGTATTCCACAGTCTGAAAAACAAATCGGGAATTGGAAACTCTTCTGGTCCAAGCATTTTGGATAAGGGATGCTCCACCTGTAGGGTGCATTTGGCAAGTCCTCTCCAGGGTTCCCTCCACTCAGAAGGGCCCTGTGCTGCCAGGGCTGCAGGCACCCAGCACGTGCTGAGTCAGTGGGGATTTGCTTGCAAAGACGTCATCACACCCGGCCAGGAGGTGGTGGCCCAGGCTGGGTGAGGGACACTGGGGAAGTTCTAACATAGGAAGTCCCCCAAGGAGTGAAGAGATTGCGGAGGGGACACACATTCAGGGTGGGTGAGGCTGGACGTGCAGTCCTGCTGGTTTTCTGGGTTGGGCATGTGATTGATAAAAGTGGAGTTGAGGGCACATTGGCACTGGGAGTCAAATGCGCAGAAGACTTGAGCTTGCTACTCTCCCGAGCCAGGAGCTCTAAGGTGTTTTCATTGTTGAAATCCAAGGGTTCTGATTTAGGCTTGGCTGGCACGTTGCAAGTGACCCCATACTTGTGGAATCAACTGAGGCTGATGGATTCTGCAAAGCCTCTGACACCTCCTGATTTTGGTGGTCCTGAGCATGAAGTGAGCAGGGAATACATGTGGGGATAAACGTGGCAAAGTGCCCTGTTACCCCCATCCAAAGACTTCCCGGGGAGACTTCCACAGTAAGGTACCATTGGAGTGAGGATTGCAGGAAGTGTGCACACGTGATCCCAGCTCTGCCTTGCTAAGCACTACAAAGTGTAGCCCCTCACACATGAAGTGTTTGAAGACTTCCAGGCCCACAGGACCGGATGTCACGTCAGTGATACATAGGTTGCATTGGACAGGACGTTACAGACTGGTTGAAGGATAGCTAGTCTGTGAGCTCTCAAGACCTGAGCCGTTTCACATTCTTCCAGGTCTTAGGTCTAAGGAGGAGGATTTCCATCCAGGGCGATTCTCCTCTTATTTCAATGTAGCTCATTCTCTCCTTTGACCTAATAGGTCACATTTTGACTCTTCCCTTTACCAAGAAATACAAACACATCTGAGGTTTAACTCAACATAAGTGTAAGTAGATACTGTGATGACACATGAGCCCCTGCTGCAATAGCAGGTACTGGGGATTGCTCATGCGTCTGCTGGAGTGGAATTGCCTGGTATTCGTCAGGCTGATCCCAGAAGAACCTTGGATAGGAAACCGGATGGAAGCTGAAACGTCTTCCCCAACCTTGGTCCAACTTCATTTCAGTGAGCTCTTCCCAGCACCCTGCTGGTGAACTCCAGAGAGAGTAAATGGGTTTCTGAGCAGGAAGCGTTTCTTGAAGATCCACCTTGATTAACTCATTGGAAAATCCCAGTGAGCTGCATCTGGGGAGATTTCAAATAGTGAAGCAATACATAGATTTTCTCAGATACCTTTTCCTGTCTGCAGAATTCTTGAACCATGATAACAGCAGCAGCATAACAGAGACAGCAACCGATTTCGGTACCAGGGCCAGGGCCAGGCATGATGCAGATTCAATATGGAACGCCAGAGCTAGAGGAGCTAGAAGCTACCCCAGGCCTCATCAGAATGCTGGAGTCAGAATTCGATCCCAGGTCTACCAGACATCAAAACCTGGGCGCTTGACCTCTGCACTATGATACTGCCTTCAATATCAGGGCGGGTGGAGGAGATATGCTTTTATTTATTTATTTATTTATTTTATTTTTTATTTTTATTTTATTTTTTTTTTTGAGATGGAGTCTCGCTCTGTCACCCAGGCTGGAATGCAGTGGCGCGATCTCGGCTCACTGCAAGCTCCGCCTCCCAGGTTCACGCCATTCTCCTGCCTCAGCCTCCCGAGTAGCTGGGACTACAGGGGACCCCCACCATTCTGGCTAATTTTTTGTATTTTTTTTAGTAGAGACGGGGTTTCACCATCTTAGCCAGGGTAGTCTCAATCTCCTGACCTCGTGATCCACCCGCCTTGGCCTCCCAAAGTGCTGGGTTTACAGGTGTGAGCTACTGCGCCCGGCTGCTTTTATTGTGTTCTATGAGGTGCAACGTTCCGTTATATCCCTGGAGTAGAATGCATGCTGGTGCACTCTAAAACACGGCTGGGCCCTCCCAGGGTGGGGTGGTTGGTCGACTAGTTGGGTTTTAAGAGGCAATATTGAGAGAGTTAGTGTGGCAGTGTGAAAGGCCCAGAATAAGGATGGCCTTGGGGCAGGGGTAGCCTCTTCTACATGCTTTTGGGGAAGAATTTCTCCTTTCTGGCCCTCGTGTCCTGTTTTCTTCCCTGTAGAATAGGAGTTTGGGTAATCGCTAGTGATCTTTCCAAGTTCTACAATACTGTGATTCTCGGAGATTACAGAGTTCAAAGGAAACAGCTCATAAGGAGCAATTTATGTACTGTGGTAGGTTTTCTAGCACGTACCCTGGAGATCTGAACTATGACAAATTCATCTCCGAGCAGCCCTTGGCATTTTCCACCCAAGTCTCATACCCATGGCCCGGGATGTGGGTGGCACCCCTGGGGCTGTGCCATGGGGCCTGGCCTAGGAGTTCTGTCTTTAAATAAGGACAGATCCTCGTCATTTAAACAGAAAAGTAAAAAATGGAGCTCAGGTTGTGAGTCCTTTTGCACCTTGTTTGGGAAATTAATGACTGCAGAGATTTAGGAATACGGTCCCTACGTAACTTTGCCGTGATGATCAAGTCACTCAGCACGTTGGCATTTTACGTGTTTTGGGTGAACATGTACAGCAGATTGCCATGTCTAATACCTGTAATGCTGCAAGTTCCCAGAGAAAAAGATGGAACTCGCTCATCTCCTGTTTGGGGAGAATTTCATCCACACTCTCGAATTTCCCCACATCCCTGAGGCTTTCATGCCAGGCTCTGTCCTCACTTTTCCTGCTCACCTCCTGCTACGCCTGTCTACCGTAACCAGTGAGACTTCAGACGGCAGATTCCAGGGGGCATCTCCAGCCAGTCCCTTTTTCCACATCCCCCTTTGCATGGTGGAGAGACTGCCCGTTCCCCAGGCAGACACCCGCCACCTCCGCTTGTGGCTGCGTCTTTCCAGAGTGATTTCTGGTCACACCCACCCCTGCAAGTCTCCCATGATCCTGGATTCTCCTGCCCGACCTTTGCTTATGGGCTGCCCTCCTTTCCCACCTCCGCCTGGCAGTCCCACCTGTCCACCGAGCCTCCTCTCAAATGTCACCTGCCTCGTGGGCCACTCGGCCGTCCTGGCCTCCTGCCATTCCCAGGACACCTTCTACCTGCCCCGGGCTCTTGGCTCTTATCGTATGTTCTCTTGTATTCTAAGTGTTTGTTTACTTCTCTAATCTGCTTTAATTATTTTTGTACTTCCCACTTATATTGCTTTGAACTTTGCCCTGAACACACCAGGGGTTCTAGGAATACTTGTTGAGTTCACAATGAAATGAAACAGCAGCCCAATCTTCCAACTGTTGTGGAAGAAAACAAAAAATAAAGTTGGGTCCCTGGGAAGTTAATAGGCTTCCTGACTGCTGGTCTAAGGTGATTTCTGGCCATGTAATCTTTCATTTTTTCCCTTCCCAAGGGGGTTTTATTAACTGGAGTTCATTTTCCCCTTTGGAATGATGCAGAAATGGCAGAGGCCTCATGATGCTTGCGAGGGAGCTCAGTGTTGTGTGTGACTCTCTTTGTAGGAGCACGCCAAGATGTCCCTTGTGACTGTCCCCTTCTACCAGAAGAGACATAGGCACTTCGACCAGTCCTACCGTAATATTCAAACACGGTACCTGCTGGACGAATATGCGTCAAAAAAGTAAGCTGACATTCGCTGATGAGACGCGCAGAGCTTTGATTATGGGGGTCTGACATTTAAAGGCTTTTCCAGTTCCGTCAGCCCTGGAGAGGCACTGGTTTGCAGGGAGTCAGAGAGCAGAGATGGCAGCCTCTCCCGTGCCCAGGTCCTGCCACGGAGCAGCACTCTGTGGAGCTGGCGTAGTGTTCTGGCAGGTCCTGCTGGCCGAGTTCAGCTCCTGATCGAGGTGGGGAGGCAGGAAGTCCTTTGTATGAGCTCGTTGATTTTACTGCTCATCACATGCCTTCCAGAACTAGGATCTAAAAAGCCACCCAAAATAAAAAGCAATGAGATTGAAACTGGTGGGAAAGGCTGTCGGTAGGAGAGAAGTTAATGGGTGGCAGAGTAAAGACAGAATGGGAGGCAATATTAGTGATTTGGCTACATCGATCATGGATGTGCCGAGATCAAGAATCCCTGCCTCTGGGGCTGGTGTGCACCTGCATCTTCCGGAAGCTTCTCGGGGATGGCCTCATACAGGATGGCAGCTCACGCCCCCATGGACACTGTTTGTGTAGCAGCAAATCTGCAATCTTAATGGGCTGATTGGAAGGCTGTGGTGAAGGGAGGGAGGGACCGCGGGCAGGCGTTCTGCAGCCCAGGTGCCTGCCTCATGTCACCCACACCCTATGTTTAGAAACGCTTAGGGTACTTTTATTTAGTTGCCATCCCTTGTGCCAAACAAAGCCAAACATTTGCAGCCCCTCCCAGCAGCCTTGGGGTGTCTCAAATCCCTCAAGATATATATAATCCTGGCGTGGAGCCAGAAAGACTGTGGCCGGCACTGGCTGGCTCTGAAGGGAGGTGGCACCAGCCACAGTGAGCTCAGGGAGAAAGCACCCCAGGGCGGGCATGTGCGGGGTATGGGTGTGGGCACACAGGGACACAGGCTTGGGTTTGCCTGTGTGCAAGTGTGTGTACACTTGTGTAGGTTTGTTTATGTGTGCACGCGCTGTGTGTATGCATGTGCATGTGCTTGTGGGAAGGCGTGTCCTTGCATTTATGCATTTATTTGCATACACATGTGTACGCATGTATTGTATGTGCATATGCATGCATGTGTGTGCATGTGTGCATATATGTGTGTAGGTGCATGCCTCTCATATGCCTGTGCATGTGTGTGTTTGTGTGTGCTCTGCATATACCAGTGGTTTGGGGTGTGTAGAGAGAAAGTGATGTGTGTCAGGATAAATTTCCATACTGTGCCTGAGCATGCATCTCCTAATCGTGTCCATGTTCCTGAAGGCGAGCTTCCACCCAGGCATCTTCCCAGAAGTCCTTGAGTCAGCGGTCGTCTTCACAGAGAGCCTCCAGCCAGACGTCCCTGGGAGGAACCATCTGCAGGGTCTGTGCGAAGCGAGTGAGCACGCAGGAAGATGAGGAGCAGGAGAACAGAAGCAGGTGAGCACATGGCTTCCCTGACTCCACTTGTGCCCTGCGTGGGGTCACAGTGGAGGGACAGTGGGGTGAGGAGGGAAGAGCGACCTTAGCTGAGAGGGAAGATCAAGGAACACAGGCCATGCCTGGGGTGAGAGGGAGAATGCTGCTGTTTCCCAATCACCTGCTTCTCTTTACCATCATTATCTCAATTAATCTGAACAAGAAAACTACTGGGCACCAGCTTCCCACCATTTTGCAGAAGAGAGCGTTGCTGTTCAGAGCGCTCACGCCACTGCCCAGGATTCCATGTCTCACGCATGTCCCAGCTGGGCTTAGAGCTCCAGGGTCCGTGGCTTCCAAGCCAAGCTCAGTCCCTTTCCAGACAGAGCAGGATAAGCACACATGAAAACATCAAGACCTAGCAGTGTGAGAGTAATTCTGAATTTCCACTTGCAACCTCTGTAGCTATGCAGGAACAGCCGTGGAGGGGTGCACATTCAAGCAAGGTCATCTTCCTAAGCGGGAGCCAGGGTTTTAAACAGTTGTCGTGTGGAAACTAAAGAGTTGGGAAGGGATTCTATAAATTGTCATGCTTTACATTTCAACAGAGGCAGCTCGTGGGGTGAAATGTCATGGGAATGGGATGGATTAATAAAAATGCCAGTCTTAAAATTATTTCCAGATGACGGAGAAACAGGTGGTGATATGGCTTTGATCTTTTAAGGACAAAGTGAACAGTTAAACGTTCGCGGGTGCCTTGTTTTATACCTGCTGTATTTTTTCCCTCATCTCCCCCTGCTACTTCTGGGAATTTTCTCTATATCTTCAAAGCATTTAAAACCTGAAGGAAAAATAAGATTTGAGTAAACATCTTTCATTTTGAAAGTTTCAGAAAGATGAAGTCATCTGTTGAATATAAACAATGTATAGCCAAGAAGGTTAACGAAGGTTAACATTTATTTTTAAAAAATTGAATTTTTTTAAATGTCATAGGATAATTTTGCCATGTAAATGAATTCTAGTGTAAAGTGAAGATTTCTTTTGTGAAAGAATCTCTTTGAAATGTAGATGTTAACACAATCCAGATTTTTATGTATTGGATTAAAGGGTTCTTCTACCTATATTTAGGTTTTGGGGGCTACAATAGAATACTTGAGCTTATCATTTTATTTTTATCATTTAAACATTGATGTGAACTTGAACATATTGCATAAACTTCCTATCGCTCAATTTCCCTGCTGGTAAAATGGTAACAGTGAGTGGCTTACTGTGATTCATATGGTTTTGGCAGCAATGACTTTCAAGACAGCCTTGGCTGCTGGAAATTGTCCTAAAACACATTGGTCTATGCTCTTGCAATACCAAATCTGACTCAAAGAAGGGATTTGAGTGACTGGTGAAGGGGTTATGTTCTCACGGCACCTCTGATCCTCACGTTAAATGCCAGTCTGTCTTAGACGTAGTAGAGACGGGGGACGAAGGCTAGGCACTTTCTCAGCTTTGTGTGGAGCCCACGGCTCATGCTCTCCATGAGATTTTCTTCAGCAGCCCCCGAGTGTTGTATTCTCCTAACCCATGTGCATGTCTTCCATGGGGAAGATCGTTTTGAAATCAGTTCTTTCCTCCTTTAAAGGTAAACATAAGTCGTGGGGATCTCAGTGAGTTGGGCAAGTTCTAATTGAGATTTATTGTGAAGCCTGCTCTATCACCGTCATGCAGAAGGGCCCAGGAGGGATGAGTGAGCCCCGTGCTGAGTGATGTGAGCAGCTCCATGGATTCCAGCCCTTATTAGAATTCACCACTCTCACGGGCTGCAAGCATCATCACAAGCATGTATTTATCCCTGACCTCCCAACGTGGATATTAGTTTAGCGTGCTGGACAAGTTGGTCCTTTGCAAAAGATGAAATTGTGGGCTCACTGATGTGAGTTACTGCTGATGTCCCTGTGTCAAATAAATACTGAAGAGACATTGGCGCTCTGAAGGCACTCAACACGTCCTTCTGGAAGATACGACCCCGATGCTCTGAAGGCACTCAACACATCCTTCTGGAAGATATGGCCCATTGGAAATGTCCCTCTGACATCTTCCTTCAGTCCCAGTGAAAAATGGGCCTCCCTGAATCTTGCAAGCCACCTGTCCCGGGGCTTGTCATTTACAATCAGTGCATGACAAATGACGTTACTGTGCACACGTGGGCTGAAGTGACGGTCAACTGATCATCAGCCGGCAGAAATATTTCCTCAATGTCCTGACTTGGGGTTGGCTGTGGGAGGAATTCCAGACCAATTAGTTATTCTGAATCATGGAGGGTTAGAGGATAGTGGTGCTATTGACCTAAGAATAAGCTGAGGCTCTTGTTACTCAAACATAAAGAGCCCATAGAAAAGTAAACGGTGTCAAGAGAGGACATCTGAACCTTTAAACTCATCACAGTGCTGCGTGGCGCAGACCAAGCTTTGTCTTCTCGATCCCTGCAATTTGGTGGGATTCACTCCCCTGTAAGAAGGCTTGTTCCCTGCAGGACATCTGACGCCATCGTTCATTTCTTGAACACATATTCCTAGAACTCCTCCTGGCACCTGGCACCTGGATACTGGGGAACCAAGTACCTGGATACTGGGGAACCAAGTACCTGGATAATGGGGGAACGAAGTACCTGGATACTGGGGGAACCAAGTACCTGGATACTGGGGGGACGAAGTACCTGGATACTGGGGAACCAAGTACCTGGATACTGGGGAACCAAGTACCTGGATACTGGGGGAACGAAGTACCTGGATACTGGGGGAACGAAGTACCTGGATACTGGGGTAACCAAGTACCTGGATACTGGGGTAACCAAGTACCTGGATACTGGGGGAACCAAGTACCTGGATACTGGGGCAATGAAGAGGGCATTTTCCCGCTTTGTTGGGATTCAGAGTTACAGGACAGGGCTGGTGTCATTCAACATGCACATGCATGTGCTTATAGAGGTGGCACGTGCTCTGCAGGAGGAGGATGAGGACGTATGAAAGAGACCCACAGGGCTGTGATTTGAGGGTGGCCCTAGGGGAGAGGCTCTGAGGGAGAGACCCCTGTGCTGAAAGCAGGAGGAGCAGAAGCCAGCCCATTAGAGGTTGGGAGGAATCTACCCCAGGCAAGAGGGCATGCAGAATGGCTGAGGCCCAAACAGACTGTTCCCTAAACATTGTAGGGAAAGGCTGTGTGTGTGGTCGGAGCGGGGACAGGGAGGTGCGAGGTGAGGTCCCCGATTCCTAAGGAGATAAATCCACATTCCTTTCATGGTTAGATTTTAGGGTTCCTCCCACCTCATTTCTGTACGAAGAGGCTGCAGACTTCTGCAATTCTGATTGCGAACTTCCCAAATGCCTAACACCAGGCCTTAGTCTTAATCGCTGCTGGGGAAGCGCTGGTCCATCGGAGCCGTGTGGGGTTGTGGAAGCACCTCGGACAGAGGCCCTGCACCCTGGGTCTCGGACAGGCCTTACCGCCAACCTGCAGCGGGTCTCAGTTCTCCCCAGGTCTCTGGACAGCCGTGATGCTACGGTCCCCTCCAGCTCCGATACCGGGACTTTCTGTGCGATGTGGCCCTGGCCAAGAAGCCTCTTGGTGGCTCGTGCACAGTGCCACAGGCGGCGCTCCGGCTCGGCCACCTTTCCCTCCACCGCCTCCTTCCCAGGCCGTCTGTGCAGCTTCCTGTCCCTGCCACTCGGGAACGAACCTCCCCCAGCCTAACTTAGACTACTGAGTATTTATGAGACATCTTCTATGTGCTGAAGCTGGGGAATACAGAGGTGAGAAGTAGCCAATCCTTTCTCCTGGGAAGGATAAAATGTATGCAAATTACGATCATAAAGGCCCTAAGAGAAATAACAGGAGGTCTGGCGTTCAAGACACAGGGGAGAGGATTAGGGATGGCTCCGTGGGAGACATGGCATCTGAGATGGGTGTTGGAGGAAGGATGGAGTTTTGATTGAAAGGGATGGCAGTGAGATGTTTCTCACGAGTGGGACAGAATCCCAAGAGGGGAGCAGAACAGCGAGCGTCCTAATTTCAGTGGGACCTTGGGAACGCGATGGTGAGGGAGGTTGATGAGGCTGAAAGAGCTCCTGCAGGGTTTCCAGAGCATCTCAGAGCATGGAGGCAGGCCAGGCCTGGCCGTGTTGGGGTGCGATTTGTGGGGTTCACAAAATGGCATGTGAGCCGCGACGATGTGAACATTTCTGAGTCCCTAAGGACTGAAGATGCTGAATCCTTTAATCCTTTATTTATTATTATTATTTTTAGTATTCAGACATTCCTATCTGTATATTTTTAAACTCAAAATACTTTAATTCAGTTTTAAAATCACTCAGAAACTGCATCCTTCTCAGGAAAATAAATGGCTTTTATTTGCTGCCCTGCAGAGGAAAACTCACACATGGGGAGCTCACCATTTTCCTACATTTTCAAATCATGGAACTGACTTCAATAGCACCGTTAGCCCAGTAGCACCTAACAGTTTTGAGTCTCAGACCTGGGAAAGCATCAAGCCGTTTATCGGATAAATCCACAGAAGTTCCCTGATTTCCCGAGTTGCCCTGTCTTTACTGAGCACCTGCTGCATGTGAGTTTCTGTGCACACGAAGATGAGTAACAATGTCTCTGTTTTTAAGAGCCTCAGATTAAGTTCCCGACTCTCTGAGTGGGTGCCTGTTGTCTTTTGCTGCTCACGGTAATTCTCCAAAGCATCTCTTAGGGCCTCCAAGCGGTTTGCAGTTGTGCACTGTCAGTGGTGAAAGAAAGTTGGGGCAGGCACTTCCTGTATTTTTTTATTAATAAATCACATACATGTTCTTCTTTACAACTTCATCATGCATGGCATTCACACACCAAAATATACTCTTGAAGATAGATTCAAATGAGCAGAAGTAGCATTTCTCCTGTTCTCTTCTTGAACGCACTTAAGGAAACCCTAGGGAGAGAATGGGCATGCCCTTTCCGGCCTTCGGGGGCCACGTGGTTTTCTTCGTGACTCCTGCAACTGAGGCTGCTTCTCGGCTCCTGCAGGTACCAGTCCCTGGTGGCCGCCTATGGTGAGGCCAAGCGACAGCGCTTCCTCAGCGAGCTGGCCCACTTGGAGGAGGATGTCCACCTGGCACGCTCCCAGGCCCGCGACAAGCTGGACAAATACGCCATTCAGCAGATGGTAGGAGGGTCTCAGGGTGGCTGGGTGTCTGGGAAGCGTGGACTAGATCTTAGCTTGTCTGCATGGTGCTTGAGGGGCCGAGGGTGGAGCTTGGCTCGCTGCCTGGGAACCTGACCATCCTTGCTTCTCGGGGCAGATGGAGGACAAGCTGGCCTGGGAGAGACACACATTTGAAGAGCGGATAAGCAGGGCTCCTGAGATCCTGGTGCGGCTGCGATCCCACACCGTCTGGGAGAGGATGTCTGTGAAACTCTGCTTCACCGTGCAAGGATTTCCCACGCCCGTGGTGCAGTGGTGAGGGGCTCTGTTCCCAGGGGGTGAAGAAGTCCATTCTGCGTTTTCTTTCAGAAAGACCCCAGTTAAGGAGACAAACGCCATTGAACCTGTGCTGGAGGCCACTTACCTTGAAACTCTAAGCAGAAATATGTTTATAGAAGCTCTGAACGTTCACTTTAACTCATATGCAAACATTTTTATTTTCATGACATTGAGTCAACAAATTTTTCAGAGGGTTTTTTTTTTTTTTTTTTTTTTTTTTTTTTTTTTTTTTGAGATGGAGTCTCGCTCTGTTGCCCAGGCTGGAGTGTGATGGTGTGATCTCAGCTCAGTGCAATCTCCACTTCCCTGGTTTAAGTGATTCTCCTGCCTCAGCCTCCTGAGTAGCTGGGACCACAGGTGTACGCCACCACGCCTGGCTAATTTTTGTATTTTTAGTAGAGATGGGGTTTCACCATGTTGGCCAGGCTGATCTCAAACTCCTGACCTGAAGTGATCCACCTGCCTCGGCCTCCCAAAGTCCTGGGGTGACAGGCATGAGCCACACGCCTGACCAGAGTGTATTGTTTAAAAGTCACTACCCTGAAATGATCATGGCTGTTGTCCTGTTTGCAAGAGCACGTGCATGATTGCTGACTGTACACAAAACTGGAAAGTCTGCTTTTCAATATGGAAAACTCATAAGTGGAAAGCATAAACTCTAAAGTTTTGGGACTGCAGATCTGCAGTTAATGAAGCTGTGGTAATTGAAGAATTACATCTTTAAGCCCTCAAGACCCTTTTTGTATCAACATATATTGCTAAAGTTATACGTATATATCTATGTGCATTTATATGTGGGGTTGGGACTCTGAGCCACAGACCAGGCATATCGTGGCTGATGGCTGGATCCTGAGGTTCTTTGGAAGACAGGCTTGGGAGGCTGAGGCTCGCCTGCTCTTGATGCGGAGGTGCTGGGGTGGATGTGGTCCTGCCTCCTGGATGGAGCCATGAAGCCAGCTTCCTTTCACCAGGGTCAGTGCGTTAGGTCCCGCAGAACTCCCTGAGACACTAGCTACACTGCAGCTTAAGTAGGCGGGTCCGGGATCCAGCACCCAGTGTTTCTTATGGAATGACAAGTCCTGAATTCCTAACAAAGGTCAGGCAGGTGTTTGATCTGCCGAATGGGGAATCCCCTGAGAGTCTGAACGAGGAAAGCGCTGCTCTCGCCTTAGAAAGCAAAACCAGTGCGAACTCTGGGCCTCACCGTCAGGGCTCTGTCCTCCTCCCGCCTGAGGCTCTAAGGGAAACCTGCAGAAATGGGCAGCAGGCGCGGGGGAGCTGGGGCAGAATTGCACACACACAAAATACAACTCTGCCTTTAAACTAAAAACATGCCTCCCTCATTTAGGTACAAAGATGGCAGTCTGATTTGCCAGGCGGCTGAACCGGGAAAG
Organism: Homo sapiens; assembly: GCF_000001405.40. Lineage (NCBI taxonomy): Eukaryota > Metazoa > Chordata > Mammalia > Primates > Hominidae > Homo > Homo sapiens. The sequence goes on from NC_000008.11 coordinate 2,059,199, forward strand.
TACAGGATTGAGAGCAACTATGGCGTACACACACTGGAGATCAACAGGTATGGCTGTGGTGGGGGCTCTGGACGCTGGCGTCCAGTAATCAGCATTGCAGACCCCAAAGAAGAAGTCAGATGGGTAACTGGAGGCCAAATCACACCTGTCTGTTTGCACCCCGGGTGACTTTAAATAGCATTTATGAGTTAATGGTACTGGTGTTGGAAGCTTCCCTTTGTTTTTCTTTAGTGTCTGGCCAGAGGAATGCAAACTCTGGGAATAAAGACAGTAGATAGTTCAGGGAAAGGTAATGGCATCTGGGTGGAAAGGCTGCCATGCAGTGCAAGAAGCTTTCATTGACACCTCCTGCCAGGTTCGAGAAACACACCCTAAGTTCAGACTCTTCAAAGAATGATAACCTTTATTTTCTTTTATAACAAATCAAAAAAGTATATGAAATGTAGACAAATAAAAGAAAAACAATCATCTATACATCCAGCACCCAGGGTCAGTATGTTGCTGTATAGCTGGCATTTCTTTTTTCCTCACGCGACACACACACTTTTTTTTTTTTTTTTTGAGGCAGAGTTTCGCTCTTGTTGCCCAGGCTGGAGTGCAATGGCATGGTCTCGGCTCACCACAACCTCCACTTCCCAGGATCAAGCGATTCTCCTGCCTCAGCCTCCCCAGTAGTGGGGATTACAGACATGGGCCATCACGCCCAGCTAATTTTGTATTTTTAGTAGAGACGGGGTTTCACCATGTTGGTCAGGCTGGTCTCGAACTCCCGACCTCATGTGATCCACCTGCCTCGGTCTCCCAAAGTGCTGGGATTATAGGCATGAGCCACTGCCCCCGGCCCACACATTTCATTTTTTAAATAAAAGTGAGACACTGCTGTTCTTTTTCTGTTTCTGTGCATACACGGTTTTTACTTTTCACAAAAGACCCTGACATTACACAAGTCAGCTTTTTTCAGCAGTAGTATCTTGTGGCACCTTCCTATGGCTCTCATGTTAATTTTTCCAGTGAACCTGACTGCCTGTTTTTGAACTTAAGGAGCACACGCTTGTCCAGGAGCCAGAAGGCCACATTTACCATGTGACTTTGAATAAGCCATTAACGCCTCCTGAAAACAATTATCAAGAGACAGATAGTAACAATTTTATCTTCTCTATAGGACTAAAAGAGTTACTGTGAGACTCCAATAAGAAGATGCATGTTGTGTTTATATATGTTTATATATATAACGGGAGGTGTGGGGTGTGTGTGCTTGTGTGTGTAGTCAGTTATATCAAATCCCTTCTAGGAAAACATGAGGGATGTTTGTATAAATAAGGTAAAAAATAAGTGAGACATTGGAACATACGATTTTATTGATTTTATTCTGACTAAACTGTAAAGCAGTGAGTGCATCATTGTTAGGCCTCTGTTCTTCAGAGGAAAAGGTGCCTGCTAATTCCCAGAGGGAGCTCAGAGGAGCTCAGGAGGGTGAACACAAATGTTGATTGATCATCCTGCCTCCCCTCCCCAGAAGCCTGCTTGGAAGGAAAGTCTTGCTCTGTTCGTTTGTTTGTTTTTTTAAAGCTTTTATACATTGGATCCTGTTAAAAAGTTATCCTGACACTCGTTAAGGACATTAAGGAAGACTTCCTTCAAGGACCACAGGGAGGGATTCTTGCTCTGGGGGAGAGAAACCGGGCTCAGCTCTGAGTACAGCAGGAAAGTGGGAGTGAGACCAAGGAGTAGGGTAGGGCGGATGGGAAATTACTAGGGGGAGATGGGGGTGAGGGGGTTCCGGCCGAGCCTCCCCAGCAGGGTTCTGGCTGAAGGCAGGCTGGGGCCATCAGACATCCCTGGGGATGGAGGGCTGAGGAGCCCATCTGCTATCGAGGGAGGGGCTTGAGTTGGGCTGAGCTGGTGGGATTCTTACTGTTGAGGGCCCACCAAGCCTGGGGCCTGGTTGGGAAGAGGGTTGAAAGGAGCTGTCTCCGGTTTAGTGAGGGAGGGGGTCTCTGTCCCCATCCAGCCTGGTGTTTAGTGAGGGAGGGCGTCTCTGTCCCCGTCCAGCCCAGTGTTTAGTGAGGGAGGGTGTCTCTGTCCCTGTCCAGCCCAGTGTTTAGTGAGGGAGGGCGTCTTTGTCCCCTCCAGCCTGGTGGTTAGTAAGGGACTAGTCTTTGTCCCCGTCCAGCCTGGCAGAAAGTTGGGCTCTGCCTGGCTTCTCTCCCTCTGTCTGGCTCCTGCCCTGTGCCCTCCCCCAGCATCCTTACCAACTCTTCCTCTTCCTGCCTTCCCTTCCTCCTGTTCCCGACTCTACCTGGGGCGGTGGCTTCAGCCAGCTCTTCCTGATGCTCATCCTGGTGGCCTGAGCATGGCTTCTGCCCGGTGGTGCCCCTCCCCGAGTCAGGGGGTCCACCAGCTCCTCTGTGTGTGGGACTCCCTCCTGCTTCCTCCTCCCAGGAGCCTGCATGGGGCCTGGGGCCTTTGTCCTGCTGGAATGGTCCACCCTCTGCAGATTCACTAGAGTTGGGTGTTGAAAGGCAATAATTGAGATTGAAATTTGCAGGGCATCCTACCTCATTTCTCCAGATAAATCCGGGTTTCTCTAGGAAAGCTCTCCTTCTGGCGGGCTCCTTGGCCCTGCTCACAGAGAGCTTGCTGTGTGCCTGGTGCTATCCTGGATGTTCGAGAGGCTTCAGGGGCCAAGACAAGGATGCCGCCTTCCAGGTCCCACTCTCTGGCATCAGGAGGCAATTGATGAGTGAAGGACACAGCCAGCCACAGCAGCTGTGGGTGAGGGGAGGGGGCTGTGGCCCGTTGTGGTGTGAAATAGATGCCAGGTGGACCTTCATGGAGATATCACATGAGCAAGGCTTGAAGGCCAGTAGAGGACCCAGAGCTGTGGAGTGGGTGGGCCCCCTGGCACAAAGGCTCTGAGAGGTGCATTGGGGGTCCTGGGCTGGGGGGTTGGCAGGGGACAAGCTGTCACAGGCATAGCCAGTGGCCCTGCAGATCACGGGGACCCCGTGGGCCATTGTAAGGACATTGGCTTTGCTGGAGGGAGGCGGGGAGACCCCAGAGGGCTGAGGGGAGAAGGAAGGATGTAACATTGACCTCTAGAGGATCACTCTGACTGCAGACAGGCTGCAGGGCCTGGCAGGCCTGGTGGGAGCCCTTGCTAGAATCCGGGAAGGAACACAGGCCTGGGAGCGGGAGGGAGCAGGGGAGTGGGAAGAAGTGGGTGCTCTGGGCAGCTTTTGAGGGTAGAGCCAGCAGGATTTGCTGCTGGGCTCGACTGGGCATTAGTGAAAGAGAGGGGTCCAAGTATTCTCAGAGCTGTGGCCATCACAGCGGGGTAGGCCTGGGTTGGGCAGTGGAGTTAGGCACAGGCTGCAAAGGATGCCTCTCCTGGGGCCCTCTCCAAGTTTTTCAGAGAGAAACTTTCTCTCCTTGGATTTCCGAAAGTTGTGGGAGTTTTAATAGACCGTAGGCCGTCATGTCTAGAAAGAGACCACCTGCCTTCATTTTGGACAGCTCATGGGTATGTGGGGCTGTCTGCTTTCTACCCTGTGTGTGCTGTGAATGTTTAGGGGTAAGTAGGTTGGTCTGAGTTCCAGATCAGCTTGTTCCCAAGCTGTGTTCTGATAATTGTTTTAAAAAGAAAAGAATGATATACCTTTCTCAAGAATGAAAAACGTTGCGTTGACATCGGTGTTGGCAACATTTAAACTTTACATTGGGCACCACATGGGCTTCGAACGGAATGGACTAATTTGTGAGATAAAGTCGTTGAATCCGCCCCGGAATACCACAAGTCAATGATCCCCTAATATAGGTCTCCTCTGATGGACTTGGATTTTGCTTGCATATGCAAATATTTGGGAAACTTGGGAAAAGGAAACTTCCAAGACCACCTTTTGTCTCAGTATTCTTGTTGGTCCTAGGAAGCTCCAAACAGATGAAATGTTAATATTCTTCGGGAAAAGAGCAATGAGATAAACCCACAAATTACAGCTTGTCTCAGCTGTTCATACCAAACTGCTGAGCCGCCGGTCATCCGATCTGTGGCCATTTTCAGTGGCAGAATGTGTTGGCACCCACCTCTTGATTGGCTCAGGAATGAGCTTTTCCTTCTGTGACATGAGTGACATTTATTCCTATGAATATTCCTTGGCCACGGTAGCTGGATTCTTAAAGTGCTGAAAAAGAAGCTCCCCCTTGGTACTATTTTATTTTAAATTTGTAATTGACACTGTTTTATATGCTCATAAGATTTTCCCATGGGACTCATGATGTGAGCCCTCATTCTTCAAAGAATATGATGTTCTCATATTTTTATGAAAGTATTTATAATAGAACAATCTATCTGGTTTTCTATCAGTAACGTGCTCACTCCCCATTCATTCTTTGCTGAGTGATTTTAGGGTGAAACGTTTTTTGTACTTTATTTTTAGAGCTTGATGTTTAAATTTTGATTTAATTAAATTATAAATCCAGCGTCATCACCACTTATAATTTGAGGACATGAGGCCCCAGCTGCCCATGAGAATTGATATGGCACTTAACCTTATGGCTGCCCATCTTTAAGACAGGACAGAACCAGCTTCTCCCAGGGGGTTGTTTTAGGGGCCTTCAAACAGATACTCTGGGATGCCAAAGGGCGCCATGGACGTTTGTATAAATTGAGACCAGAGAAGACTCTCTCCATCTATTCTGGGAACCTGTCAGAACAGGAAATAAAACCCTTGCCTCTCCCTCACTTGCTTGCAAGTTCTCACAGCATGAAGCAAAGGCTGGAATTAGACTGGGGGTGAGCTGAGTGCCTGTGTGGGGCCTCGGGAAGGGGAGGAAGACGGGGGTCCTTTGGAAACTGCCCATGGGCCAAAGCTGTGATTTGCCTCCAAATCCCAAGTGGACACAGGCTAAGCTGAGGAAGTCTCCGCGAGAGTGGCCGCCCTTCCTCCTGCATCTGCTCCGTCGTCTGCCCAGGCCCCCTGCTTCCCGGCCTCGGGGCAGGCAGGGGGCAAACCCTGGGAGGCAGGGCAAGGGTGCCCTTACCTCCCTCCCAGGGCAGGTCTTTGCGTTTGTTTATAACCTACACAGGGACCTGTGTTCCAACACACTTCATACAGTATGAAACAAGGTCGAAAGAGAAAAGGTGAGACAGCGGGAACCATAAACAGAAGGCCTAACTTACCCGTGCCCACCGTGGGGGTGACCGCGAGCTCCTTAGCGGGGCGCCTCCTGCATGGAGTGGGGCCACCGCCGTCGTCAGTGGGTCGGGATCTTTGCTCCGGTGACGGGTTTCTTTACAGAAGGAAGGAGAGCGCTCTCTTCGGAGAGCCCACGTGTTTTGCAGTCGCTGCGGGAGGCCAAGCGGATGGAGGGCTTCTTCCCCCAGTGGCTCCTGCCTCTGAGCACCAAGTGCTAATTGGTGACTTGATGAGCTAATCAGTGCTAATGCGCGAGGTTGCACTCCCCTGGGATCTTAATGCCTGAAGTCAATTGAAAAACAAGCTCCTTGCCCTTTGGGAGAGGCTGCTGGCTGGCGAGGGGGGCCGTGGCCTGGGGAACACATCTCCCTCCTCCTTCTCCTCCATCCCCCTCCTCCTTCTCCTCTCCTGGCACCAGTGATCTTATTTCCTACATTCTTAGACAAGGTTTATCCCCTTCCTGTACCCCTCCCAGCTATCCCCTGCCCAGGAGCTGTGAAACAGCAATTCATTGCAGTTCTCAAAAGACTTAGAAATTGTGTTGCTTTATAGGACTGTAAGGGCAAGGAGGGATTTCCGTAGAGGAGAGGCCAGAAGGAATCATCTTTGAACTTTTGGTTCAGGAATTCAGCTATTATTTCTTAGTTACTAATATATAAGATTAACATTATATGATAAAACCACAAAATGTTTTCAAGTACATTGTTTTATTTAATCATCAAAGTCACCCTAGTCAAGTGTGGGTGCTCAATACATGTATTCTAGAAGTCTAAAATACCCACAATGTGTTTATTATATAGTCAGTAGATAAGAATGATCGGGCTGGTCTCATGAAGGCACCAGTTTGGAAGGAGAATTTGAGGCTGGCAGCTGCAGGTGTGTAAAAGCCTTGGCAGGCCAGGCACGGTGGCTCATGCCTGTAATCCCAGCATGTTGGGAGGCCGAGGCAGGTGAATCACGAGGTCAGGAGTTTGAGACCAGCCTGAGCAACATGGTGAAACCCTGTCTCTACTAAAAATACAAAAAATTAGCTGGGTGTGGTGGTGCGCACCTGTAATCCCAGCTACTCAGGAGGCTGAGGCAGGAGAATTGCTTGAACCTGGGAAGCGGAGGTTTCAGTGAGCCAAGATCACGCCACTGCACTTCAGCCCGGGTGACAGTGTGAGACTCCATCTCAACAAAAAAGAGCCTCGGCAACTATTTTTGCCCTGGATTTTCTTCTTATTTCTTCTTATTGCCCAGTGTTTCTTCTTATTCTCTATTCTTCTCATTGCCCAATATTGAAAAAAATCCTGAATCCAAGACAAGTAGTTTCAAATGAAAACATTTTTACCTTGACATCTCAGAATATTATCCAATTACATAGAGGTAGTAGGAGAAGCTCTGCCTGAGGCCCCGGTACCCATGAGTTAAGTGGCTGCGTAAGGTTCATGTTGGGCTTCGTGCCTGACAGGTGTGTGATGAGCTGAGTCTACACTGACACCACAGTTTAAAAACGGCTAAAACACACGGAGGAAGAAATGTGCAGCACACGGGGGAGATTCCAGTTGAGAGCCGTGGGGCGCAGTGTGAACGCTGTTGATGTTACTTAACAGGCAGCAGCAGGGTTTTCAAGGGGTTGGCTGGAGCCCTGTCCATGTAGCCCACACTCCCGCTCCTCGAGTACAAGGGTGGGTCAAGGCGTTCACCCTTCCTCACTGAGGAACTGGTCATGACGGTGACCTGCTGGGCTTGGGGACAGCCCGTGCCCTGGTCCAGCCGGGTCACATCCCGTGAGTCCTGCCCTGGTCCAGCAGGGTCACGTGCAGCGGTTCCTGCACGGGAACTGCCCGTGCACCTGCTCTGTGCTTCTCTGGTTTATGGCTCCCTCCTTGAGAATCTGAGTCCACCTGGCTTGTGCGTTCACAGGACAGGCTCCAGGTCAGCAGATTCCGATCAAGCAGATTTTACAGACCGCCTTGCTCACTTCCATATACTCTGGCATTCGAATCCTTCCAGCGGTGCCTGTGGGAGGCTGTCGCCCTTGTTTCTCTCATCTGCTGTGTTATTGCTAGTGGGGGTGGGATCGTTGTAGAGGAAGGGTTAGGATGAATCCCAAAAGAAGAATATATTTGGGTTTGGAGAATGCATTTTTGAAAACATAATGGTTTTATTATTTAGAAGAAGTAACATGAGCACAAAGTAAACAAACAAACAAAATGCAGCAATGCCCACGGGTCCTGCAGAGAAGCACCTCCTCCTTCCACCGCGGACCCCAGTCCCAGGCATGTTCTGAGAGGCAGCAGCACAATGCGCTCCCTGTGGGGATGCGTATGTGAGTATTATGTGTGAATTATATGGGTAGATCAGCACAGGTTGTTAATGCTTAGCATTGGAGAAAGCCTCTACTTATGGGGTTTTTATGTGTTTTACACACACTGTTGCTTTGCACCTGGGGACATGGCTGTGCCTGTGGTGATCTGGAAATAGGACAGCAGCGTAGCTTCTAATGAGTTCAGGCTAGAATTGTAGCTTTGCTGATGGCTTTGTAGTTCGGCTTGTATTCCTCCACGGTGAACTAGAAGATAATGTTCTTGGTTTGAAAATCTACCCAGACTGGGCTCTGGTGTGTGATCTGTCCCTTGAGCAACGGCAGTTAGGGAGGTCAGATGGTTTTATCTGACATATTGAAACTGGATTTGAACTTCAGCAGGAGGGGAAAGAATTCTCAGTAGATAGCACAGTTCTCGGACACGTTCTTTCCCTTTTGTTGGAGAAACGGAAATTTTTGATCTAAGAAAATATTTTCAGCACGTATAGTGGAACAGAGAAGAAAATAAAATTACTAATGACTTCGCAGGAATGGATTTTGTCTCTGGAGGCACTGGCTTCTTAATGCATTTGAAAAGTGAGACTTGAGTAACTCTTGCTTTTCTCAAAAGTGGGGACTTTTTGTGTTGTTTCTTTTCCCACGTTAAGATTCTGCTCAGGTGTCCATGGCTTGGAAAGGAGCTACCAGAAAGAATGCAATTTTGGAGTCACGTGGACCTTGTTTACCTAGCTTCTTACCTTACTGTGTTGATTGCTCACCATCCTAGTGGGATAGTGATGTCTGTTTTCCAGGCTACTTGAGGATGAACGTGGAAATGCTGATGTGAAGTGACTTGAGGAGGGCTTGGTGTTGAGTAAAAGCTCAGCTGATCTTAGCGCCTCTTCCTTACCCCCTCTTGTCTCCATTTCCTGGGGAAGCTGGTGGGAAGACAGTTCACAGCCAAGAAGAGAAGTTTTAGCTTTAGTACCATGGATATGGGGAAGCAGAAGACCCACCCCCACAGGTACTTGGGTTTTGTGAGCCTGGCTATTCCTAAGTCATGTTTTTTTTTGTTTTGTTTTGTTTTCCCAGGGATAAACACACATCAGTGTCTCAGGTGGAGTCCAACTCAGACATTTCAATACACCCTTGAGTGGGTGATTCATGTCTTGGGATCATATTACTTTGGGATTCTGGATGTAGCCTCTTATTAGCATGGGAATCCTACTGGGGAGCTGGGTAGGGTTGTAGAATCTGCTTTTGGAACAGGGAGTTTGTCACTTAGAAGTTAATCGGTCTCTGCACCTTGGAACCCTCTGTGTACGCCAGGTACAAGCTGTGTTGAGGGCTTCGATGGGTTTTCGGTGGTTTCATCCCAGGATTCTCATCCCAGGGGCATTAAAGGATGGAGAGCATCGTGGGCGCAGCTCTTCAATGCTCGTGTGCGCCAGGCAGAGAGCATACCGGGGGGCGGCAGCTCTTCAATGCCTGTGCACACCAGGCCGAGAGCATCCTGGGGACAGCTCTTCAATGCCTGTGTGCACCAGGTGGAGAGCATCCCGGGGGCAGCTCTTCAATGCCTGTGTGCACCAGGCAGAGAGCATCCTGGGCACAGCTCTTCAATGCCTGTGTGTACCAGGCGGAGAGCATCCCGGGGGCAGCTCTTCAATGCCCGTGTGCACCAGGCGGAGAGCATCCTGGGGACAGCTCTTCAATGCCTGTGTGCACCAGGTGGAGAGCATCCTGGGGACAGCTCTTCAATGCCCGTGTGCACCAGGCGGAGAGCATCCCGTGGGCAGCTCTTCAATGCCCGTGTGCACCAGGCAGAGAGCATCCTGGGTACAGCTCTTCAATGCCTGTGTGCACCAGGCGGAGAGCATCCCGGGGGACAGCTCTTCAATGCCCATGTGCACTAGGCAGAGAGCATCCTGGGCGCAGCTCTTCAATGCACGTGTGCACCAGGATCACCTGGAGAGTGGAGCAAAGCTCAAGCTCCCGGACCACCTTAGAACTCGCATGGGATGGACTGCCCCATGGGAACGACTCCCTGTATGGGAACGGCTCCTGCATGGAATGGACCCCCCCGCCATGGTTCAGGGCCTCCCTGAAGCAGCACTCTGCCTTCTCCTCTGGCAGCATCCTGGCTCCTACACGGAGCAGGTCCACGGCTCTCCCAGGCAGGCTCTGTATCATCCCATCACGACTGGTTCTGCTGGAGCTTGAGGTCACGGGAGGCTGTCCATTGACAAGATGAAACCGCGCATTCCATAGAGGTAGAAAAAATAGGACCAGAATGGAATAGAGACTTCTCCTTGAGAATGAACAAAGGATTTTCAGGAGTGCCAGTACCTTTTTATTCTTAAGGCCGAAACTGCACCATCTTCTGGGATCAGGCCTTCATCTGTGTCTATAATTAATACCGAGTGCTGCCTCACCTTTCCAAGGACAGAGCTGGCATTGTTCTTGCACAAATCACTCATGAACAAATAAACCACGCCATGTGATTTGCTTTCGAGGAATGCTTTTGTGCAATTCGGGTCACTGACTTTTACACAACAGTCCCGCAGACTTTCTCTTGTTTTTTTCTCTCCAAGGGCAGACTTTGACGACACTGCGACATACTCAGCAGTGGCCACCAATGCCCACGGACAAGTGTCCACCAACGCGGCGGTGGTGGTGAGAAGTGAGTGCCGGGTGGGCTTTCACGGGGCACCTCCCGCCTCCTTTTCTCTTTTCTGCTGCACTCACTTTGCTGTCTTGCAGGGTTCCGGGGAGACGAGGAACCATTCCGTTCGGTGGGACTCCCGATTGGATGTAAGTGGGTTTTTGTTTCTTTTCTGTGTGGTGAAATGTTTAGTGACATAGCAGACAATTTGAAAACATGGTTTCCTAAGGGCCAAATCTTTTTTTTTTTTTGAGACGGAGTCTCACTCTGTCACCCAGGCTGGAGTGCAGTGGTGCCATCTCGGCTCACCATAAGCTCCGCCTCCCGGGTTCACACCTAAGGGTCAAATCTTTTTTACAAAAATCATTTCAGAGAGCTCCTCCAAGTTTCTCCTGGCCAGTGTTAGCATGCTGACAATTTGTTCCCATGTAATTCTATGGCTAGGTGGTATTTTTAGACTGGTGAAAACATCACTTGGAGAGACTTTACGTTTTTGAACTGGAAAAAAAGAGACACATCCAAATTCTTGACCTGAATGCATCATGTTGCTGTTTCGTGTTTAAGGAGATGTTTTTTTTTTCTCCAAAAGTCTCTTGGTCCTTGTAACAAATGACTTCAGGTCAAAACAAGGGCAGTGCAGCAGGCTTTGGTCCAGAGACCCGCCCCAGGCCTAGGACCTGCCCTGGCCCTGTAATGAGGCGAAGCCCTCTCTGGCCCTGAGCTGGCTTCACCCTAGCAGTCCCATGGTGCTGGGTGACCCATGCTGGGTGAGGTGAGGCGGTCCCCATGAGGGCATCTGGAGGACGGGGACATGATGGATGCCCTTTCGAGGCAGCTTGTTTATGGCTTGGGAGTGAGTTTTAGAATTGGCCTGAACTTCCCAGGAAGGAACCGTACATTCCGATGGAAGCACTGATTTTACTGTAATGCGAGGCTTAGTTGCTCTGGGCCACGTGCTGGGAGTGGAGAGTTGACCGAAGCAACGATGGAGGGTGGAGCCTCCTGGCAGCTGCTGGCCGCTGTGGGCGTGGCCTCTGCTCGCGATTTCTGTGTGACTTTTTTTGCTGGGCTACATCCAACACTCGGTGAGCCCCCAAGACCACCAAAGGGCAGGCAGGGATCAGTCCAAAGTGAGCCTGGGGAGCCCGGGAGATCTGGGTGTCTGTGTGTAGCTCTGGCCCTCAGGACAGCACAGAGTCTGTGTGGAGAGTTGCCCCAGGCACTGATGAGCTGGGCAGGTCCTGGCAGTCACCTGGTCCCATCCCGGGGTTTCTCCTATCTATTAACATTTTATCTTCCTCATTAAGAACTGTGGCGCAGTTACAGCATAGATCACCATGGAAGAATGCTCATGTGTTCACCACCCGTGTTTGACAGAGGGAAATATCTTGCTATTTTTGCTTCAGTTGTTTTTCGTCGAAGTCAAATTTATATAACACGACATTAACCATTGTACATAACACAATGTTAACCATTGTACAGCGTACAGCTCAGGGTAGCTTCAATTATTTTCCAAGAACTGAAACAATGACAGAGATGATGGAAGCAGCCAGTGCTGCTCCTGCCCGTCTCCCACACCGTCCTGGCATTGGCAGTGGCTTTTTAAATTTTTTATTTTTATTTATTTATTTATTTTTGAGACAGGGTCTCACTCGGTCGCCCAGGCTGGAGTGCAGTGGTGCGATCTTGGCTCACTGCAGCCTTGATCTCCCTGGCTCAAGGAATCCTTTTGCTTCAACCTCCCAAATAGCTGGGACTACAGGCGTGTGTCACCAAACCCGGCTCGTTTTTTCTTTATTTTTTTATTTTTATTTTTTTTTGCATTTTGTAGAGATGCGGTTTCACCATGTTGCCCAGGTTGTTCTCGAACTCCTGGGCTCAAGTGATTCTCCCACCTTGGCCTCCCAAAGTGCTGGGATTACAGGCATGAGCCACTGTACCCGGCCTGCAGCTGTTGTTTAAACTTCCCTACATGCATGTGTCTGTAAACCATACAGTTTTTTTTTGGTTTTAAAAATTCAGTATAGATTTTTTTCCTGACATGTATGTACTTCTCCCCCTACCACACATATTTTTGAAATTTAACCAGGCTGACGCTTCTGGATCTAGTTACTTCATTTGGGTGAACTCTAAACTCTACGGATGCAAATACCACCGTTTGTTTTGAGGAGGAGGCAGCCGTGGCTTCCAAGTCCATGTGACTTGCCAGAAGCCACAGTCTGGGGCTGAGGTTGGACTTAAACCTTTGGTCTTCACACACGATCAGGTTCTCAGCCCTGCCTCTGACGACACCGCAAAGTCGACTTTGTGACATTTAATTCTTCCGCAGTGGCTTGTCTCCGCTCCGGCTGCTGGAACAACACGCCATGGCCGGGGCAGTTTACGAACAGCAAACACTTATCCTCTCTGTTCTGGAGGCAGAAGCCTGACACTCAGCAGGCATGGCTTCTGGTGAGGAGCCTCCTCCCGGGTTGCTGACGGCACCTGCTCACGGTGTCCTCACGTGGAAGGAAGGAAGGTCTGGCCTCTTCCTCCTCTTCCAAGGGCGCTCATTCTCCCCTGGGGTCCCACTCTCACGATCTCATCCCACCCTCATCACCTCCCAAAGGCCCCACCTCCTTACACCGTCCCATTGAGGGTCAGGGATTCAACACTGGAATTCTGGGGGGACACAGACATTCCGTGTGGAGCACGGACCTGGCTACGGGTGTTCCATGCTGTGGGGCGGTGACAAAGACGTGCTTTTGCGGTGACGGTCTGAGTGTGTCTGCTGTCAAAGATGCTCTCTGCCCTAATGGCGTGAACCCGGGAGGCGAAGCCTGCAGTGAGCCGAGGTCGCACCACTGCACTCCAACCTGGACAACAGAGCGAGACTCCGTCCCCCCGCCCCCCGCCCCCAAAAAAGAAAGATGCTCTCTGCCCTTCGGCCATGAAAGCCTCCATCGTTTCATGCTCTCTGCCCTTCGGCCCTGAAAGCCTCCATCGTTTCTGTGCAGTGCCCCTGTCATCGATGATTCCGTACACGCACTTCGACGTCCAGTTTTTGGAGAAGTTTGGGGTCACCTTCAGGAGGGAAGGCGAGACGGTCACTCTCAAGTGCACCATGCTGGTGACGCCGGACCTGAAGCGGGTGCAGCCGCGCGCCGAGTGGTACCGCGATGGTGAGTAGGACACGGCCCAGACCCGGGCACACACCAGGAGGCTTTTGGACGGAAATGTCCTTTAAATGTGGGTGTCAATGTGGCTTTTGTCTCTACCACTGGGTCAGCTCCAGACAGCGAAACAAACTGAGGGACTGTAGAGGACTTGGTGGCCCACCGTTCGCCTTGAACTTCATCCAGGAGAATCCTGGAGAGGGAGACCCCGAACCTAGAGCAGCCACTTAGAGACTGAGCGCTCGTACAGTGACAGAAAGAATGATCTCGTGCCATTTAGATTCAGTTTAATGCACATTACTGCATGGAAGGGGCTGGTTAGCAGCTTGTGTACTATTTCTAGACAGAAATGCTACCTTAGTCGTATTGAGATTCTTTTCTTCCTTCCATCCAGTCATTTTGTTTTTAGAGTTTGATGATATGGAGGGTCTATGCTGGGTTCTTTGGAGATGTGACAGTAGCCCCTTCAGCTGCACACCCCTGTAATCCCCCACGGGCGGGGGGAAGCCGGTTGGGGCAGTGGCCGTCCAGCAGAGAAGCAGCGGGCCCCCAGGTGAACCCAGTTTACCTGAGGACAAAGCTGGCGGCCGCTCGCAGCACGTCCCACTTTGACCCACTCAAGTGGCAGCCTGTGTTCTGGGCTGTGGGTGCTCAGTTCACGCGTGTGCTTCCACGAAGTGCAGCTGTTGGGATTTTACCAGGCTGAGGCTCTGCCTTCCGTGGTGTCCAGCTCGACTGTCCTGTCCCGCTCTGAGACGACGCTGGTGTCCCCGAGGCTTTCTTTGCCTGCTGGGGTGATTTTGGATGCAAACCTTCCGTGTTAACGCTCTTTCAGACGTGCTGTTGAAAGAGTCCAAGTGGACGAAGATGTTCTTTGGAGAAGGCCAGGCCTCCCTGTCCTTCAGCCACCTGCACAAGGACGACGAGGGCCTGTACACCCTGCGCATCGTGTCTCGGGGCGGCGTCAGCGACCACAGCGCCTTCCTGTTTGTCAGAGGTGCGGGCAGCAGGGTTCTCAGGGTGCAGACCTTGTGTGTGCCCGGGGAGGGGAGGCAGCCCTGGGAGGAGGGAGGCGCTGGGAAAAGGAGTCCAGAGGGTGTGAGACCACTTTGCTCCTTGGAGACCCCATGCGGCCCCGATTTTCCCTCAGTGCATGGGCACGCCAGGTGCTTCCTGCCGATGAGCAGACGGAAGAATCGGGACACAATCCGGAATAGACCAGAATCATCATTTTTTTGTCTCTTGAATCGTTCATATAGTCATTAGCATTTGAAAAACGATTCCCAAGAGTGAGTGCCCCAGATTTACTCATTCTCAGGGAACGTAGCCCGAGGATGAAGAGGGGCACAGTGTTGGAGTCCCAGGGAAGAGCTTCCTTACTCTCCTGCCAGCGACTCATTCCCTCTGGACTTTGGCTTAAGAGAGGCAGATGTGATGATGATGACAGCCAGTGCTGTGACCTCCACCACCCACTTCAGTGAAACTCGTGCTTAAGACACTTGTGGCCATGACAGCTGTCATCACCAGACGCTTTATGTCAGGCAGTGTGCTGGGGTCCTACACGGATTTCGTCTTCACAGCAGACTCACTAGGGAAGCTTCACTCATTCCATTTATGAAAAGAAAGACAATATTTGTGATATACAGATATATATATTTATAAAATGCCTATTGTATACAGCCTATAGGTGTGCATGTATGTGCCTATACTTACATAAACATCCATGTATATATAAGCTGGAATTCTTACAGTGATAGCAAAAGGAAATACTGTTCTCAGTTTTCCAGATGAATCCATGGAGGCTCAGAGGCAGGAGAAATGTCTCTAGGGTAGAGAAGCTCAGATTTAAATTTTGCTGGAGCCTGGAACCTGAGTTCCTGTTATAACTTTGTAGTGTTTTTGGCATCATGTGACTGAGCAGAAGGGGCCCACCTACTCCCACTCCTCCTTTTTTTTTAGTTTTGTTTTTGAGATGGATTAACACTCTGTCGCCCAGGCTGGAGTGCAGTGGCGCGACCTCGGCTCACTGCAACCTCCGCCTCCTGGGTTCAAGCGATTCTCCTGCCTCAGCCTCCCCGGTAGCTGGGACTACAGGCATGTACCACCACGCCCGGCTAATTTTTATATTTTTAGTAGAGATGGGATTTCACCATGTTGGCCAGGCTGGTCTCGAACTCTTGATCATAAGTGATTGGCCCCCCAACTCGGCCTCCCAAGTGTTGGGATTACAGGTGTGAGCCACCGCGCCCGGCCCCACCTACGCTTTTATCAGTGTCTGTTTCACTCCCCTCCTGCTTCTGCCCTGGGCTGCACCTCAGCAGCCTCTGGGTTTAGGGGCAGCCTCCTTGCTGAGGCACAGCTGACCTACAAAGAAGGCGTCAGAGCGCTCCTGCGCCATGTAGCTGCTGCTGCTCTCCGGGTCCCCGGGCTCCCGGCTCCATCCCGATCAGCCGGGCATCCTTACCTGCTGCCCAAGTTCTCACCTTCCCACCTGCCTCCAGCTCCAGTGGGGTGCAGGACGCATCCATACATCTTCATGATTACTTTTTCCATTGCATCCATTAGATCAGAGCTTAAAGGAAGGACTGTATCATTAAAGAATATTTCATCTGAAAAGAAAGAGAAGAAATGTCAACCAAACGTATCTCACCCTCCTCACTTCCCACACGATAGCCTGAGCTTGCGAGTCTGTGAGGTTAGACACTCCCGCCAAGTTTCACTGCTGTTGTTAGGCGGGCGTTAAATGTCCCTTCCGTCTTCTGCATGTGCCTGCTGGTATGATGCTCCGCCCCATAAAAAGGCAATAAATGCAACACGGCTCAAATCGCCTTGCTCACTCAGCACCAGCAACAGGAGGAAAATAAGGCAAAGGTGGGGAGTTTAACCATTTTCATCGCTTTCTGAGGCTTTTGAATGTGAGAGGAAACCATTTGGCTCAATGTCAGGAAATCCTCAGCTTTTAATACCCTGAAGATATGTGAGCAGGAAACTGGATAGTGCTCACCCTGCTAAGCATGCGTCACAGGGCAGCCAGGGCTGCTGAATAAATACATAGTTTAGATAAGAAGGTTCACATTCAGTGTATTAACTTTCTATGTTGCTCTGTTGGTTTTCATGCAGCTGTAATTAAACCTAATTGCATTAGGGTCATCAATAGACTGAGAAACGAATGATGCAATATTGTCCCAAATATTTGCTCAAAGTTGGCGAAAAGAGTAAATCGCCCAATTTCCTAAGGATTTTGAAATAGAAGAGTATCTCAGGTGATATTTCTCAGGTGTTAGAAATGCCAGATTATTGTCACTGTTTCATCCGCACATTTTTGCCAACGTGCCGTTATGCACCATAGCAGGACCAAGAGAAGATGACCTGTAATTCAGGATCTAATGACGAAAAATTGTAGACTCAGTGTTTTATCAAGGATTCTATGTTTTGAAGCTTTTTAATTCATACATAATTTTATATTTCTTGTCACCAACCCGCCAGAGTAAGAAATATTCTAGTACTTTGAACATGAGAATTAAACAGTGGTCAAATCAAGGGGATAGAATTGGAGCTTGGAGGAGCTGTAAACAGGCTTTGCAGTGACCCCAGCCTTTAAATGACAGGCGTGTGCCTTTTCTCTCCCTGCCCCAAGATGCTGACCCGCTGGTCACAGGGGCCCCCGGTGCACCCATGGACTTGCAGTGCCACGACGCCAACCGGGACTACGTCATCGTGACCTGGAAGCCGCCCAACACCACCACTGAGAGCCCCGTCATGGGCTATTTTGTGGACCGGTGAGCGTCTTGCATTCTCCCGGGGATGGGAACGTTCCGCATGGAATCTTACCATGGACAATATATTGAGAAATTTTTCTCAATGCAGGTTGACGTTCCCATTTTTTGATTGGCTCTAGGTACATGGCTAATTGGTTGTATAAGTTCCTATTTAGGTAATTGGTAAATACGGCCAAGTAGGCTGAGCCCAGCATAACCACACTGGGTTTCTTTTTGTTGAAAGTGGAGGCTCGTTTGCCTGTTGCACACCCAGTAACCAATCCCACCAACGTCTTCAGGCTCACTCTGAGCCCCGCGCTGTGGTTCTGCTGAGGTCCGGGCTGTGCCCCGTACCGGACAGGGCCCTGGCTTTAGCAGAATTAAAGCTTGGAACTGTCCTTCCCTCCTGAGAGACAAAGTGCTGCGAAGAATGCCAGCTCATTTCTAACAAAGTTCTTTCCTTTTCTCTACTGAGGAATAAGGTGTTCTTCTTGTTTCCAAGTGAAAAATCTTGAGCTTCGAAATACTGGAGTTTGTGTTTGAGTTGATAACTTACATTTAGGTCATCGTTGGAGCCAGTGGAGTTTGAATTCTTTGACTTCCCGTACTGGGGACAGCGCTTGGAGCCTGGGAAGTGTACTGCACAGAGCCAGTGGGTTTACTGGATATGTAATTTATGCCCTAAATACAAATTCCAGTTCTTGGAGTAAATTATAGTTGAAGAAAATGAATTTAGAAATTAGACAGAGAGTAAAAGAGGATGGTTCTGGCTGGGCACGGTGGCTCACGCCTGTAATCCCAGCACTTTGGGAGGCCAACGCGGGCGGATTACAAGTTCAGGAGATCAAGAGCATGCTGGCCAGCATGGTGAAACCCTGTCTCTACTAAAAATACAAAAATTAGCTGGGTGTGCTGGCATGTGCTTATAATCCCAGCTTCTTGGGAGGCTGAGGCAGGAGCATCTCTTGAACCAGGGAGGCGGTGGTTGCAGTGAGCCAAGATTGCGCCACTGGACTCCAGCCTGGCAACACAGTGAGACTCCACCATCAAAAAAAACAAAACAAAACAAAAAACAAAAAAACAAAACAAAAAAACCACAAAGGATGGTTCCTGGTAGAAATGCAAAATTTTATATGTATATTAAACAGAAAAATAAGGTGATTATCTTAGGAAAAAATGAGGGAATTGGCTTTTGTTTGTTTGTTTGTTTATGCTGATTAAATTCTCTTTTCTCTTCCAACAAAACTACTTGTTTGGCTGAGACCTGTGCCATCAAACTAATATTTTGATATGCTAGAGACAGTTCTGCAGGGAGTGCTGTTCCGGGCTTACCTTGAATTAAGCAACTACAGCAAGAAAAACAAACCCTCAAAACGATCTTCTTTTCTCCTGGGACAGCTGATAAGTTTTCCCGCCATGTTGACAAAAACCATTTCCTGCACTGTCTCAGCTAACAATCCACGCTCCTCCCCTCATTACAAAAAGCGCAAACATGAAATTCAAAGCAACGGAACACTTTGGGAATGAGGGTGCATTTGGAAGTGGGGGGTGCAGCTCCTCCTCTGCCCTTCCTTTGGGCTTACGACTTGCCAGCTGTTGCCTGAAGTTGCAGGTTTTCCCATCAGACTTTTGGTTTTGACCTGTTGTTCTCTTCGGCTAAAACAGCCCATGACATGTGGATCAGACAGCTTTCATTAAAAGTGCTGGATACTTAGGAGGAGAGCTGGTTCTTTCCCAGATGAAGGCACCACTCTGGGGTTGAAGTGCTCCCTCCCAACACTGATTTTCTGAACTAGCTCTTTTCTCCTGGGAATTTCATGTGAAGGTTTTTTTCTTACATTTTTCAACCTGTGAAAAACAGAGGTTAATCTTTCCTATATTTCCAGGTTTCTGGTCAGGAATTAATATTTTCAAAAGACTTCTAAATTCCACATGAGAGGCATTCTAGAAAGAAATGTCCTAACATTATTCTAGGAGACTGTAAGCCAGCTTTCCCAGGGACCTGGGCCCTTGGTCTCACAGAGTGGGACGGGAGCTGGAGGCAGAGGGGGCTGAGCCTGTTTCCCCAGCCTGGGCCTCAGACGGGCCAAGCCGCAGCTTAGGGGTGCCGTGACTATGTCACGTAAGTCGGAACAAGAACTGTTCAGGATGCGTCTAAAATAATTTTTTGAGGAGATTTTTGCCTAAATGTGTTTGATGACAGAAATTGATCTTCAGCTATAAATTATTAAGATTCATGGGCATATATTACATATATAATAGATATTACATATAATATATATATTGCATTTTCTAAATAGCTCTGTCTTCTAATGTTTATCTATACAAGTCAATATCTTAGCAGCAAAGATTTTACTGGCGTGAGATATTGTCCTGTTATAATCAGTGTGTGCATATATGCATATACCTATGTATATTTAGTAGGTTGCCACATTTGCTATTCTCTGTTGTTTTTCTTTTTTTAACTTGAAGATGTGAAGTAGGAACGAATAATTGGGTGCAGTGCAATGATGCACCGGTGAAAATCTGCAAATACCCGGTCACAGGGCTTTTTGAAGGAAGGTCTTACATATTCCGAGTGAGGGCAGTGAACAGTGCGGGCATCAGCCGACCCTCCAGGGTCTCTGATGCGGTGGCTGCACTTGACCCCTTGGACCTCAGAAGGTTACAAGGTAAGCTGCTCACGCCTAAGTATCCACTGTGCCCAGGAAGCTTTGGCTGTTTTGTGTGTGATTTGTTGTCTCTTTCCCTCCCAACTCGATGTGAGCCCTGAGAATGCCCTGTGTGCAGAGCATAGCACAGGCTGTTACAACGTTCTCTGACATCTCCACCAACATCACTACAGGAATGAAAACGGGCTGACGTACACTCTAAAATGAATGTGCCTCTCCTCCAGAAAGCTCTTTGCTGGCATCCAGTTAAATTGGCTCAGAATTAGACCTTTTTTTTATTCCATTGGTGATATAATTTCAACACATAATGACACTTAGAAGGCCATCCTATTCTGAGTTTTAATTTTGCATGACACAGATTCCTTAATGGGACTGGGCCCTTCGTTATGGTTGTAAGCGAGCCACTATATTTTCCTTACGCACATGGTCCTTTGCATCCACCACCAAGAGCTGAGAAGTGCTAACTGTTACCAGGACACTTCCAGAATCAGCTCTGATGCCCCCAGAGGACTCACAGGTTGTAGTCCTAATGCAGAGGAGATGCAGAGCTGGCACAGAATGAGGGAAAACGGGCTTTTGGGGAAAACTTCGCATGTCAAATCGAGTGTCAACCTTTCTCTCCGCAGCCGTTCATTTGGAGGGAGAGAAGGAGATTGCCATTTATCAGGATGACCTTGAAGGTAAGTAGCACCTCATCACCCCAGCTGCTCAGCCCCTGGGGATTTGGAGTTGTAATTAGAGATGGGAGAGATGGACAGAGAACGCCCCCTACTGGGCACGGCCTCTGCATGGAAAAATGAAAACCGCAGGTCAGGCCTGCAAGCCCAGTGTCCATAGAAGTTAAAAAAAAGAAAAAATCAAGCAAGACAGAGTGAGAGGGTGGGAGAAAGGGTGAAGGATTGGTGACTCTTAGACTCACCTTTCATTTGGGGTTTACAAAGGCGTTCTTTCAGGGACTTGTAGAGAAGAAACCAAACTAAAGCTCAGACTTGGTTCCTGGGTGATGTAAGATCCTTTCTCACAGATTGCATTGTGAAATCGATTTCATTTTACATTTTCTAAGCAAAAATTTTATTCCTGACATTTTAACTGAAATGGATTGAGTCTTTCCTGCCAAATGATGTTCTTGGTCCTTATGTATATTTGATTTTGTGGATATTTCTTCTTCCTGATTTTCCTTTTAGAGACCTTTAGAAAGAATGACGTGTTAAGGAGAATCCAACATTATTAACTAGAAATCAAAAGGTTTTAACTGGACTTAGAGTTCATAGAGTGCCATGGGTGAAAACATAAAAAGAAAGATTTCAAATCAGTGTGGAGCCACTGGCTAGAGAGAGGTGATTTTGAGCTGCTCGCTAAAATCACAGCCGTGTTCTCTCTCCTAGAGCTGCAGACTCAAAAGCGTTTTCTGGATTGGTTTTCTACATCTGAAGCAGATGGATCCCCAACTAGTATCCACACATTGCATGTTCTGCCACATGAAGATTTTTCTCTAGGATCTCAAAACAAATGTATGTCCCTATGTTTCCCATGAGGGACATAAACTCCCAAAAGAAGACCGTTGAGAGTTCTGGTCAAGCCAAGGGAACCTTTAAGCCTTAGTCAAATCCTCTGGCTGCAGAAGGACCTAGAACTCAGGAAGGACACTCAATACATAAGGAATGAAAGTGAGGGATTTGAGGAGGACAACTTCTTGCAGTCTCCTGGGCATCTGGCTTTTTGAGTCAGCCTGGTATTCTGTCTCATGCATGATAAACCCTCCCCATTTTTCGGATGATTAAAACATGGATATTTGAATGACTGAAAAATGGCTCCAAATACTGTTAGAAAAGAAGGCCTGCTTGAGGCCGACGAGCCCGTGTAGAATGAGGTTGGTTCTGGCCTCCGGGAGGAACAGGCAGCCCAGCCCGTGTAGAATGAGGTTTGGTTCTGATCTGCGGGAGGAACAGGCAGCCCAGCCCGTGCAGAATGAGGTTGGTTCTGGCCTGCGGGAGGAACAGGCAGCCCAGCCCTTGCAGAATGAGGTTTGGTTCTGGCCTGCGGGAGGAACAGGCAGCCCAGCCCTTGCAGAATGTGGTTTGGTTCTGGCCTGCGGGAGGAACAGGCAGCCCAGCCCGTGCAGAATGAGGTTTGGTTCTGATCTGCGGGAGGAACAGGCAGCCCAGCCCGTGTAGAATGAGGTTGGTTCTGGCCTGCGGGAGGAACAGGCAGCCCAGCCCGTGTAGAATGAGGTTTGGTTCTGGCCTGCGGGAGGAACAGGCAGCCCAGCCCGTGTAGAATGAGGTGGGTTCTGGCCTGCGGGAGGAACAGGCAGCCCAGCCCGTGTAGAATGAGGTTTGGTTCTGGCCTGCGGGAGGAACAGGCAGCCCAGCCCGTGCAGAATGAGGTTTGATTCTGGCCTGCGGGAGGAACAGGCAGCCCAGCCCATGTAGAATGAGGTTTGGTTCTGGCCTGCGGGAGGAACAGGCAGCCCAGCCCGTGCAGAATGAGGTTTGGTTCTGCCACGTGGGAAGAACAGGCAGTCCCCCTTCTCACTCCTCACGAGCAGACAGATCAGGGAGGAGGTGGGCAGCCCGGATCACGCTGAGTGGATGTGTAGGAATCCAGCCTGGCAAAAATGACCCACGGTGAGAAGGTGTAACTTGCTTTATAAATGTCACTTATCTGTGATGAAATTTGCCTTCTGTAAAGGCCATTGAGAAGAGCACTGGGGAAGGGAAATCATGTAATGGAATGAACCTTCCCCAGGGCAGAAGCCCTGCCTTTTTGGAGAGAGTCTATCTTTCTAGTGAGACATGATTGTGGTGGGGTACACGAAGCCCGCTGTTCATGAGGTGTCAAATGAAGAAAGAGCGCGTGTCCTGAGGCTTGGTTTGCCAGTTGATAAAGTGGAAGTTTGGCATCCAGACACTGTAGCTCTCATTTCCCGTTGGAGTAAAGACACAGATGCTCTTTTCCATGGTCTCGTGTTTTCCTTGCTTTCAGCAAGGCAGGTTTCTGGCTGACTGGGCCTGTGTCCTCCTCCGTGGGAGGCGGTTGTGAATGTGGCAGGATTTATTCATCCTCAGGGGACTTTTCCAAGTCTGTGTTTATGCGGTGGGTTATGGGAGGCTGAGGGTGAGACTTAGATGGAAAATTGCTTGACGAGACGTGGACACTGCCTGAGGCTCAGCCTCCCCGGCTTCAGTTCTCTGACGTGACGCTTTGTGTGCATTGAACAGGCAATTTCCATGGTCAGAAACAAACTGGGTATGAAATTGAAATTCTGCTGTGTTGATATGGGGTTTTGGAAAGTTTATCTGTTCACCTCAGCCATTTTAAACAAGGAATATGTCCTCTAACTTAAAAAAATCTTTAGCCAAAGAAAGAGATCTATAATGTTTCGAAGCGAACCATTTCGGGATTCAAGAATTTGCTATTAGGAAGTTCCCTTTTCTACCTGTGTCTTTTTTCTTCAGCTGATTTTTTTTTCTTTTACCATTGCTTTAGCTAGAAAATACTTGGTAAATGCCCCTTGTTTTAATGAAACAGAAACTCATTACTGTTGCTGGCTAAAAATGGCTCCTCTGCTATTTTTGACTTTTTGCCGAGTTTTTCTCACCATTTTAATCTTGGGCAATGTCTTCCTTCACACATTTGAATGGCTATCCATGCGCTTGCCTTACCATCAACCCAACTTGCCCAGTATTTGTTGAATTGCTCCGTTGAAAAATGGACACTGTATTTTTGGAAAGGCCAGAATAGACCCTCACAGAATATAATAAGAGCGTTTTTACTCTACTGTTCTACTGTGTTATTCTCTCCTAATTATGTATGCAAGCATTGGCTGTGCTTTCCTGGGCCGGGGCATTTGCAGCCCACATGCTCAGTCATTTGCTCTGTGCTCTGCAGGACCCTTCAATTCTGTCAAACCTAAAATAAACTCGGTGTTTCATTTACTTAGAGAAAAATCTCCTGGGGAGGTTGTAGTTTCCTTAGGTGGATGAGGGAACAAAATACAGAAGTTGGAACCAGAAGACCTAAGCCTCGACCCCAGTTCAGCCACCCAGTAGCTGTGCGATCTTAGGAAAGTGATATGTTTTTATGAGATCAATTTCTGGATTTTTAAGTGGAGGAAACCAATAGTATCTTCCTCCACACATGAACAGAACCCAAAATAAGATATTGAATGTGAAAGCATTTTAAAACAATCATATATATTATATATTAATAATGCATATAACATATAATAATACAAAAAGCATGTGTGTTTATATATCTCTCACTGGTTCATTTAGTATTGACTTGGCCCAATACTCAATTGGGTGAGGGCAGCATCAGTGCCCTGGGGGTAGAACCGTTGGCCAGTGTCTAGCCTTTGCTTAGCAGTGTCTCATGTGTGTTTAGCAGTGTCTCACGTGTGCTTAGCGGTATCTTATGTGTGCTTAGTGGCATCTAGCATGTGCTTAGCGGCATCTCACATGTGCCTAGTGGCATCTCACGTGTGCTTAGCAGTATCTCATGTGTGCTTAGCGGCATCTCGCATGTGCTTAGCACCATCTCGCATATGTCTAATGGCATCTCATGTGTGACTAGCAGCATCTCACGTGTGCTTAGCGGCATCTTGCGTGTGCTTAGCGGTGTCTCTCGTGTGCTCAGCAGTATCTTACATGTGCCTAGTGGTGTCTCATGTGTGCTTAACGTTCATTTGTTTTCCCTCGGCTCCCCTCTCAGGGCAGGGTCATCACTCATGCCCACCCCTGTGCTTCCCTCTCCCTGGCTCGAGGGACCCTTTTGAACCCTTTTCTCCTCTCTCCATGGTTGGAGAATCTGCAAATCCGCAAGGCTTGTGTGATCACATTGCCCAGGCTGATGAAGATGTGAAGAATAAGTCAGATGTCTTGCCCCAGCCGGGGATCCCCTGCTGACAAAGCTGTGTTCTTCCTTCTCACCTTGTCATCAAAGGAACTGTCTCTCACTCCACTTTCTCGGGGCCTTTTGCTACATGCAGGGGCAAAGGCAGCAAGACAGTTCCGAAAGTGTGAACGAGATGCTGCTGTCAGCGGCTCACACCTGCTTGCTGCTTCTGTTCATTGCCTTGTTCCTTCTGTCCCCTTGGTTTGCTTCCCTCATCAGCACCTCTGAAATAAACCAGGATTCAGTTTTGGAATTTCGGCAAGTGTTACAGAAAGATGAGTTTTCTGCATCTTCTCTCTGGAATGCTTTTTTCTGTGGGTATCTAGGTGTGGACACGGTGCACGGGTGGAGAGCAGGCCTGTGGGGTGTCCCCCGCCCCAGTTACCCTCTGCATTTTCCGGAGACACACTGACTCCTTGTGTGAAATTCAGCACCTTACCAGAATGAGCCCAGCTCAGCCTGCGTTGCCTCTGACCTGTAATGCGCTGTGCAACAGGGCTCAGGAAACGAAACCCAGTCTTGCTTTGTACTATTTCCATGTTCAGTTCCTGGCCTGCTACAGAGTCCTGAGGGAGCAACTGGGTTTTGAGAATGGCTCAGAGATGTCCCGGGGAGGTTTCAGACCGTTTTAATCATGTGCTAATCTAATTGAAGGTTCATAATATTTTTTATCACAATTTCAAGAACTGTGGGTCTGGAAAAACCTCCACCTCCACTCCTTATGAAAATCTCCTATAAATTCAAACAGAAATCCCCACACCTCATAGTATATTTAAAAAAGATGTATGTCAGAAGAGAGGCATATGGAGCATCTCTGACTGCAAATATTCTAGCATAAGTTATTTGCAAAAGGCTTATCAACATCACTCCAGAATTCAAACATGCAGACATAGAATACAGTGCCTGTGAATATGGTACTGAGCTTTTGAGGGAGGAGCAGGCAAGGTGTTTTAGAAGTAGATGTGTCATTTAAGTGCTCTGAGGGCACACGGTATAAAGAAAGAACCCAGAGGGGATCCTTAGAGGTGGGGCCGCCTCCATCCGCGGTGCTTCTGTATTTCAGAAGACAGACTGTGAATATGTTCTCTGCACAGATTCCCAACACAGTCAGAGCCCCATTTCGGGTGCAATGCCTGGTTTCTTCTGGTAAATCCTTCCCCCTCTTCCAACAGAATCTCTGGAAGACTTTCGGGTGAGATTCCTTTCCTATGAACAGGCTTATATCTGTATTGGAAGCAAAACTAACTGGCTGATCTTTATTGGTGCCTTATCCTCTGGTTCCAAGGAAGCATCTTTGGGGTTTGTTTGACTTCCCCAAATAGAAACAAAACAAGTTCAACACCCACGTGGCAGAGTCCTCCAGTGCCCCGAGGTGGGCTGCAGCGAGGCTGATGGGGGTCCTTCAGCACTCACCGAATTTATTATTCCTCCAGGTGACGCCCAGGTTCCAGGGCCTCCCACCGGTGTGCACGCTTCCGAGATCAGCAGAAACTATGTCGTCCTCAGCTGGGAGCCACCCACTCCCCGTGGCAAGGACCCGCTCATGTACTTCATTGAGAAGGTAAACTCCGGGCCCGTGTCCTGGAAAAGTAGATCTCTGCATGGCCCCCCACTGTCATGATCTCTGCGTGGCCCACCGCTGTCGTGATCTCCGCGTGGCCCCTCACTGTTGTGATCTCCGCGTGGCCCCCCACTGTTGTGATCTCTGCGTGGCCCCACTGTCATGATCTCTGCGTGGCCCCACTGTTGTGATCTCTGCGTGGCCCCACTGTCGTGATCTCTGCGTGGCCCCCCACAGTCGTGATCTCTTTGTGGCCCCCCACTGTCGTGATCTCTGCGTGGCCCCACTGTCGTGATCTCTGCGTGGCCCCCCACTGTCGTGATCTCTTTGTGGCCCCCCACTGTTGTGATCTCTGCGTGGCCCCCCACAGTCGTGATCTCTTTGTGGCCCCCTACTGTCGTGATCTCTGCGTGGCCCCCCACAGTCGTGATCTCTGCGTGGCCCCACTGTCGTGATCTCTTTGTGGCCCCCCACTGTTGTGATCTCTGCGTGGCCCCCCACAGTCGTGATCTCTTTGTGGCCCCCCACTGTCGTGATCTCTGCGTGGCCCCACTGTCGTGATCTCTTTGTGGCCCCCCACTGTTGTGATCTCTGCGTGGCCCCCCACAGTCGTGATCTCTTTGTGGCCCCCCACTGTCGTGATCTCTGCGTGGCCCCCCACAGTCGTGATCTCTTTGTGGCCCCCTACTGTCGTGATCTCTGCGTGGCCCCCCACTGTTGTGATCTCTTTGTGGCCCCCCACTGTCGTGATCTCTGCGTGGCCCCCCACTGTTGTGATCTCTGCGTGGCCCCACTGTCATGATCTCTGCGTGGCCCCACTGTCATGATCTCTTTGTGGCCCCCCACTGTTGTGATCTTTGCGTGGCCCCACTGTCATGATCTCTGGCACCCCACTGTCGTGATCTCCGCGTGGCCCCCCACAGTCGTGATCTCTGCGTGGCCCCCCACTGTTGTGATCTCTGCGTGGCCTCCCACTGTTGTGATCTCTGCGTGGCCTCCCACTGTTGTGATCTCTGCGTGGCCTCCCACTGTTGTGATCTCTGCGTGGCCCCCTACTGTCGTGATCTCCACGTGGCCACACACTGTCATGATCTCTGTGTGGCCCCCCACTGTCGTGATCTCTGCGTGGCCCCACACTGTCGTGTTTGCTGTGTTTTAAAGATGACCTACTAGTTCATCAGTGGGTCCAGACCCTGCACCGTTGCTGGGGAAAATGAGGTTAGGGCTGTGGTCACACGGCAGCAGGGGCGGAAATTGGCACCAGGGGGCTGGGTTGCGTCCTAGCTGGGCGTTGCCCCTCGGTGTGAGCAGGGAGTCGCTTCCCTCTCTGGGCGCCCGCGTTCTTCACTGCCGTGTGGAGGACTGAGCTTGAGGGTTCTAGCGTCTCCTTCCTGCTGCAACATTCCAGGCGCCTACATGCTGGGGATTCCAGATTCCTCGATGGCCATGCTTGTGCACAAGCCGTATGGCCACTGGGTGGCAATCGTGTAGAGGAAATGCACACAAGACGCAGAAGGGTTAGACTCGCCAGATATCCAATAGAAAGCTTTTTTTTTTTCCTGAATGCATACAAAGAAATACAAAAGACGTTGTATATTGCAGTTCTGCCATCACGTATATGTATGTAACCTACAGAATTTCACAAATGATAATCTCACCCAGCACACATTCTCTTTTTACCCTGTCCGGTGACATTAAAGGCACAGGTTGTGACCCACTAATCTGACTTGGTGACGACCCCCTGTTGGGTTGTAGGCCATAGTTGGATAAGACTCCAATGTCCTACAAAGGCTGTAACTAGGGTTTTGCGATACAAAATTTATATGTAATATGTAATACAATATGTAGTATGCAAGTAACAGAGAATATAACATATAGAAGCTTATGCCACCTAATACAATAATCGCATCTAGCACCACTCAATGCAGCATGGCGGAAACAGGAATGGAAACGAACCATATTTCAGACTCCAGCATGGAGGAGGACCCTCTGGCCTTCTCTGGTTATTTGCAATGTATGCTATCTGGGGGGTAGAAACTAGAAATATTTCAGGGTAAAGCATTACATCATTAATTCTGGGTGACAAAATATAGTTATTTGTGTTACGAAAATACAAGTGGTCAGTCCCTCTGTGGGGTCTCCTAGGGTGGAAGGTATTTTCTCAGGCCCCTCATTCCCCTCATCTTCCACCAATACCAGAAACACCAAGTTTGCAAACACTTTTTTGTTTTTATTTTTGAGACCAGGTCTCATTTTGTCACTCAGGCTAGAGTGCAGTGGCACAGTCATGGCTCACTGCAGTCTCCACCTCCTGGGCTCCAGCAGTCCTTCTGCCCCAGGCCCCTAACACCCAGAGTAGCTGGGACCACAGGTGTGTGCCACCACGCCCAGCTGATTTTTAAATTTTTTTTATAGAGACGAGGTCTCGCCATGTTGCCCAGGCTGGTCTCAAATTCCTGGCACAAGCAATCTTCCTGCCTCAGCCTCCCAAAGTGCTGGGATTACAGACACTTTAGTGTGTTTACAGGCCAGGCAAGCCACAACACCTGTCCTGCAAACACATTTTTAGAGAGAGGACTCCACCGTGGAGCCAGTGTGTGGGCAGAACTACCTGCTGTCAGTATTGATGACATGGCAGGCACACTTTTTTTTTTGTAATTTTTATTATTTTATTTTTCCATTAGTTATTGGGTACAGGGGGTATTTGGTTACATGAGTAAGCTCTTCAGCGGTGATTTGAGAGATTTTGGTGCATCCATCACCCAAGCAGTATACGCTGCACCATATTTGTTGTCTTTTATCCCTCGCCTCCCTCCCACTCTTTCCCCCAAGTCCCCAGAGTCTATTGTGTCATTCTTATGCCTTTGCAGCAAACACACATTTTTAAGAAAATATAATTTCAACTTTTATTTTAGCTTCAGGGGGTACCTGTGCAAGTTCTGACAGGGGTATGTTGTGTGATACTGATTTCGAGGTGCAGTTGATCTCGTCACCCAGGTAGTGAGCACAGCACCCCATAGGTGGTTTTTCAGCCCTTGCTCTGTCTGGTAGGCCTCAGTGTCTATCGTTGCCATCTTCGTGTGCGTGTGTACCCAGTGTTTAGCTCCCACTTATAAGTGAGAACATGCAGTATTTGGTTTTCTGTTCCTGTGTCAATTCACTTAGGATAACAGCCTCCAGCTGCACCCATGTGGCTGCACAGGACATGATTTCTTTCCTCTTTATGGCTGTGTAGTATTCCATGGTGTGGGGGCACCACATTTTCTCTCTGCGGTCCACCATTGCAGGGTTGAGTCCATGTCTTTACTTTTGAGAACAGTGCTGTGATGGTAATACAAGTGCATGCATCTTCTGGTAGAATGGTTTATTTTCCTTTGGGCATATACCCAGTAATGGGATTGCTGGATGGAATGGTAGTTCTGCTTTAAGTTCTTTGAGAAGTCTCTAAACTGCTTTCCACAGTGACTGAGCTAATGACATTCCCCCAGCAGTGGATAAGCCTTCCCTTTGTGGACCCATATTCTGATGTAGGAGAGGAAGCTCTCCTATAGACACCTGGACTGCGCTCGCTTGGGGTCGCAAGGGCCTGAGGCCCATGACGCCCTGGGGGCTCCCACCACAAACGCCCGGGGCAGATACAAAATAGCGGCTTTTCACTTTCACCAAAATGAGAGAAAACTCCTTCAAATATGAGTCTGATTTCTAGAAGTCTGGGTTGCTATCTGAATTTTCAGCAGGCTTACCAGGGTCAGTGTATATCCAACTTTTACTACCACAAAACTACTTTCGAAAAAGGCGTTTTATCTCTATGTGAAAAAATAAGATAAAACATGTAATCAAGGTTTTTAAAGTAATTACAAAAGATAAAAATTAAACAAGCAGTATATAAAATTTGGGAAAGACAGAGAAGTTACATGGAATGCAATTAAAATGAGCAATAATTCCACCATATAAAATAGCCACATTAACGTGTGGTACATATATTTATAGTCTTTTTCTCCATAGATTTTAATGCTCTTGTTGTATCATACAATTTGCATTCTGTATTAGATTTCACAAAATAACATAATTCCTCTTATTAGACTAAAGATCTTTATACAATAATTTAAATGGCCATGAGGTTTTTAATCTATGAACATATCATCATGTGTCTGACCGTATTGACAGCCATTTAGATTGCTGTCATTTAATCACTACTGCAAGTAGCTGCAATATGGTAATAACTTTAAATTGAAATGCGAACCACTGAGTTATGACAGAATTTTATGAATATACTTCTAAATTATCTTTCATTATTTGCAGGTTAGTTCTATTTTGCTAAAACTACTACCTATGTATTGATTCCCTTATGTTTTCTATGGTTTAATTATTTACTTTAATGGAAAAAAATTTATTAGTAAACATGATCAACTTTGGGTATTTGTGACTTCCTTCTCCAAATTGGCATCATGTTTCATAAAACTCAAAAAAGATGCATGACCATCCTTTGTGTGCGAGACGCAGCGGGCGCGCCTGGTGGTCCTGGGATAGCGAGAACAGAGCATTTCTTCCTCCTCCACACGCCTCTGGGGACCTCGCGGTTTTCACTGCCAGTCTCGTTTCTGTTTCTCTTTGTAGTCCGTGGTGGGGAGCGGCAGCTGGCAGAGAGTCAACGCCCAGACGGCTGTGAGATCCCCGAGATATGCCGTGTTTGACCTCATGGAAGGGAAGTCTTATGTGTTCCGAGTGCTGTCAGCAAACCGGCATGGCCTGAGCGAACCTTCGGAGATAACGTCCCCCATTCAGGCCCAGGATGTGACCGGTGAGCTGTCACACTGGGTGGCCCCAAGTCAGGATGGACTAAGAGTGGGGTGACACCAAATAGCCTTAAATTGTGTGAATAAAGACATTAATGTTATAAACGAGTTGAAGTTCAAGTGGACTTAAAACTTCACTTTACGAGAGATTAAGAGCTCTCTGCCATGTTTTGTTTGGTTCTTGACATTTCTCCAAAGCTCCATCTTCTTTTCATGAAACCAGTAAGTGAGTTGAAAAATATGTTTAGGAAACGGTCACTTTTATTGTTTTATTTAAACTTTTAAAAAAACTTTTATTTTAGGTTCAGGGGTCCATGTGTAGGCTTCTTACATAGGTAAACTTGTGTCATGGGGGTTTGTTGTAAAGATTATTTCGTCACCCAGGTACCAAGCCTAGTAGCCATTAGTGACTTTGCCTGCTCCTCTCCCTCCTCCCACCCTAGACCCTCTGATAGTCCCCCGTGTGTATTTCCATCTATGTGTCCATGTGTTCTCATCATTTAGCTCCCACTTATGAGTGAGAACATTTGGTATTTGGTTTTCTGTTCCTGCATTAGTTTGCTAAGGATAATGGCCTCCAGCTTCACTCATATTCCTGCAAAGGACGTGGTCTTGTTCTTTTTTATGGCTGCATAGTATTCCATGGTATATATGTACTGCATTTTCTCTATCCAATGTCATTGACAGGCATTTGGGTTGATTCCATGTCTTGGCTATTGTGTGAATAGTGCTGCAATGAACATTCGCATCCATATGTCTTTATGGTAGAATGATTTATATTCCTCTGGGTATATATGCAGTACTGGGATTGCTAGGTTGAATGATAGTTCTTTTTTTTTTTTTTTTTTTTGGCTCTTTGAGGAATCATGACACTACTTTCCACAATAGTTGAACTAATTTACATTCCCACCAACAGTGTTTAAGTGTTCCCTTTTCTCTGCAATGGTCACTTTTAAAGTAATTCAAATTTTAAGTGCACTAGACTTTTTTGTTGTTGTCTTTTTTTAATTAATGCTTTTTTAAAAAAATTTTTGTTTTGTAGAGATAGAGTTTCACCATATTGCCCAGGCCAGTCTCGAACTCCTGAACTCAAGGGATCCTCCCACCTTGGCCTCTCAAAATGTTGGGATTCCAGGTGTGAGCCAGGGTGCCCAGCCAGGCACTAGAGTTTCTTGCCCATCTGGCTTGAAGGTCCCTCTTGGAAGGTTTCAAATACAAATTACAGAAATTTTGAATTGCAATCCCTGGAGTCATAACTCCTTCGTGGATGGCAGTTAACTAGCATGTAAGCGGAGGCACCCTGGAAATCCCCAGAAGCCTTCACGGGAGGCACATTGGTGTCAGGAACGCGGTTCTGAGTGCCTGGGTGCCCTCCACCCTCTCTCTGTCGTGTTTCCTGAGAAAGCCAGATACGGAAATGAACAAGGTCACGAGGCCGGCTGCCTCCAGGGCATCCTCAAGTTTCTATCTGGCTCTGGTTTTAACTGAAGCTCTTAGAACTCATACCCAGAACCACAGGCTTGACAAGACCAGCTGTCTTTGAGCAAGGCCCTGCCTTCTTGTGCTTTATGACACATATGAAAAATGACAGTGTCCATCACTGAGACACACTGTGGGGTGTGTGGCCCAGGTGGCCGGCACGGAGGACACAGGTGGCCCCAAGGCCTTACCTGACCTCAGTCCGCAGTCCACTAGTGGGGCCTGGCACCACATGACAGGATCTGATGGTTAGGTCATGATCGAATTTTGAGTGCCCCTCGGAGATTTCAACAGATCTGATAAAATTGAGTCTTACTTTCTTAAAATTGGTTAATTTCCAGTCCAAAAAATAGTTGTTACCCGGGTAGCCTCATCCCTGCTGCCAACAGAGAGTCTTTTAAACAGCTCTGATGGGAGACAGGAGGATTCAGGATGGATGTCATCCTGTGTCTCTAGGAGTTGTGTGGAGCTTGGGAAGAGATCAGAGAGACCAGCACCTCCCAATGGCCCTCGGGTGGTCGGCCCGGGGCTCCTCTCCTACTCCTGGACCCCTTGTCTGAATTTCTTCCAAAGCCCCCAGTCTGGCTGTCCAGTTCCCTGTGAAAAGGGCCGGAAGATCTCTGCTGTAGCTTCCAAAGCTCTGATGCCATTTCACCACTCCTTTTGTCTCCTACGAAAAGTTGTCCCTTCTGCTCCGGGTCGGGTTCTTGCTTCCCGAAACACCAAGACGTCGGTGGTGGTGCAGTGGGACCGACCTAAGCATGAGGAGGACCTGCTGGGCTACTACGTGGACTGCTGTGTGGCCGGAACCAACCTCTGGGAGCCCTGCAACCACAAGCCCATCGGATACAACAGGTGCGGCCTCCCTCCCCAGCCCTGGAGTCAGCCTTGCAGGAGTAGCAAGACCGTTGAGGTCCCTGTGGCCCTGGCACAGGGAGTACCATGGCCGCAAGGCTTCTGCGTAAATGAGTCTGTCTTAGCCACACACAAGGGCTGTATAATTTTAAAGTTTGACCACTTGGATGAGCTAGTTACTGCACTTGCTCATGTCGACCGAAACGATTTATTTATGGATGAAAGGAGAGTTCCAGAACCTGTTTTTTTTTCCCCTGACATAATTAGCACTTAGGCCTTTTCTTTGAATAGCAGAGTTAAAAATAGTGACTACGATGTGAAAGTCGTTTTATTTTTTTCGTATTGATTTTTTTGAACTTGAAAGTTGCTTTGTTCATGTGCCTGGTAGTTCTATTCCCCAGCACCTGATGGAGACCCCACCGGGCGCCGACTCTTCGCTTGTGGTGGGGGCAGCCTCGGGGGATGCTGGTTGCTTTGCAGGGGAAAGCCAGTGACCCTGCCTTTGGAGAGACTTGCTCCTGCTGCCTGCTGAGTGTGCAGGGATGTCTGAGGTTATTAGGCTTCTCTGCGATACGCGTCTTAGGAAAATGTCAGCAGCTGTCAGAACCACCCTTGTGGATAGATGATCAATTATGGCTCAGCCATTTCTCCTTTTAAAATCTGAAAAAAATACACTGTAAAAAGTGGTGGCTAACAAGAAGAGATGTCATTGAAAAGAATAACAATTAGATGTTCTTCACAGCCCACAGCAAATGCAGAAAGATCGATCAGAATAAGAAACTTAAAACATGATTCCAGTACAGGGAAATGGTTAGTGAATATTTATTGACTATATATGATAAATAATAATTGCTTACACGGACTGAATATCTATCATACACAAAGCATCTGTGCTAAGTTGTCCACCTAGAGTTTTCCATGTAGTGCCTGCAATAGTGCTGTGGGGTGGGAATTATCATCCCCATCTTACAAATAGAAAAACAAAGTCTTACAGGGGTTAAGGAGGTTGATTAAGACCATAAAATCTGTGAGGTTTCAAAGCCCCAGTATTCGAGCCTAGTCCATCTGACTTCCAAGTCTTGGCCTGTAACCACTGCAGTGTAATTACTGCTAATTAAGTTTTACATACACGGGTTCTTTTAGATAAGAAATGGCATACTGTTGGATAATAGACCTCTGATCCAGAGGAGGCCCAGAAAGTACAAAAGCAAAGGTGAACTCACAGAACAAGTGGCTTTGGCACCACGTGTAGTCAGCTCCTGCTATAATTAGGTGCTGTGACCTTACTGTCGGACTCTACATGTTGAGCTAATTAACTAGAATTGAAAATGAAGGATGTATGTTATCCATAAAAATTTTTTATGGCGCGTTCAGGGTGATTTTTGCTTCTGCTGCAGGAGAGAAAAAGTGGAGCCTGGCAGTTCTGACCCTGATCCCTGTGTTTCTCAGGTTCGTGGTGCACGGCTTAACCACGGGAGAGCAGTACATCTTCCGAGTCAAGGCGGTCAATGCTGTGGGGATGAGTGAAAATTCCCAGGAATCAGACGTCATAAAAGTGCAGGCCGCACTCAGTAAGTCACTCACAGGCTGTTGTGTGCCGATTGCTCCCATACACTGTCATTTCTGCATGAATAAACATTTGTGATGCCATTTGGAATGTCATTGAAGGGGAAAAGGGGACTAAATTCCTGAACAGAGAACTTGAGTTTCTTTGAAGCCTCTCGGTTGGCTGCTTGTCTTGGAAATGACAGTGTGAGAGGGAGAAATGATAATACACTAATAAAACGCAAATTAAAAATAGAAAACATTGTTGTTGCCAAATACCTGTACTCATGTTAAAATATATGCTGTAGGCTGGCGCAATGGCTCATGCCTGTAATCGCAGCACTTTTGGAGGCCAAGGTGGCTGGATCATGAGGTCAAGAGATTGAGACCATCCTGGCCAACAAGGTGAAACCCCGTCTCTACTGAAAATACAAAAATCAGCCTGGCATGGTGGCGGGCGCCTGTAGTCCCAGCTACTCGATAGGCTGAGGCAGGAGAGTCACCTAATCTGGGAGGCGGAGTTTGCAGTGAGCCAAGATCGTGCCACTGTACTCCAGCCTGGGGGGACAGAGCAAGACTCCGTCTCAAAAATATATATATGCTGTAGGGGATACATTTCTCTTTTCAAAATATGTGCTAAAATACAGCAACATCCATGACCTTTTTAGCTGTTCTCAGTTCTAGGAACTTTAGTCACTTCAGAGAATGTCATATTTATGTAACTTTGAGACTTTGTTGGTAAATAGTGGTGTTTAACAGTTTTTATTATTTTGATCAAACGAGACAATTGGGATCCTAAATCTCAGGGACCGTCCCTAGAACAGTTGCTGTATCAAGCTGTGCTGCAGCCTCGTGGCTTTCTGTTTTCTCATGAAATGCACCTCAGGAAGTCAGTGCGCATACTCAGAAACATTTTGAAACACAAATGCCACATGGGACACCCTTGGATTCACAGGGTTATCTTCCCACTTCAGAGGGAACTATGTGGCTCGTTGATGATTTTTCATCTTTGACTAAATTTGCAACATTTTCAGAAATTAAAATTTATCTTCTAATGATATTGCTGTTGGATTTCCAAGGAATGTCAAATCTGATAACATCTAGCTAGGTACAATAGCGCTGACTCTTTTGTTTTAAGATTAATCTCCTCTCAATTTTTTCCAGGAGGGACTTTCAAACATTCCCATTTTCTTTTTAATGTCATTCCTACTAAAGGAAAACCACTTTCTTTTTTTTTTTTTTTCGACGTAGAGTCTCGCTCTGTTGCTCAGGCTGGGGTGCAGTCGTGTGATCACAGCTCCCTGCAGCCTTGAGCTTTTGGGCTCAAGTGATCCTCATGCCTCAGCCTCCTGATTAGCTAGGACCACAGGCACCACCACCACGCCCAGCTAATTTTTTGATTTTTTTGTAGAGATGGGGTTTTACTATGTTGCCCAGGCTGATCTCAAACTCAGGAGCTTAAGCAATCCTCCTGCCTCGGTCTCCCAAAGTGCTGGGACTACAGGCATGAGCCACCGCACCTGGCCTGTTTTTATTCTATGATAAGAATCACTTAATTCCAGTCACCTGTGTCTCAGGTAACAGAGGATGGCCACATTGAGGTGACTCAGAGCTGGGGCAAGCAGACTCAGGCCCATCCGTTCTCGACCTGTTAGGAGAAGGCGGTCCGTTTCAAATGCCCTGCTCAAACAGGGAAACACGGATTCACACTCATTTGAAGGAACCTGAAGTTCCTCTAACTGTGCAGGAAATTAAAACAAACTGGAATCGTATCTGTCATCTCTGGCCACAGATGCAGAATAGTTATTCCTTATGGTTGTAAAAGTGAAAGCTCCTTCGCCAAGCTTCTTTCAAGGGGCCGAGAAGACAGAACATCTTCTGCTGTGTCAAATGTTCATACCAGATTTAAACCGTTCATCCTATGGAAGCCTTAGTAGATACACTTAGAAATAGCAATACATATATATGAGATAAATTTTTATTTATTTTTGTACTCATCCCCTTTAAAAAGGTGTAAAGACCAAGGTGGTTAAGTGTGGGTTGAGAGGGATCAGAGGGCACAGTGTTCAGGCCCGTCTCCACGTTGCTTCCTCCTCCCTCTGCCACACTGGAGCTGGCTGCCCCGGGGACAAAGCCCCCAGCTGAGGCCCTCGGTAACTCCCTGGTTGTGCTTCCTTGCAGCCGTCCCGTCCCATCCTTATGGGATTACGCTCCTCAACTGTGACGGCCACTCCATGACCCTCGGCTGGAAGGTCCCGAAATTCAGTGGTGGCTCGCCCATCCTGGGCTACTACCTGGACAAGCGTGAAGTTCACCATAAAAACTGGCACGAGGTCAATTCCTCACCCAGCAAACCGACAATCCTAACGGTCAGTTGGTTTTTATTCCTTCGTCTATTTTTGCCTGGGTGGTTCTTTACATTTTTGGCAATGTTTCTGCGTTTGATGACATTAGATAGTTTGATACAGACACAAAAATGGATTAAAAAATAGCATCATGAGATCATGAAGTTTTGGAGCTAAAAAGATCCTAGGAATCATATTCTTTTTCTTTCTGAGAAGCAGTGAAGAAGGGAGCTCAGTGATGGAGTGGGCCTGACAGTGAGTCCATGACCTCTGGTGTGACCAGCATCTGGTCCCAGTACCTGTGGTAATGTCCCTTGTTCTAGGCTCTGAGGCCTTGAGGGCAGGGACGGAGTCTCACATGTGTGCCTGAGGGGAGGGTCACGCTGAATGTCTGTTTAGGAAGAGAGTAATGTTGGCTCTCTGCTTGTCACCCACCATTTCCCTGAGACATTCTTGTATTTCAGGCCTCCCAGAGAGTCCCTTGCCTCAGTGCCCCTGGTGCTCAGGTGCAGAGTGTGGCAAGGACATCGACTTGGAGCTCAGAGATCTGGGGTCAGATCCAGACACCCCCTTGGCAGCCATTGCTCTGTTTCCCTGTCCGGCCCTTGACCCCTCATCTGAGCATAGATGAATGACCCTCATCTCACACTACAGCTCCCGTCCGGACTGTGGGGAGCCACAGACCTCAGGGGAGTCACTTACACTCCAACAGGAGGGCTTTCTTTTTTGGAGAGTGTAAGGCCTTAGAAGATCTAATCTTTGTCTACTAGAAAATTCTGCCTTATAAATCTATCTCTTTATAATATATGTTAATATTTTATACACATATGATGATATATAGGCAACTTTCTAGTTTGCTGTGACATTATTGATATTTTGCCCACGTTCAACCTCTGTTCTGATCCCTTACAATGTCTAAATGTTCTCAACTTAAAAATTATTTTATTTTTAATTGACAAATAATAATTGTACGTATGGGGTACAATGTGATATTTTAATATATGTTTGCATTATGGAATGATTAAATCAAGCCAATTAACATCTCCATTGCCTCCCAGTACTTACAATTTTTTGCAGTGAGAACATTTAAAATCTATTTATTTATATATTTATTTAGTTTTCGAGACAGAGTCTCACTCTGTGACCCAGGCTGGAGTGCAGTGGCACGATCTCGGCTCACTGCAAGCTCCGCCTCCTGGGTTCAAGCAATTCTCCTGCCTTAGCCTCCTGAGTAGCTGGGATTACAGGCGCCCACCACCACGCCCGGCTAATTTTTGTATTATTTCAGTAGAGACAGGGTTTCACCATGTTGCCCAGGTTGGTCTGGAACTCCTGACCTCAGGTGATCTGCCCGCCTCAGCCTCCCAAAGTGCGGGGATTACAGGCGTGAGTCACTGTGCCCAGCCTAAAATCTATTTAAAAAATGTTTTTCAAATATGTCTACAACACATTATTATGGGCTAAATCATCACCACGCTGTGCAGGAAGCACGAGAACTCGCCCCTCCTGTTGCTGCTGGAACTTTGTCCCTCTGTCCAGCGCCTCCCCGACCCGGCACCCGCCCCTCAGCTCCCTGTCTTTGTGAGTGCTACTGTTTCAGATTCCACATCTGAGCGAGATCACACAGTGTCTGTCCTTTTGTCCCTGGGTCATCTCACTCAGCACAACAGTTCTTTACTCGGTCCGAGATTCCTGAGAAAAGTACCTGCTTACTTTCTGAGTGCTTCACAGCTAGTCCAGTGAGGAGGATAAACTGAAGCCGTTTATCCTCAGATATCTTACTTCGGAAGCTATTTTTTGAGACAGTGTTTACCCAGATAGCGTTTTTGTGCCACAAGCCCGGGGGAGTCGAGGCTCGTAGTGTTGGTCAAAGGCCTCCCTGGTGCTTTGTCCCCCAGCCAGGCAGCGTCCCTGAGGGCCCGGTGGGTGGCCCCAGACTGCAGCACCCCAGGGACATGGGCAGCCCGGGGGCTCTTGTCATGCAGAGTCCAAGTATGGGGGACGTGGTGGGCTCCGTCTCCAGGGTGACCCCCCTTGGGTGCAGGGCAGGGCCCGCTCAGGGGACAGTGCGTGGCCTGAGTGCCTGTTTCCTCGAAGCCTCCGCCCTTGAGTTGGCCCTGGGCAACCGTCGCCTCTCTGGGCCTCAGTTTCCTTACCTGCCGCTGGGGTATCACCTGTCCCCTACCCCCGCAGGAGTGGGATTGAGTGAAGGACTCAATCACTTTGGGAAATCACTTTGGGGATTGAGTGAAGGACACGTAAGGTTTCATGCGGCTGCAGCTCGTCGGCCACATCGAGGTCCTTCCTGAAATATTTGGTCCAATTTCCCGACAAGGTTCCTTCCTCTCATATTTTATTTCACAAGCCAGTTATAACAACTCCTCCCCCTCAGTGGGCTGTAAGGCATCCTTTATCTCATGTATTAATTTAAACAAAATCTGAATAGGTGGACGGCTTGACGGAAGGCTCACTCTACGAGTTCAAAATCGCCGCCGTCAACCTGGCCGGCATCGGGGAGCCCTCAGATCCCAGTGAGCACTTCAAGTGTGAGGCCTGGACCATGCCGGAGCCCGGTGAGTCGCTGCCCCCAGGACACCCGCGTTCCAGCGCACAGGCTGGCTGGGAAGGGGCCTCTGTGGCTGCGACTCTGGACTCGCCAGCCTTCACAGCGTGTCTGTTCCTCCGACACCCGCAGCCGCAGAGCCACCGTGCGCCAGGCGCCGTGCAGGGCTGTGAATCAGGCAGACCCAGCATCTAGTTTGGGCTGTGCGTGGTCCAGAGGCCAGTGATGAGGGCAGAGTAGGAGGCCCTGAGGGTGAGGTGGGAGGGAGCACAGGAGGACCCAGACTGTGGGGAGAGGGACAGCTTCCCATGCATCCCCTGACCTATGACACGGATTTGGCCCAGGTCACCTACCCCAAAGGAGCAGGCAGAGAGGGTCACAGGTGGAGGAGAAGGTGCGAGCCCCGGCCCCAGCTGGGAGGCGCGACAGGGTTCTCATTCGTGGGTTAGCTCCTGCAGTCCTCTCAGGCCATCTGGGGATCTCGGGGGAGGCACGACAGGGTTCTCATTCGTGGGTGAGCTCCTGCTGTCCTCTCAGGCCATCTGGGGATCTCGGGGCTTCTGCTTCTAAAAGGCATCATTGTTGCAGACCTGCATTTATTTAGCTCGCACTCTACTGGTTTTTTGTTTTGAGATGAGGTCTCTCTATGTTGCCCAGGCTGGTCTTGAACTCCTGGGCTCAAGCCATCTTCCTGCCTCAGCCTTATGAGTAGCTGGGGCCACAGGTTCATGTCACCATGCCCTGCTAACATTTTCTCTCTGTTTTCAAAAGTTCTCAAGTACCAGACCTTGATTTCTTTGTCTCTAACCTATCAGGAATTAAGTGCAATGGATAATATGCTCATACTTTGAGAAAGTAAATCCTGAAAGTTGAAGCTGAAAAAGTTCAAAGTTCAGAGTGTTTTCCAATGTTATGGCCAGAGTATACTGCCTTTTTCCTTTTAGTCAGCGTCTTTTGAGTTAGCAAATCAGCTGCTAAGAAGCCAGATGAATAAGCCAATTAGAAAATTCCTTCCTTCCTTCTTTCCTTCCTTCCTTCCTTTCTTTCCTTCCTTCCTTCTTTCCTTCCTTCCTTCTTTCCTTCCTTCCTTCCTTCTTTCCTTCCTTTCTTCTTTCCTTCCTTCCTTCCTTCCTTCTTTCTTTCCTTCCTTCCTTCTTTCCTTCCTTCCTTCCTTCCTTCCTTCCTTCCTTCCTTCCTTCCTTCCTTCCTTCCTTCCCTCCCTGCCTCCCGCCTTCTTTCCTGCCTTCCTACCTTTCTTCTTTTAATGAAATTAAATTTTGGACCTTAGAAAACCAACAGAAGAAAAAAGTCATTCTAGTTTCCCGAGCCTCTTTTGAGGGTTGATAGGAGATGGCCTCTCAAGGCTCAAGGCCACAGTGAGACTAGCTGAAGATGGGGCGGGGCTGCCTCTCTGTTTCCCTGCACCGCTTGGTGCTTGCCTGGACCTGGGCCTCCGCACCACATGCCCTCAGAGTTGCCGCGGGTGTTCGTAGAGGACAGGGCTGCAGTGATGTGCTTCCGGCCAGGTAGGCAGGCTCCCTGAGTGACTGTGACTGCCAGGTGTCCAGCCCCGTGGAGGGTAACTTGAGAACCTGTCCTTTCCCGCACACCGTTCCTCTCTGTGATCGCATCTGCTGGTCCCGAGAATGCAGTGTGGACTTCTGAATGATTCTACGTAGATCCACGTAGGCTGGGCCCTCCTCCCTGACCCCCAACGTCATGCTGAGCACCCTCCTTACCCTGCTCTGCAAGAGAGGCTGATAAACATCAGATGGGGAACAGATACGGATGGTCCTGGTGGGGGGCTTCCCAGAGGAGCAGTGGGTCCCCGGGGCTGGGTTGGGCGGTGGGTGTGCTGGACTGGCTATGCGCGCAGAAACAAGGTGGCATCTGACTTCACAGGTCCTGCCTACGACTTGACGTTCTGTGAGGTCAGGGACACGTCCTTGGTCATGCTGTGGAAGGCCCCTGTGTACTCCGGCAGCAGCCCTGTTTCTGGATATTTCGTGGACTTCAGGGAGGAGGATGCTGGAGAGTGGATCACTGTCAATCAGACGACAACAGCCAGCCGTTATTTAAAGGTAAGTCTTGGCCGGCTGTGGTGGCTCATGCCTGTAATCCCAGCACTTTGGGAGGTAAAGGCGGGCCAATCACTTGAGGTCAGGAGTTCGAAACCAGCCTGGCCAACATGGAGAAGCCCCGTCTCTACTAAAAATACAAAAAAATTAGCCGGGCATGGCACCGTGGCAGGCACCTGTAATCCCAGCTACTCGGGAAGCTGAGTCAGGAGAATCGCTTGAACCCGGGAGGCGGAGGTTGCGGTGAGCTGAGACTGAGTCACCGCACTCCAGCCTGGTTGACAGAGCGAGACTCTGTCTCAAAAACAAAACACACACACAAAAATAAAACAAACTAACCACAAAAAATAAAGGTAAGTCTTTCGTCTTGGCGTTTCCCTCTGTGTGAAAGTGCTGTTGATCTCTGCGCAAGCCAGCACCGAGCCCCGAGGTGAACCTGTTCAGATGACCGGGGCGTGGCTGCTGAGGATGCAGCCGCCATGCGCGTTGTGGGGCCCAGCAGATGACAGAACAGTGCCTTGAGGACGCAGAGCCCTCCTTCCATTCACACCAACATGCTGTTTGCTCCTGGGGAACTGCGCAGACACGCCTGTTTTCTTCCACATTGCAGTCTAATAGCTGTTAATTGTCTGTTCATGGGCTATGTCTGTGTGCTTTCCAAAGGGATGGTGCCTATTGTATTATGTCCTTCCACTTCACGCCGGGCATTTAATTTACTTAATTCATGTGATCGCTAAAGTCCATTTGATAAGCACCACACACAGATATACACACAGTTTTCATACATGGAGCAAAACTATCATGTGTGACTTCCTCCAGCCTCTCTTTCTCCAAATGTTTCTGTTTTTAGCACTTGCGGTTCCTCAGTGACTGGGTCAGGTGTAAGGACTGAGCCCCAGGAGGCCTACATGCTCCAGCTGAGTTGCCAACTGCCTT
Organism: Homo sapiens; assembly: GCF_000001405.40. Taxonomy (NCBI): domain Eukaryota; kingdom Metazoa; phylum Chordata; class Mammalia; order Primates; family Hominidae; genus Homo; species Homo sapiens. The sequence goes on from NC_000008.11 coordinate 2,101,988, forward strand.
AACCCAGAGGTTTTCTTCTCTGGGTGCTGGGCCCTGTGGTGGGGTGGGCCTGCTTCCTTCCCTAAAGCACAGCCACGTCTGGGTCCGGCACCTGAGCACAGGCTGAGAGGGCCTTCCACGGGTGACACCTTCCGGAAACCCTTTGATGACAGGAAACAGCCAGTGTCTTTAGAATGAATGAGTCAGCTTCTAAGAATCAGCTACATAAATCAACTAGAAGCTTAGTAAATATATATAGATGTTTATCCAAGCAGGTTTTAATAAGAATAACCCATGTATGTACAAGTAGAGATGGATTTAATTCTGATGCCCCAATGATGACTTTACACAGTTAAATATCACACTTAAAATAGTATTTGGTTCCACAGAATTATGTTAAATATAAACACCAGATTATAAACTAGTCAGTATGATTTTACTTCTGCTTTAAAATATGCAGAGATAAAAAAATGAAAGAGGTTCCATCAGATTGGGAGCGAATGCGTTTATTCCTCCAAAGTCACATTCTGCACCACTGTGAATCTCCTCTTCCCTCCTTTTCTAACTCATTAAGTATCATTTTCCTAACTGGAAAAATAAGCTATTTTTGAAAAGGCCCTATTCACAATAAAATGTGAAAAACTCCACAGTCATCTTTATTTTACCTCCACACATCTGGTGTTTCCTCTGTTGTTTCAAGGTCTCTGACCTGCAGCAAGGTAAGACCTATGTCTTCAGGGTCCGGGCAGTCAATGCAAATGGCGTGGGGAAGCCCTCAGACACGTCGGAGCCTGTGCTGGTAGAGGCGAGACCAGGTAAGGCTTACAACAAAAACTACAAAACAGCAATGATTTGTGGGGAGAGTGTGCATGTATTATGGATGTATGGATGAGGGTGTGTGGATAAATGAGTGGGAGAGTGAACACGTGTTATGTGTGTATGTGTGGATGGGTCTGTAGATAAATGAATGGGAGAGTGTGCATGTGTTACGTGTACATGTATGTATGGGTATGTGGATAAATGTATGGGAGAGTGTGCATGGATTATGTGTTTATGCATGGGTGTCTGAATAAATGAGTGGGAGAGTGTGCATGTATTATGTGTGGATGTGTGGATGGGTGTATGGATAAATGCATGTATTATGTGTTCATGTATGGGTGGGTGGGTGTGTGTGTAAATGAATGGGAGATTGCGCATGTATTGTGTGTATGGATGGACGGGTGTGTGGATAAATGAGTGGGAGAGTGTGCATGTTTTATGTGTATATGTGTATATGGATAAATGAGTGAGAGAGTGTGCATGTATTATGTGTATATGTGTATGTATGTATGGGTAAATGGATAAATGAGTGGGAGAGTGTACATATATTATGTGCATATGTGTATGTATGGATGGGTGTATGGATAAATGAGTGGGAGAGCGTGCATGTGTTATGTGTTTATGTGTATGTATGTATAGGTATATGGATAAATGAGTGGGAGAGTGTGCATGTGTTATGTGTATATGTGTATGTATGGATGGGTATATGAATAAATGAGTGGGAGAGTGTGCATGTATTCTGTGTATATGTGTATGTATGGATGGGTGTATGGATAAATGAGTGGGAGAGTGTGCATGTATTATGTGTATATGTGTATATATGTAGAGGTGTATGGATAAATGAGTGGGAGAGCGTGCATGTATTATGTGTATATGTGTATGTATGTAGAGGTATATGGATAAATGAGTGGGAGAGTGTGCATGTATTAGTGTATATGTGTATGTATGGATGGGTGTATGGATAAATGAGTGGGAGAGCATGCATGTGTTATGTGTTTATGTGTATGTATGTATAGGTATATGGATAAATGAGTGGGAGAGTGTGCATATATTATGTGTATATGTGTATGTATGTACAGGTATATGGATAAATGAGTGGGAGATAGTGCATGTGTTATGTGTGCATGTATGGATGGGTGTACGGATAAATGAACGGATGTCTTGCCGTTATTTTAAAAAGATTTGGATGGCAAATGAAGTATGCAATTAAATCTCTGCCTGTGCACTAATGGCCCTGGATGAGAAGGAGAGCACTTTGGGTCATCTTCATGCTTGGCAGGGGTTGTTCTTCGAATCGTCAAGCCACGTGCAGGAAGGAGGGCATTTTTTAAATATTACTGCTGGATTTTTATCAGAAAATTTTAAAAAGCTGTTGGTAATTTTCTTGATTTCAACGAATAAAAGTTCCCTGGAGTCAACCTAAAAAGGGCAAATACTTCTGAAGGCAGGACACACACTCATAGGATACACAGTCTATTTTGTGTTGCTGTAACAGAACACCGAGGCTGGGTAATTGTTTTTAAAAGTTTATTGGGGCGTGGGTGTGGTGGCTCACGCCTGTAATCCCAGCAATTTGGGAAGCCGAGGCGGGCGGATCACGAGGTCAGGAGATCGAGACCATCCTGGCTAACACAGTGAAACCCCGTCTCTACTAAAAAATACAAAAAGAATTAGCTGGGCATGGTGTTGGGCGCCTGTAGTCCCAGCTACTCAGGAGGCGGAGGCAGGAGAATGGGGTGAACCTGGGAGGCGGAGGTTGCAGTGAGCCGAGATCGCGCCACTGCACTCTAGCCTGGGCAACGGAGCAAGACTCCATTTAAAAAAAAAAAAAGAAAAAAAAAGTTTATTTGGCTCATGATTCTGGAGGCGGGAAGTCTAAGAAGCACAGTGCCGGGATCTGCTGTGGTGGCTCCGGCAGCTCTGGTGGCTCCGGTGAGGGCCTCCCGCTGCCCCACAACATGGTAGAGAACTGGGTGTGTGCGGAAACGGACCCAGCATGGGAGGCAGCCTTGCTTTATAACATTTACTCTCACTGGAACTACTCCATTCCAGTTTAACCAACCAGCAGCCGTGGTTATTAGCAAGAATCTACCCAGTCTTTCCAGAAAGACACGAGTCTATCTTAACGACCTAATCACCTCTTTTAAAAAGAATTTTTATTATTCTGTTTTTTATAGAGACAGGATCTCACTATGTTGCCCAGGCTGGTCTTGAACTCCTGAGCTCAAGCGATCCTCTGGCCTCGGCCTCCCAAAGTGCTGGGATTACAGGCATGAGTGCTGCCCCCAGTCATTAATCACTTCTTAAAGGCTCCACCTCCCAACACCGTTGCACTGGCTTTTACATTTCAATGTGAGTTTTGAGGGGATCATCCACATCCAAACCACAGCCCCAGAGTGTGACCTGAGTGTCAGGAAGCAGTGCAGCCTCAGACTGTAAAGATCCTGATGGCTGTCTGTGGTGGCCTCTTCATCTCACCCTGCCACCTGGCTTTCCTTGCATCTGTGTCTTCTTCATAACCCGAGAGCACTGACACTTCATGGCCTCAGTTCCACTCACCAGCAGAGGCTGAGATGTGTCTCGTCCAATTCCTAATTCCTACGACATAGATTCTGCCTTGCACACGGCCAGATGTTCACCTGGGTCAAAAAGTAGCAAATAAACCACAAACAACCCCTACTCCCAAACAAGACAAGGCAAGGCCCCATGGAGAAGGCAGAGCTGTGTGAAGGGGGAGCTTCATGGTGGGCACATGGCTGCTGGGCTTCCCCTGAGGGTCAGAGAAGGAGATTCCAGAGAGAACAGGATCTTCAGGGCCTGGAGAGGCAGCCCTAAGAGGTTTTCTGCAGTTGTATGAGATGCAGGGAAGGACGTGTGCAGAAATATGGTAAATTAAAAAAAATTAGCAACAACAAAACAACCAAGCCCCTCCAGGTCCTCCCTAAAGTGTTTTCTCTCTCACGATTCTCTCATCAGTCCTGGGTCATTAAATGCAACTGATGATTTGGTGTAAGATGAGGTCTCTGCATTGGGTACCCCCTCGGCATTAGTCCGTTCTCACGCTGGTATGAAGAAATATCTGAGACTGGGTGACTTATAAAGAAAAGAGGTTTAATTGACTGACAGTCCTTCGTGGCTGGGGAGGCCTCAGGAAACTTACAGTCATGGCAGAGGGCACTTCTTCACAGGGCGGCAGGACAGAGTGAGTGCCAGCAGGGGGAATGCCAGGTGCTTCTAAAACCATCAGATCTCATAAGACTCAGTCACTATCATGAGGACAGCATGGGGGAAACCACCCCCGTGATCCAATCACCTCACTCCCTCTACACTTGGGGATTACAATTTGAGATGAGATTTGGGTGTGGACGCGGAGCCAAACCATATCACCCTCTCCCAAAAGAGAGTTGAAAGAACACCGTGTCCCTAAGCCGCTCACTTCATACTCTTCTTATGCAGGCACCAAGGAAATCAGTGCTGGTGTCGATGAACAAGGCAACATCTATCTGGGCTTCGACTGCCAGGAAATGACAGACGCGTCTCAGTTCACCTGGTGTAAATCCTACGAGGAGATTTCAGATGATGAGAGGTTTAAAATTGAAACCGTGGGGGATCAGTAAGTGAGGCCTGGAAGTTGGATACTGGAAACTTTTAGAAGTTCCTGCAAACAGAAATGATCGACATTCACCTACTCTTCTTCCTTTTTAGCTCCAAGCTGTACTTAAAGAATCCGGATAAGGAGGATTTAGGGACTTACTCCGTGTCTGTAAGTGATACAGACGGAGTGTCCTCCAGTTTTGTTCTGGACCCAGAAGGTAATATTTATATGGCAGAACCTTGCCTGTTTTGGTTTTATCACACTTTCAAAGATTGACACCAACATAGAAAAGACTTACTTGCTTAGAAAAAAGACGTATGTTTGCAGGAGGCTGGCGGTGGGGGCTATGTATATAAGCCAAAACTTGCTTTAGAAATTAAACAAACTCTAAAGTTTATACTGTTTCCACCAAGTAGTCTCTGGTCCTGATATATTGCTTGTATAGCCTTCAATTTGTACTTTTAAAGTTGAGTCTTAGCCACATTTTAATAGTTTGGTATGCAGAGGGTAACATATTAACTAAGAAATCCATGAAATTAATGAGAGACCTACGGGTGGAAGAGTCTTCCCTTCCTTCCAACACTGAGAAATCAGATGATCAAAGAAAAATTTTTTTATGCATGTAAAATAATTTTAACTGACGAAGTGAAAATCTGCTGCTGTGTTACCCATGGAAGACGGCAGAGAGAAGTGAGAAAAGTCTGTTTAGTGATCAAGGGGAAAAACAATAGTTTTCTTAGATAGGTTCACAGGTCTGAGTTCACCAGGCACACAGTCTCATGCAGGCAGGGCTGATTTTTTTAAACTGCCTAGCATCACGTGTATTTGTGTGGCCCGTCATCTACCCCACCCACAGGACAGCGTCAGCCTTAGACATTTTTAAACGAAGGGGCAGTGGTGCAGCGTGAACTCGTAGGGCTGGATGGTATCCTCAGATTTCTGGGTTTCTTTGGGTGTCTAAGGCATTTGAATTTCCAAAAGTTTTCTATTAAAGTGCTCTCCAGGGATGGCATAAATGATCTCCAGGGGAGTCCTAAGGTTTACAAGCAGATCCTTTAGTTATCAATCACTGTCCTGGTTGATATCATGCAGAGGCTGTGATCTGAGAACATCCGACCCAGGATCGGTGCTGTGGGCTGGGCAGGAGGATGGGCAGGTATCCACGGAGGGGGAAGCCAGAATCACACTCTCGGCTTCTCGAGTGTGCAGGTTTGGCTCAATGTTGGTGAAATTCAGGAAAACTCATGCACATTTAACAAGACACAGGCAGACAAATGAGGAGGCCGCACTGTCTCGCCTTTCTGGGGTCCTCAGTTCACCACTCACAGGCAGGGTGGGGAAGGACCCAAAATCCATTTGCATGCTTTTAAAGCAGCCTCTGTTGGCCCTGCCTCCAGGGTCTTGACACAGTTTTGTACCTTCACGACATCCTGAAGGACTTCTGAAAAGCTGTGCATTCCTCTGCACCATTTCAAAGTTTCCATCTTAATTTTAACTTTTTTAAATACTTGCAAAAGAAAAAATTCCACCTTCTCTTATATTGTGTATAGACTTCAAATATATTTGAGGTAAAACTTTGCAGTTGAAGATTTAGTTCATTCCATGTATGGAAATTCCTACCAGAAGGTTGAACTGGGAAAGCCAGTCCTCCCTGTGAAACCAGTTGCCAATATGAATTTACTTTTGGGCAGAAAAATCTAACTTCATTTTTCCATTTTGAATAGACATGTTCTTGAAGGCCTTGGAGATCACCATCTTCTTTCTGATTCTAATTTTAAGAAGGAAGGAGAGAAAATGAAGTGGCTTAGAGCCCAGATTTTCTTACCTTGCTCTTGAGACTTTCTCAGGAATGCAAAATGCAGTGTATTTTGTTTATTTATTTATTTTTTTTGTTATTTTCTTCTTTCCTTTTTTTTTTTTAAATTCATGGTAATACACTATAGTGATGAAATGAGCGGTGTGTATATCTTTCTTTAATGAGATTGAAGAAGGACATCTTGAGAGGGGAAGGAAAGTCACAGGCCAGAAGCACGTTCTCAGCCAGTGCAATCAATTTTAGGAAAGAGCTCACATTAAGTGCAAGGATCTGGAAAAGACTCCCTTTAACCTTTCGTCTTCCAAGTCTTCCTATATTCCAGGGATATACCTACCCCTGCCCCCAATTCCTTTGTCCCCATGACTGTGCCCTGCCTTGTCCTCAGCTGCCCCTGTACTAGGTGGGTTCTTTAAATGGTGAAGGTTAAAGCTATCCTCTATGTCCCTCAGACTTGTAGTTTAAATTCCTTTCGTGTCCTCCAATTAAATCCTGGGGGTTTCCAATCTTGCTCGTGTGTCGCCTTGCTGTTGTCTACAAACTTCTCTAGGTGCAGGTCCAGATGAATTGAAATACTTTTTCTTCGTTTTAGAGCTCGAGCGTTTGATGGCATTGAGCAATGAAATAAAGAACCCCAGTAAGTAAGCCTCCAGCCCTTCCCCTCTGCTTGCAGCTGCTGGCTGGAGGGCCGTGTTCATTAATGCATGAGCTCTTGGAAGAACAGCTTTGGGGAAAGGATGGCCTGATTTCCTGATCCCAGCTTACAGGATTGAAACCTATTGATTTAAAACAAATATTAGCTTATATTATAGCTTGTTGAAACTTGCATTGCGTACACAGTGATTAGAATTTTGGGTTTAGTATAGCTGTTGCTAATCCGAGTGAGATCCAAGATTTCATTTCCTATCAAGTGAAATCTTCTGTTATTGAATTGCATTAAATATAGAAAGAATCCAGGCATCTTTACTTATCGAACACATTTGCAAAGCTAACTGAGAACTCATGTGGCATGAGGCTTTAGAGGCAACAACAGGCCAGCTCAAGTTTTATTTTATATTTTTAGCTTCCATAATCTAATACTCCAGGGTTTCACATTCTCAAAAATCTAATAACTAGGATTGATATTTCCCTACAATTTGCAGGTATTCTTCCTCACAAGGATTCATGCATTATTGACTTGCGATTTCTTTTCTTCCTGTAGCAATTCCTCTGAAATCGGAATTAGCTTATGAGATTTTTGATAAGGGGCGGGTTCGCTTCTGGCTCCAGGCTGAGCACTTATCACCAGATGCCAGCTACCGATTTATTATTAACGACAGAGAAGTCTCTGACAGCGAGGTGAGTTCCTGTGTGAGTGATCTCTGGCTTTGCAGGGAGTCCACTTTTGTTGTGGTAGGTCAGTTACTGAATATCAACATTCTCTGTCTGTTTCCATCCTTTTCTGAGCCTTAAAGATTGGGGCATGGAAGGTTGACAAGATGAATGGAGATGGTTGATTCTTACAATGTTCAAAGGTTTGGTCTGGGTTACAGGAGACATCAGGAGTCTTTAAAATCTGAGCCTGTTGGAATTAAAAATGACTTTGAGCTTGTTTTTTGTGAAAAGGTTTAGGTCAGGTGGGGGAAAATATCCTTGATGAATCAGTTCACTTATTCTTGATAATGGTTTTGAAGGTATCTATTTTTTGCTGTATTGTGAGAGAGGCCTCCCTGCATTCTCCCCCCACTGACAGCTTCCCATGGAAGGCATCCGTGGGGAATAAGTTTCTGTGGCTTCTCTGCCTGTTTGGGCAGCAATCTTGGTGTGGCAGACTGATGTGACAGTGTGGCTGTCAAGAGTGATGTTCTGGCCAGGCATGGCGGCTCTCACCTGTAATCTCCTCACTTTGGGAGGCCGAGATGGGGGCATTGCTTGATCCCAGGAGTTCAAGACCAGCCTGGGCAACATAAGGAGATCCCATCTCTACAAAAACTTAAGAAATTAGTTGGGCATGGTGATGCTCACCTGTAGTTCCAGCTACTTAGGAGGCTGATGTGGGAGGATCACTGGAGCCTGAGAGGTCCGAGCTGCAGTGAGTTATGATTGAACTACTGCACTCTAGCCTGGGAGACAGCAAGGCTCTGTCTCAAAACAACAACAACAAAAAAGGCACATGCTCTGTCACGGTCCAGACACCGCCTCGGTTCTGCTTTCGATTGTATAAAATGAACCTTAACAATTATGTCAGGTACTCCTTATTTGTCTGGAGAATATTTGAGAAGCCAATGGTTGTGTTTCAATAAATTTCCTCTTTTCTAATTATAGCGTGCCTGGGACCCGGTTAAAGGACAGCCCTATTTCATGGGGACTTTATTGTTCAGTGGTGGCTTGGGGCTCTCTCAGAGCCCCCATCTTTACTGCTTCTGCCTTTTTCCCTTAATGCCCAGTGTAGAGTGTGGTTGGCAACCTTAGCTGTGTACTAAGTCCTCAGTGTTGATTGGTTTGTTCATTACACAAGTTTTAGGGGAACTGTGGGATGCAGGAGCCTCTCATGCTCCCGGGCAGCCCCCCTACCATATTTCTAAGCTGGACCCCTCATTGCAGTCCAGCCTTTGTGTCTGATGGGCATTTAGCAGGACTCAGTTAGATGAATGTTGATCAGACAGAAGTCTTGCAGGTAAGGATCATAGAATTTTCTTCTCCAGTCAGTCTTTCCCATGAGAATCATGACACACTTTAAGACTCACTCCTACGTGGGAGAGTCGGCTAGAAAGTAGAAAACATCTAGCTTCTTTTGGGCTGCAAAAAAGCCAGTGGTATAACTATTGCCTATGGGAGACTTACTGTCTGATCCAGGTAATTGGAGAAATCTTCTTTGAGCAGAGACCATGCTATGAAATGAAAGGGAATTTAGGGGAATGGCACTTTATTTGCGGGATATCTTTTGATGAGCACTTCCTGCCTGCTGTATAGAGCTTGCTTTCAGGATGGGTGCCCTGGCTTCATGGCTAATCTTTTGGAATATGGTTGTACTATTTCACTTCTTTAATTAGCAATGCACAGGTGACTTTTACATTTGAAGATTGATGCTATTTTGTGGAAGACATATAAAAGTCTGTATTTATGGCACTCATAAAATCATTCAACTTCATCTTGCTGCATAATGGCATTAGCAAGAAGCCTAATTATTTTGTAAAACCTGCCCAGACATTGCAGCACAGCAGCTAAGAAAATGGAAAAAGCTGCTATATTGCTGAGAATCTACTCAGTGAGAATCATACCTTTTTCTTACTCAGAGCCAGTTAAAGTAAGTTCCTATCATTCATTCTCTACTCATAGATGTTTGAGGTGAGGATAATGTCATACAAATAAGGACAGTGCATTTATCTGATCAACCTGAAGTTTACTCTTGATATTCGGAAGTAAACACTCCACACTGTAAAGAAATCCAAGGTCCACGGGACGGTGTATCCACTGGAATCTCAGGTCCCTCTCCTGCTCATGGTACCTCCAAGAGCGACGTCAGTCTCCAGGGACGGGGACAAAGTTGTTGTGCTTCCTGCAGTTGAGCCATTTCTTAAAATAATCTCCCTCCCTCAAAAACAGTCTGAGGTCATGCCTTCTCATTCATTTCTGTCACTTTCTATCATTGTAGATGTACCAATTTCCTGTGCCAGTTTTCTGTTTAGAAAAAGTCTCAGTGATCTTACACAAGTATACGCTGTGTGATCTACATCTCTGATATAATATTGTAATTTCTAATTGCGAAGGTGATTTTTGTGTTTATGGGAAATCAAAACCTGGGGTAGGAGTGGAGCAGACTTTATTCACACGTAAACCCTGAATGTCAGATTCGATGAAACAAAAATTGCAGCATCCCCGGGAGCTGTTGGGAGCTTGGGCGGTCCTCTTCCTTTCCCAGTGGACGGCAGCACCTACCCTGTACATCACCTGTTGAATATCCACTTGGCCAATACACCAGCAGGGACAGAACAGTCAGATGTGAAGTTGCCCTTACAGAGACTGTCACGGAGTCAAAGAAATACACCTTCAATTAGAGGAGGACAGAGAAGAAAGATAGAACCCAGGTTATATTAAAACAGTACAGTAAACACTCTCAGAATTCAGAGAAGGCAGAGAGTTGAAGAGGCTGAAGTAGTCAGGAAGGATTTCAAGGGTAGAGGGTTATTGAAATGGGTGTTAAGGAGGTAGAAATCATGGGTCGGGGGGTGGGGGTCAGGGATGGGAGGGAGAGAATGAGACATTCCAAGCCGCTCTAGTGCACAGAGAGTGGGGAATGATCAGGGAATAGCGACACAGGGAAGTGGAGGGGTGGGCTCAACGGAGGGGGCTGTTTGCCTGAGTGATCTTAGGAAATAGTGTTGGGGAATAGGAGTGGGGTCAGAAGATACAGACTTTGAATGTCAGGCAGAAGAACTTAGAAACAATGCTGAAGAAAATGAACACAGAGAGAGAAACTGAACCAAGTGGCCAGTTTGCTAATATTCGTCTTCTAAAGCCTCTCCGGTGGCACTGGCATTTGCAATATCAAAACAGAAATGTAAACTCAGAGAGAAAGAAGAACATGTGAAAACAAATGCACGTGATTTATCAGAAGAAGGTTGCTGATTTTCTGGCTAAACTTACATTGTCACCTGCAGATAGAAATTCTCTGCAGTATTGCTGCTAAGGCAAGGGCTGTGAGAGGAGTGTGGTTCCAAGGGCTGACGGAGTCTTCTCCCGCTACGCCTGCCTCATTTGCCGAGCACCACAGGTTATTAGTTTTTTGTTTTGCTCATGTGGCCCCAAGAGCCTCCTTGGGTCCTGGGTAAGATCATTATTCAGGCTGGAAAGCCTTTGCCCCAATTCCAGCTGAGATCGATCCGACAGGTAGATGCAGATCTGCAGAAAATATTGACAGCAGCTGAGACTACCGTATTGGTAACGCTGGGCACGAGGAAGCCGAGGCCGGGCATCCACACTCCCGTGATTCTACGGTGGCATGGCTGGGGCGAGTCCCGCGCTGGACATTGGATTCCCTCGACGCCATCGTGCCTTGCATTACTGCTGCATTTAGGATGAGTCACACACTGGGATGTGGTCCTTCTACCGTCAAGACCCTGCTCAATGTCAGACACTGTATCATCCAGGTGGAGTACAACACAATCCACTAGCAGCCATAACACCTTTCAGTATCTGTTAGCACATCCCAAAGGCTGAGTGAGCAGAGGTGTGGGGAAGGTGAGCTGGGAGCAGGTGAAGGCCTTGGGAGGTCTCTACCCCAGATGCTGCCTGGGGTGGGGCTTCTGTGCCCAGGGTGTGGCTGCACCAAGGCAGGGAGGTCAAAGAGGGTGGTGCAGGGGGTTAGCTGTTGAAGGAAGAGAGGTGACAGTTGCAGCCAGGGATGGAGGAAGGACCGACTGGGACAGGTTCATAGTTTCAGCCGATGACTGATCTGGAGGGGAAGGTCTCAGTTGATCAAGAAGGCTTCTCAGGTCTGCACTGGGAAGGAAGTTCCGGTCCTGACCATGTCCGCGGGCTCTCACCTAGAAGCATAATTATCTTCCAAAATTGCTCAGTGTCACTTAGTAGTGTCAGAGACCACAGCCACCTCAATGCCACAGATGGCAGGGTGAGCTAAGCCCCCTCCAGCTGACTTTCTCATCAGAACCTTGTTGGACATGTGTTTGGTATTTCTCACTGCCAGGCATGATGCTGGGCACAGCGTGAGGCTGCAGGGATGAGTAAGGCCATGCCTGCTCTCAGGGGCTCATTGTCTGGCGAGACAGACAGACGGCAGGTGGATAGGTAGGGTGGGGAGGGTGCTCCCAAGGGCAGGGTGCTATTGGGGGAAGGGAGGCAGAGCTGTGGAAACCCCATAAAACACCAAGCCTCACCCGGGGGCATCAGGGAAGTCTCCCTTGGAGCCAGTCACAAGGGCTGCATTCGGGTGAGGTGGCCACGACAAGGATGGGCAGAAGCTGCACTGTTGCAGAGAGGCCTGCAAGCTCAGAACTTTGGGGCATGGCCCTCAGGGAACTCCAAGGCATGAAATGTATCCCTGCATTCATCACCAAAGCAGCAGAGAGGCAGGTAGTCCAGGCTTCTGTGGACTGTTCCTGTGATACAGTGTAACCTAGAAATCATGAAGTGATGCAAAGTAGTGTTCTCAGACCAACCAACAGCCTTCCAGTCTTTCTCCTATCTTAGCAACAAGACAGCTGCACTGCAGGCAGGGAGGGGGAACTGTGTGGGCAAATGTTTGTGGTTTGGTTGTATGCATTATATATGACAAAATTTCTTCTTTCCCCCTTTTTTTGAGACAGAGTCTCACTCTGTTGCCCAGGCTGGAGTGCAGTGACTGTGATCTCGGTTCACTGCATCCTCTGCCTCCTGAGTTCAAGCTCATGCCTCAGCCTTCTGAGTAGCTGGGATTACAGGCGTGCGCCACCACACCTGGCTAATTCTTGTATTTTTAGTAGAGTTGGAGTTTCACCATGTTGGCCAAGCTGGTCTCGAACTCCCCACCTCAGGTGATCTGCCCACCTTGGCCTCCCAAAGTGCTGGGATTACAGGTGTGAGCCACTGCACCCAGCCTAACAAAATTTCTTTTTTCTTTTTATTTTTTTGAGACAGGGTCTTTCTCTGTTGCCCAAGCGATCCTCCTGCCTCAGCCTTCCCTGTAGCTGGGACCACAGGGATGTGACAAATTTATATACTGCTACACAGGAAAACTCGTTTTCAGAATTACAAGGAAGAGATGGTCTAATATATTAAGAACATATATTGGCAAAGACCAATACCATATGAAATTGGTTTGAAACAGTTCTAAAAATTACACAGGCTGATTGATGTTTTGAAAGGTTTCATTAGAATTAGAGTTATTTAAGTGAAAAAGTGAAATTTAAGTATTAATATTAATTTATAACTTTAATAATTATCAAGAAGCACAAAAAGGTAAAAATATCAAGCCCCCAAATAAGGCAACCAGCAAAAAAAAAACAAAAAACAAACAAACAAAACATAAAAAAGAGAAATAAGCATTAATAAAGATGGGGAAAATGGTTTTAGTGAAGTTAAAAAGTTAATAAGTAAACATCACAAAATCAGAGGGAAACAAAAGATCAAATTTGCTCAATTCATCTGTGTGTTAGAGAAACACTTGTTCTTTGACTTGTAGGATTACCTAAATAGAACACATTCATATGTATCTGTGCATGTACTGTAGAATAAAATGAAACATTTAAAAAATAAAAGCGATCAAAAAAGTCAACACCTGTTGGAGGTCCATTTATCCTTTCCTCACCTGAAACCCCTGCACCCTGATGGACCACAGCAGGCTGGGGCTTGTGGGTGCTGTGTCCCGGGAGCTGAAGATGACAGTGGCTGTGGAGATTGCCTGTTGTTGCTATCCATGTGGGATTTTTGTCATCAGCTGGTGATCGTTATCATTCATATCAATTGCGTATCATTTTATTTTCTCCTGTGAATTTTATCTGCTTCACGTTAGTAACTCATTCTTGGGTAGGTGTGGAGTCTCTGCCTAGAAGGTCCCTGGTTTGGACTCTCAGATCTCCTCACACAGCCAGGCTTTGTCACTGAGTGACAGCTCATACCCACTGTTTGATCCTTGTTCACCCAGAGGTTTCCTTGATAAAATTTCATTTTGGTTTCTTCCTATCATAATCCCTTGAGATCTCATGGCTGATGCAATTGTTAAATGTTGCAAGGGAAAACTAGGAGAGATTTCCTTGTATAATTCTCCATTTCCCTTGTTTTGCTTGCAGATACACAGAATTAAATGTGACAAAGCTACTGGCATTATTGAGATGGTGATGGATCGATTTAGTATTGAAAATGAGGGGACCTACACTGTGCAGATTCATGATGGGAAAGCCAAAAGTCAGTCTTCTCTAGTTCTTATTGGAGATGGTATGCTATATCGAATATTTCCACGTCCATACAAGATAATTCAAATGAAATTCTTTTGACTGGAGAGAAGCAAACATGTTTCATATATATTTTTTTAAATATTGAATTTAGCATTCAAGACTGTGCTGGAAGAGGCTGAGTTTCAAAGGAAAGAATTTCTCAGGAAACAAGGTGAGTTTCCTCACTCTGACCGGCTCCCCTGCCCCTAGCATAAAGCAAAGATGATTGGAGTATTTGTCAGAAGCAGATCTTGCATGATCCCAAGCAACCCTAAAGGCTGTTTTAAATGATTAAGAGGTTAGGCTTACCAACTGCATAGGAAAGGAACCTGCTTTATAGCAGGGGAGTGAAGAGGAAAGCGTGCCTCTAGCTTTAATGTCCAGACGGAGTCCAGCAATTTTAATGAAAAGAATAAAGAATGGGGGTAGAGGAGGTGGTGGCTTCATTTGGCTTTGAAATGTAGAGAAGGCAGTAGAGGCTATTCCTATCACCAGGAAATTGCTCATTCTACTTAAGATTGTGGGAGCTGTTAAACTTTCTAACTACAAACAATATGTTTTAAATAGATTGCTTTTACAAATACATGTTAACTAGATACAAAGGAAAATGGATACACTTTAGATTCTCAAACATACCCCAAGGGTTTATTCAAAGAATTTTTTTTCTTTTTTGAGATGGAGTCTTGCTCTGTTGCCCAGGCTGGAGTGCGGTGATGCCATCTTGGCTCACTGCAAGCTCCGCCTCCCGGGTTCACGCCGTTCTCCTGCCTCAGCCTCCCGAATAGCTGGGACTACAGGCGCCCGCCACTATGCCCGGTTAATTTTTTCTGTATTTTTAGTAGAGACGGACGGGGTTTCACCGTGTTAACCAGGATGGTCTCGATCTCCTGACCTCGTGATCCGCCCGCCTTGGCCTCCCAAAGTGCTGGGATTACAGGGGTGATCCACTGCGCCCAGCCTCAAAAAACATTTTTATATATGGGATTTCTGAACTTCTTGAGAAAAATTAGAATGTGAATTATGAAACATAAAATCAAAACATTCATTTTTATTATTTTTCATTGTTTTTATTTCTAATAGTCACAAATATTTTACTTACTTCTACATTATGAACATTTTTGGGCCAACTTTGTAGGATGTATTTATGTATATGAAAGAAGTGAACACATACTTTCCAAATCTGCTTTGTATTTTTGCATTGAATGGCAAAAGGGTATTAGTGTATGACTTATTCCTACATGTATTTTAAATAAAAATGATTAACATTTTTTAAAAACATATATAAACCTGTCTTTGATTTTGAATGCTATCTAAAGAAAATGTGTTTTACAAAATTGCTAGGTCAAACTGTTGTTTCTTTATCTCATATCTATTCTCTTATTTAAAGGTATTATTTACCATGTTGTCGAATGTTCAGTTAGACATATACTTTGGGAAACAAAATATAATTATTTCAATAGCCTCCTTTCTGAAGAGCAATAGATATGAGATGTCAGTAAGAAGGAGCCATCAGACGTACGCTCCTACCAGGAAGCACAGATTCCAGTGGAGAATCAGTGTTAACACGTGTCGACATCCCAGGCCTGAAAACTATCTCAGTTTCATCCTCCACAGCTATTGTGTTCTGCCAAAAATGCATTACATAAATATATATAATACATTCTTATGTATTATATATACACACCATGCATATATGTGTGGGTATATATATATAATAGCTATATATTTATTTGTTTACTTTTTCCTTTTTTATATGTTTTCTTCCCTTTTTTCCTCCCTAGGCCCTCATTTTGCTGAGTACTTGCACTGGGATGTCACGGAAGAATGTGAAGTTCGACTTGTTTGCAAGGTGAGAAACCCGGTTCTAACAGGAAAACAATAAATCTCATTCTGGTTCCTATCAGAGAGGCCTTTCAGGGAGTAGCTGTGGCCAGATCTGTGATGCTGGTGAGGAAACGTGTGGTGCCTGTGTAGCTGCGGATGGGCGGAGTGGCTTTTGGGTCCTGTGGACTTTTTAATACTTGGACTTCAGTGCTTATCTTTTCTTCTTCACGAAAAGATTACAGTGTAGTGGGATGCAATGGAAGGTTGGATTATAAAAATTTTACTTAAACGATTATTAAGTGAGTTTATGAGAAAGTGTGCCCTGGTGAAATACACCTAGAAGTGCTGCTCATACGAGTTCATCAGGAAAGGAAAGGCATGCTTTGGAGACAAGATACTTCTTTCAGTTTCGTTTAACAATGTAGTAATGAAATATGTTTTATTACTAAATATAAAAATCTGTTTTTTAAGCAGCAAATCTTCAATTTAATAACTGCCTACTATTTGACTGTCTCAGGATGAGGGGATGGGGGAAAAAGATCAATAATGCATTGTTTTTACTCCCAAACTAGTTTCTTATTGTCTACTGGATAAGAGAGAAAAGTAAACAGACAGTTTCAATAAAGAGATGATTCGTGAGCTGCGTGTGCCAAGGGGACTAAGAATTATGCAGGCCAGTGAGTGGGAAAAGATGGTTCTAGGAAGATCCAGCAGCAGGGAGGGACAGAGAAGCTGAACTGTGCACTTAAAAATAAAAACAATAAAAAACCCAAGGCTGGTGGGCAAGTGGGGCATTCCCCTGCAGGACCCAGAGGCTGGCCATGGACTGAGAGGGTACAGAGCACCTGAGGGCTGTTAGTGCAGTGACACGGGCTGCTGGTTGACAAGGAAGGCTGGAGGTGGCAGGGCTGGAGGACGACGCTTCAGTAGGCTGCTGAGAGATGGTAACTCCAGCAGGGCAGTTTCATATCCACCGAGAGAAGGAGATTTAGGATACACATCCAGCAGTTAAAACCAGCAGGGGCTGGCAAGTAGCTGGGTGTGGGTGAGAGGGAAGTGTACTGGAGGACCGAGTGGGTGTGATATTTCTTGAGATCAGCACTGTACGGGGAGGGCCAAGTTTTAGGGTTTTGAGAATACATTCAATTTCACAAAGATTTAGTTATATCCGTGGAATGGTCAGTAAGGCATAACCGGCTCACGACAGGACATGTGAACCTGGCAGCAATGGGAAAGTCATCTGGAGCATGTGGATTCATGAGATATCGTGTGTGGATTCATGAGGTATTGGGAATGCTTGGCTGTGGACATGACGCAAGTGGGTCAAGCTGCCAAAGGACAGCCTTTAGAGACAGGAACATCACAAACAATTGGGGCATTCTGGAAAATTCAGATTGTCAGAGGAGAAGAGGAGACCAGCTCCAGGATTATTAAGCAGAAACCCTCAGAGAGTTCAGAGGGAAAGCAAGTGACTTGGTGGCCTCTGGCAGGGAGGGACTTTGGAGTGAAGCGCTGCGTGGCCGGGTGAGGAGGGGCGGCTGGAGGCAGCGCTGCATGGCCGGCTGAGCAGGGACAGCTGGAGGCAGCACGGGCTGGGTGCTGGGCTTTCCAACCCCACTCCCTGGCAAGGCAGGGTCTCTACGTGGTGGGCTGAGGAGATGGGACACAAGGGGGGATACGAGCAGGAGCCCGCTGCCCTCTGAGGTGCTCAGCTGGCAGTGAGGGAGAGCGAGGGGAGTCAGGGTGGCTTTGTCTTTCCTTCTGGATGGAGACGCTCAATCCTATTTATAGGCAGAGGGGTCAGTGGAAGAGGACTCACAGGTGAAGGAAGGGGAGCACATGGGGACACAGGAGGGGCAGTGCTGGCCTGGAGGGAGATGAGACCAGGTCAGCACAGCCATGCAAGGGGCTGCTTGGCCCCCAGGGCAGCTCCCTGTGAAGGACAATGAGGGGGCGGGGGGGATGCCAAAAACCAGGGCAGAGCAAGCGGCAGATCCATCAGTGCAGCCCGTTGGTTTCACACTCTTTCCAGTGAAGGGTTGGAGGGTGTTGAAGATGAGGAAGGTAGCCCACAGTGGGGGGAGTGGCAGGAGTGGGCTGTGATTGCCACTGAAGGAGGCAAGACAGCAGCTCCTTATTAAGAATGGAAATCATTGTTGAGTGCATCAACGTGGAGATAGCTCGTAGTGGCCCACATAGGGGTGCTGGGATTGATTTTTCCAGATGTGGCCAGTGACCTAGTGTGAGTCAGGGGACAGACTCATGATTGGGGTCTTGCTGGATGGAAGTTGCAAGAAGGGAAGATGGAATAGGAACTTTGGGTCTTGTTTAACTGTCGTTAGTTGGTCAACCAGCTGTCTAAGTTGAGCAGGAAAGTGAGGCCAGGCGGGATAAATGGAGAGGAGGCAGGGCTAAGCCTTGGTGATCTCCACTTGGCCACCTCAGCGGGGACACTGGGGTGTGAGCTTGTTGATGAGCCTAAGTGTCAGGTGGGGACCTGCCGTGAAGAGCAAGTGCGTGCCTGTGGAGCAGAGGTCTGCAGTGCACTCGGGAGTGGACCCGGGCAAGGGGATTTGCAGGAGGATGGGGCATGGGGGTTTGGAACTAGGTGGCTGTTGAACACACCCTAGATAGGTGCAGGTTACTCCTAGAAATTTGTGTGATGAAAGGAACCGTCTTACTATTCTGACCATCCTCAGTATTGGTAATTAATTTGCAATTTGATTTCCTGTATATATATATATATATTATATTATATATAAATATATAATATATATATTTTAATTGCCAATCTAATTGCTTACTGTCTCTTAAATCAATACTGTTTTCCCTTCCTCTCTTCTTGAAAGAAATTTATATAGATATATAATTGATAATACATTATATATATATTAGTGATAACTAGAGCTAAGGCTTTGATTTGATAGGTTCGATAACATGCTCAAGGTTGTGGTAAATTTATTATAGAAAAATACTTAGATTTATTTTTGGTAGTGAATTTCTTGCACTAGTGTGTTTAAAAGGAAGATTCAGAAATGAAAACATTTATAAAAGAAGAGAAGGTTACTTGCAAGGAAGCTGCAAGGGAAGTGGTCTTTAGAAGTCTTGCTCAACAAATGAAAAGCATAATGGACATTTAAAGGGAAGAATCCTGCCAGGTGACTGATGATAGCCTGTGTATGTAGTCCATTCATGCTGCAAAAACAACTTTCTCAAATTATTTACCCTGCACAGAAAGGTATGTTTCTTCCAAATTTTAGACATCAGCACTGCAAAAATCAGTTCCTTAGGGAGTCAGCAACTCAAAGCCCAGAGCAAGTCAGTGTGACTTGGTTATGGTGCTGGTTTATTCTTTTTGTTGTTGTTGGTATTGTTGTTCTGACCGTGCCATACAAGGTGTGTGTGCACTCCCAAGGCCAGTGGCGAGACCCCCGAGTTCTGCTTTCCATGGGCTCTGATATCATCTTAGTGGGATAGAACCGTCTATAAATATTTAAAATTATTTTAGGTTCCCTGACTAAAGTGATTCATAAATCTTTAAACACAGATATTGGGAAAACTAATATTACTTGAGGTTTGAGGGTTTTTTGTGCAATTTAATACATTTGATTTACATACTTGTGTCCCTGTCAAGCCTGTGATTCGGTGCACCATTTTGTCTACAGGGTTTTTCATTTAATAATGTGGTGCAGATGGTTATTTTAAAAATTATTAACGTGAAAAAATAGATGGAGAAAAACTTATGCAAGGATGCAGTCACATTGTAACTTCAGAGAAAACCATTTTTAAAAGTTTCAGACACAGAGAAACCACAATCATAAACATAAGAAAATCTGTTAAACATTCCTTACACAGCAGAAGTGGAGAATTAGCGCTGACTCTTAGGAAGTGTGAGTCAGGCATGGGCCATACGTAGCCTAAGAGGTGATGTAATCATCTTTCCTAGACATTCATGTGCAGTTTAGGTGCCCATATTTTAAAGAGTTTATGGTAGAGAGAATTTGAGGGAGTGCAGAGAAGAAACAAATGAGTTATTTTGGGGAATTAGAACCGTCTCCCCCAATTATAGGACAAATACATTAATTACAGATATTTATTTCAGAAAACAGTAATTGAAGGTCATTGGAAAGGCATTTATTGGAAAGGACCAGCAATGTAAAATTTTTTTGAAGAAGAGATGAAGAGAAAACAGTATTGACTTAAGAGACAGTAAGCAATTAGATTGGCATTGAAAACAGACACCAAAGAAAATTTTGAAATGTTAAAGTAAAGGGAATCGTCTGCTAGAGTCGTGGAGCCTCAGCCGCAGTCCATTCTAAGATTTGTTATAAAGGAGTGGTTCTGATTTAGAAGGAAGACACTACTTTGCAGCTCAGTGGGATACCTTCCATCTATGTATTCCACAAACATTGATGGGACAACTTCTGTGTGCCAGGCAGGCAGCCATGCACTTGGGGACAAGTGTTAGTGAAACAGACGAAACCCCTGCTTCACAGAGATTCAGTCCCAGTGCTGTCGAGAACGATGCCATTTCCCATAGCGGATGTGGAAATTCTAAGCTGTGTTGCACTGTTACTCTAGCAGAGCTGATGACACTGTTGAATCATTTTCATTCTTTTGTCATCAACATCACTCTTCTTGAATTCACATGGGATGTGAACATCGAATTGTGAGACTTGTATAATCTCATGGGATTCAAACATTCTGCCATGCTGAATCAGAATTCTTCCTCGTCCCTCAGACCAATGCCGGAGCATGTGAATTGGAATGCTCATTTATCTTCGGAGTTCCGCAAAGCTTAGTTTCTAGCCAGCGATTGAATTGTGAGGAATTTCAGTATAGGGAAGGTCCTCACCTCTAGTGAGCATTTTTGTGTTAAGATTTCATTTTCTTTGTGTCCCTGTACCTGAAATGGGATGCTGTTAAAAGAGCAGCTGCCAACCAGCTTTACAGACCCCTCAGAATATTCTCTATTATTCAGAAATCCCCATATATATTGCTTAAGACTTGTCTTTGTTAATGACATTTCATATAGACCAAAAGATCTTTATGCCTAGTCTAATTTCATGGACTAGAATGACGAGAATCATTTGTCCTTCTGTGAGCAACTGTGAGGACTTAATTTTCTTAGAAGCTGGAATTTAGAAATGTGTTTGACGTTATTGGGAGCGACAGCTTTTCCATAAGCCTTCGTCTGAGACTGTCTATAGTAAAAACTAAGGTTTTTTGAGGGGGGGGCTCTGTGATTTAAGATTCTAATAGACTTTCTTTTTCTCATGAGTCAGAATGATTTACACACTAAACTTAAGCTTTCTACCTCACAGGTTGCAAACACCAAGAAAGAAACCGTTTTCAAATGGCTCAAGGATGATGTTCTGTATGAAACGGAGACACTGCCTAACCTGGAGAGGGGAATCTGTGAGCTCCTCATCCCAAAGGTATCAGGCATTGAGTAACACAAGAAAGCAAAACAAAAACGGCACTTTCAAATAACTCGTAAATTCTACAATCCTCTAATTTGCATCCTGAATTTCGGTGGTTTGCAAAGAAAATGTATTAGAGTTTATTACGTTTTCTAAGATTGCAGTATTGACTTTACATAAATATGGAATGTGTTTTCTTTGTAGTTGTCAAAGAAGGACCACGGTGAATACAAGGCAACCTTGAAAGATGACAGAGGCCAAGATGTGTCCATCCTTGAAATAGCTGGCAAAGGTAAAAGAAAACCTCCTTTGTTCTGTGAACAAGAAATTCCTTTCACCAACAGGATGGGATGTATTCTGAAGGCAGGTCTATGTCTAGCCTCAGCTATAGCACACATTGTGTCTTTAGCAGTAACACTGTAGAAAAAAACTATTTGTTCTTTGGTTGCTTTCAGAGTTTTTTCAGTGTTTTAGAATAATGTATGATATTACTCTGGGTTTATATGAAACGTCATTTCGGTCCATCATCAGAAGCCAAGCAACGCATTACTAATGCAGTTAAAATGATGGAAACACTGAGGCAGTGATTCAGTTGAATGTAGAGTTGGATTTATGTTGAGTAAAACGTTCTTGATCCTTTTTTAAAAGTGAATAGGTTAGAAGGATTTATCGCACACATAAGTCTTTTATGGATAAATATTGCCATTTTAATGATTCATTTTTCAACTGAACATCACAATTTCCTGCATCGATTTAATTAAACATTGAAAATGCTGCTTTCGGTTAAAGTTACATGTCGTAATGGTGCGTATCCCTTCTCATTTTCAGTGTATGATGATATGATTTTGGCAATGAGTAGAGTCTGTGGTAAGTAAATGCCTTTTAATTTTCAAGTCATTTGGGGTGCTGAAATCACTATTTCCTGACACGGGAAGTCACTGCTGCAAAAGAGGGCACCATGGAGCTGTGGTGCGTGTTCTGTGGGAGGCCCTGGATGGAAGGGCAGGGTGGTGATCTGCTGCCGATGAAGCTTTTTAAAGGACTTCCCTCAGTTTTGTCTGGAGTTTGAGTTTTACTTTAAGAAACTCAGGTTGGGCGTCCTGATTAGCCACTTCTTCCATCCTGTCTTAGGTTAATTGGCATGACTGCTTTGTATATAATTGCTATGAGCAGCTTTTTACATATGTTGAATAGCCGTAATGAATTTTTAAACCTCTCACTTTGCGTCGTACACATTAAACCATATGTTATCTTTACAAATAAATGCCCAGAGGTGGGATTGCTGGATCACATGTCAGTTCAGCTTGTTTTTGGAGGAAACTCCACACTCTTTTCTATAGTGGCTATATTAATTTACATGCCACCAATCATGCACAAGTGTTCCTTTCTCTGCTTGCCAGTGTTTTATCTTTTGTCTTTTTGATAATAGCCATTCTAACAGGTGTGAGATGATATCTCACTGCAGTTTTAATTTGCATTTCCCTGATGATTAGAGATGTTCAGTATTTTTCAAGTATCTGTTGGCCATTTTTCTGTCTTCTTTTGAGAAATATCTGTTCAGATCCTTTGCCCATTTTTAATGGGTTATTTGTTTTTTTCCTGTGGAGTTCAGTTCCTTATGGATTTTGAATATTAGTCCCTTAGCCAATGCATAGCTTGAATATAGTTTCTCCCAATCCATGGGTTCTTTCTTCCTTTTGTCAATTGTTTTCTTTACTGTGCAGAAGCTTTTTAGTTTTGTGCAGTACCATTTATTTACTTTTGCTTTTGTTGCCTGTATTTTTGATGTCCTATCCAAGCGATCACTGCCCAGATCCATGCTGCAAAGCATCTCCCCCACGAGCTTCCTTCCAGCGGCTTCGCAGTTTCAGGTCTTATGTTTAAGTCTTTTATCCAATTTGAGTTGATTTTTCCATGTGGCATAAGTTAAAGCGCCAATTTCACTCTTCTGCATGTGGATATTCAGTGTTTCCAGCACCACTGATTAAAGAGACTGTCTTTCCCTATTGTGTCTTCTTGGCATCTTTGTTGAAAATCAATTGACCATCAATATTTAGTTTCATTTCTGGGCTCTTTATCCTGTTCCATTGGCCGATCTGTCTGTTCTAATGTCAGTGCCATGCTGTTTTGGTTTCTGTAACTATATATTTTGAAATCAGGAGTGCGATGCCTCCAGCTTTGTTCTTTTTCCTAAGGATTGTTTAGGCTATTAGAGGCTTTCCTAGTTGCATACGACTTTTAGGATTATTTTTCCTTTTTTTTTTTTTTTTTTTTTTGAGACGGAGTCTTTCCCTGTTGCCAGGCTGTAGTGCAGTGGGTGAATCTCGGCTCACTGCAACCTCCATCTCCTGGGTTCAAGCGATTTTCCTACCTCAGTCTCCAGAGTAGCTGGGACTACAGGCACGCATCACCACACCCAGCTAATTTTTTTGCATTTTTAGTAGAGATGGGGTTTCACCATGCTGGCCAGGATGGTCTCCATTTCCTGACATTGTGATCCGCCCGCCCGCCCACCGAGGCCTCCCTAAGTGCTGGGATTACATGCTTGAGCCACTGTGCCTGGACAAGGATTATTTTTCTATTTCTGTGAAAAACAACATCGAAATTTTGATAAGAATTGCATTCAATCTTTAGATTGCTTTGGGTAGTAAAAATGTGGCTTTACTCTTATACTCATGAAATTATTTTGTGTTAAAATATCTCATAATGTGTCCAAGGGCCACTCA
The DNA here is from genome assembly GCF_000001405.40 of Homo sapiens. NCBI lineage: Eukaryota > Metazoa > Chordata > Mammalia > Primates > Hominidae > Homo > Homo sapiens. Next base: position 2,126,077 of record NC_000008.11, read on the forward strand.
TGGATAATAGAACTGACCAGAAGGTCTTGAAGAGTGAGTGTTTATAAGGAAAATGCAAAAAGCAGAGTCCTCACTGTGTGCTTGTCACCTCGAAGCAGAGATGCAGCGGCTGAGGGGACATGCACATTATGTTGGGAGTTGGATAGGGACAGAGGGGACAGGCCCAGAACTTCCCATATCAATAGGGAGCCTTTATTCTCATGGGAAACTGGACGCCATGGGCTGGAGTCTCTCCCTGACATATCAGAATGGAAGAAGTGGAAGGCATGTTGTCAACACACTCACACCCACACACTCACATCCCCACACTCACACAGCAGTCACACACACACGATTTCCCACTCAGACATACACACACACTGACACACACCAGTGTACCCACACCCTACACACTCACACACTCATACATGCACACACTTACATGTGAACTCACACACTGACACACACACTCATACACACACTTACTCATATGGGCACACACTTGTGTAGACTCACACACTGATGCATACAGACTCATACACAGGAGCCCTGGGAGGCTGGGGGAGCATTGGGGGAGGCTGATACAGGCTGGGGAAGCACCGGGAGAGGCTGATGGAGGCTGGGGGAGCACTGAGGGAGGCTGATGGAGGCTGGGTGAGCACTGGGGGAGGCTGATAGAGGCTGGAGGACCACTGGGGGAGGATGGGGGAGTACTAGGAGAGGCTGATGGAGGCTGGGGGAGCACTGGGGGAGGCTGATAAAGTCTGGGGGAGCACTGGGAGAGGTTGATAGAGGCTGGAGGAGCACTGGGGGATGCTGAGGGAGCATTGAGAGAGGCTGATGGAGGCTGGGGGAGCACTGGGGGAGGCAGATAGAGGCTGGAGGAGCACTGGGGGAGGATGGGGAAGCACTGAGAGAGGCTGACGGAGGCTGGGGGAGCACTGGGAGAGGCTGATAGAGGCTGGGGGAGCTGCTTCTGGTCTGTGTGCTTTGCTCTCAGGCTGCTCCGACCCTCCCGTGTTCTGCCTGGTTAGGGTGGTGTTGGTCTCATGAGTCAGTGTCAGGGAATTTGAGCAGAGGGAAGGGGGGTCGGGTGGGGGAATATGGCTCTGCAGTGTGTTGACTTCACCCAGTTCCCAAGCTCTTTTTCAAGTTGTGATTCCTTGAAGGGTGAACTCCTGTCTCCGAGTAGAGGAAACAGAGTCCCACCTGACTGGGGAGGGGAGATGGTGGTCAGGGATCTCTGCCTTACAGATTTTCAATAACCCTCCTGTCTGCAGCCGGCCCAGATGCAGGGACCCTCCAAGTCCTGAGCTCACTCGGTTCCCTGCGCACTTTTTGGCTTTCTTAGCCCCGCACAGTTCCCTAGACCTCATGCCCCTCCCTCCACCTCCAGAAGCTCTGGGGATGGGCTCAAATTCTGTCATTTCCTCCCCTGTTGTCCCTCAGGTTCCTGGGTGGTTTCCTCCTTTGCAGTGGACTAGCGGGGTTTAGGGAGGTGTGGAAGTCCAGGCAGGCAGTACCTCGGCGTGACGCGGTGACGCAGCCGCAGGCAGGCAGTACCTCGGCGTGACGCGGTGACGCAGCCGCAGGCAGGCAGTACCTCGGCGTGACGCGGTGACGCAGCCGCAGGCAGGCAGTACCTCGGCGTGACGCGGTGACGCAGCCGCAGGCAGGCAGTACCTCGGCGTGACGCGGTGGCGCAGCCGCAGGCAGGCAGTACCTCGGCGTGACGCCATGACGCAGCCGGAGAGAGCTTCACGCACACCATCTCTTCGTTCTTCCTCAACTCTGTCACGGAGGGGGCCTTTGTTTATTTATTTTTGGTTGGTGCTCTTTCTTTCCTCATGTGTATTTAAGGATAAAAGGAAAACAAAGAGCTTCACCATCATAACAGTTTCTATTTTGGTTTCTATTTCTTTACATAGTCGGAGTCACAAATACCGTTCATGTTGTTTTTTTCCCCCACATATTTTATAATTTTCTTTGTTTTATATAGATGTTATATTAACATTCACTTTAAAAAATAATTACTTATTATTTCATGGAACCACATATCATGGTTTAAGCTCTTTTCTATAGAGAAATTAATGAGTTTCCATTATTTTAAATAATTGTACAATGCACACCTTTGGGCAAGCAAAGGCTCTTTCAGGATTTAGGAATATGTTCTTTGAACTCCTAGAAGCACAATAACTATGTAAAAACTAAAAGTAATTTTAAGATTCATAATATAAATTTCAAGTTGCTTCCCAAAATGAAAAATTACTATTTAAAATGCCTCTTTGTTACACTATCCTCCACAACAGTTGGTGATCATCTTATTTTCCATTATCTGTGCTAATTATGTAAATCTAGTTTTCTAGGTAACTGTATGTGAATGTAAATTTCCAAGGCTGAATATCTGATAACAATCTCTACTTCCAGTTCAGAGCTTCTGCCTTCATCAGTGCTACTTCCTTATCTTCTCCTTTCTGACCTCTGACCCATAGATCATCTACCTCAAGCGAATTAGTCTTCATTTTTATTCCAAGTACACTGTGTGTGTTCTCGTTTATTGCATTTTCTTATTGCCCCTGGGGTTTCTTCTGCTTTCCTTCCTCTGACCCAAGTTTCATTTGTCTTGAAGAACCAGCCGAGGTGCTCCCATCTGCTTGACTCCCACCTGAAAGAGTCCTGCTAAATCTTAACGTCCCTTTTGCAGATTTTCTACGATAGTTCAGCTTGGGGTTAACTCACGTAGCATTTGCCATGCACTGTTGTTATTTTGCCTCCTTTTCTTAAGCAAAGCTGCTGAGGGGCAGATGTTGAATCTTTTTAGACAGTTCTATATCTTTTACAGTATTCTGCAAAGAGCTTTTCAGATAATTCTAGCATGGTAAGAGCTTGTTTAATGAATGGAGACAGCATGGGAATAAAGTATAAGAATTTGTGGCTGGCCGACTTTATGAGAGACACAAGTGAGAACAGGATTGCAGGTGGGGACAGGAGGGCTTGCCGCCGCGATGCTTTCTGTGATCACACAGCAGGCACTCCTTTTCCTAGATCTGAGGATGTTTTATTTTCTGCAGGGAAATCTGCTTCGCCACTGAAGGTACTCTGCACCCCAGAAGGAATACGACTTCAGTGTTTCATGAAGTATTTTACAGACGAAATGAAAGTGAACTGGTGTCACAAGTAAGTATGACAGCAGCCGATGGAGGCCATGCCATAGATGGGGCTGTCCAGGGCGCACAGCTGGGACCAGGCGCTCCCTGGGGAACATCAAGGCACTGCCATTTCCCCTCAAAATTTTATAATTTTGAGCAATGATGACAACCTTTAGCTCAGGGAAGGGGGCCCTCACGGCAGTGGGGAGGACGTGGAAGAAGGAGGCAGAGGAGAAATGCCTGATAGTGTTACAGACAAATTTCTCTAGTGTCTCAGTCACCAAAGGTGGCTTTACTGGTAACACAGATTTTCTCTGGAAGCGAACAGAGAGCTGAAGCAGAACTAATAAATAATTTGTAGAAACCAGACTCCAAATTTCCAGTCAGTTGGTTTCCCGCTAGACTTGATTAAAAGTACCAAAACAAGCCCAATCATTAAAATTAAAAACAGAAGAAAACAAGACCAAGCCTGAAGACACAGCAAGGTTTTCTGTATTTCATGCTTCTCTGGGTCGGTACGGATCACTGAGAAAACTACCAGAGACTTCTCATGCAACCCATAGCACTGGGCAGGTCCCTGCTGCCCTGCCTCTGGGTTCTGGCTACTTCCCAGGCAAAGCACAAGCCGACATCTGAAACAACCAGGCAAACTGCTGGCTGAATCGAGGAGTCCCCAAAACAGGACTCGCATCAGGGTCACCAACCCCTATAGATATCACCGCAGATAAAAGTGGACTTCAGGTGGGTGGGAAGGACAGACAGAGCAGGGACGGTGGCTTTTTAACGATCTCTTCGCTATCCAAAGGATGACGTGTTCAGGCCAATTATTTGATGGTGTCAAGGCACCCAGATGTTAACGCCCGTCAGTACACTGTACCCAGGGCGCCCACACCCCGCCTTTAGTTAACGCCCCTCAGTACGCTATACCCAGGGCGTCCCCACCGCGCCTTTAGTGAACACCCCTCACTACGCTCTACCCAGGGCGCCCACACCCCGCCTTTAGTTAACGCCCGTCAGTACCGTATACCCAGGGCGCCCACACCCCGCCTTTAGTTAACGCCCGTCAGTACCCTATACCCAGGGCGCCCACACCCCGCCTTTAGTTAACGCCCCTCACTACGCTATACCCAGGGCGCCCACACCCCGCCTTTAGTTAACGCCCCTCACTACGCTATACCCAGGGTGCCCACACCCCGCCTTTAGTTAACGCCCATCAGTACGCTATACCCAGGGCGCCCACACCCTGCCTTTAGATATCATAGTTACCTAATGAATATTTCCAAAGGAAAATCAATGGTTATGACTATTTCACTTTTAATATCACTGGTTTGCTTAGGTGACTGTAAGTAAATTGAAGAGTTGAAAGCATGTATGTTCTTAGCTTTTTTCCTATTTCAATTTTGACATAGTGTGCTTTTTTCTTATAATGGAGTCAGTACATCTGTGCTTGGAATCTCTCACGTCTTTAATTTTACTAGCCTGGTTTATTCAAACTCAAATGGAGTCACTGTAGATCCCATGTTAAGGGATTTGTTAGGAAAGTGTATTGAAGGCAGGGTCTTTTTTTAAAGGACTGTGATAACAGGAGCTTACAGGACTAGAACTCTGGTGAGTTTTGTGATATAATTGTTTATCGGGATTTATTTTGTGGGACAATGAGTAAATCTATGTTTCTAGCTGAATCAAACCTTCCCCTGGAAAAGGAGAATTAATCATCAGCATCTTTGAGCTTCCTTCTTATTTACAGCATATTGTCTTGCTGTAAGTTGTACACACTTGCAATGTGTGTCCTGCCATCCGTCATAAACACGTTCATCTTCTGGGAAAGGCCACCCCCCTCTTCAGCCTTGTGTGGTTTGTAGTACAGGCCATGCGCTGTGCTGGGTCTGGGGGGTACAGAGATTAAACACACACCCACACACAGGATTAAACACACGCCCTGTGGATGTGTGTGACCACACAGGAAGTGTGTGTAGATGTAGGTCATGTTAGTGTTAGCAAGCAGGTACTTTGTGTTACACGTTCAACACATGTTATTTTTATCTAATCCTCACAAATACCCTGTGAGTTAGGTATTTATACCCACATTTTATAGATGTGGAAACTGGGGTTCAGGGAGAGAAACATGTCATTTTGTCAGTCACGCCCCTACTAAGTGAAAGAGCAGGGATTTGAACGCTGGCTGGTCTGGTTCTCATCAGTGCTCTCCCGAGAAGCTCCAAGCCCAGTGAAGAGGGTGGGTCCTAGATAGGCAGGCAGATCGGGGCACAGCTCATGCATCTGACTCATCAGTGACCATGGATCAGAAGAAAGCATCCCTAGATACAAAAAGAGAAGGAGGTGTTATTGTAAATCCCACAGACTTGTAAAAGTAACATTATTTCTATGTTTTATCTTCCCCAAACAAATTCATTATACAACAAAACAGGCATTTCTTTCTTTTTTTTTTTTTTTTTTGAGACAGAATCTCACTCTGTCACCCAGGCTGGAGTGCAGTGGTGCGATCTCGGCTCACTGCAAGCTCAGCCTCCCAGGTTCACGCCATTCTCCTGCCTCAGCCTCCCAAGTAGCTGGGACTACAGGCGCCCACCACCACGCCTGGCTAATTTTTTGTATTTTTAGTAGAGATGGGGTTTCACCGTGTTAGCCAGGATGGCCTCAATCTCCTGACCTCGTGATCCACCCACCTGGGCCTCCCAAAATGCTGGGATTACAGGCGTGAGCTACCGCAGCCGGCCAATAGGCATTTCTTTAACACCTTTATAACTAAACTATAAGACCTTAACTTCTTACTATTTGACTATTAAACAACATGAAACTATATTAGGTAGTCATCATGTATGATTGTAATTCACTTCTTGATGACTAAATGCGTTCTTATTAGATAGCAACTGGAAAAAAAGAATAATAAGAAAATTAGTTGGAAAATTTGTTGCAATATACTTTAGCCATTTGAGGCTAAATAATCCACTTCACAAAACCTATGAAGCCAGGGAGTGGAGCTGCCAAAGACTGGTGCTGTGGGTCCTGGAATATTTTGTGTTAATGGGTGACATGGAATCAATAGAGTGCTATGAGAATTTTGTGAAATGCGGACGTAAGCAAAGACAATTGTTCTTTAGTTAAAAATGCTGAGTAATACATCAGAGGCTATAGAACATGTCACTTTAAGGGAATGTTAGAAACTTATTCAGCGTGAGTTAGAAGCAGGCAAAGAGGAATTCAGTAAAAATGTTCTTAAGAGAAAAGATTTTGTTCTCTTACTGAAAGGTGAGATTAATATATCATCTAGACATGGCTAGATCTCAAAGTCTGAACATATTGACCACTGAAGTCTTGGAAGTATCTCAGAAACTAAAGAAATTGCAGTCTCTCTTTCTCTCTCTCTCTCTCTTTTTTTGAGACAGAGTCTTGCTCTGTCACCCGGGCTGGAGAGCAGTGGTGCCATTCTAGCTCACTGTAGCCCTGATCTCCTGGGATCAAGGAATCCTCTTGCCTTGGCCACCTCACATGCCTCACAGTGTCTTTATGGCATACAAAGAAGTGCATGCTTCAAACTCCAAATGTGTATTTTAATTCATTTCAGGAGATTTCACACGCAGAGTCTGACTTTGTAAATGCTCTCCTAAAATCTCAGCTAACTCTTGAACTAACTGGGAGGAGAGGTGGCTGCCTGACACCCCAGACACCTTCCCCGGCACATCTTCGTCCTTATGTCCACAGGGTGGGAGGGGCAGTGGCTGGCCATGTCTACAGTGGGAAGGGCTGGGGCGGTGACGGGACGTTCCCTTTGTCCTGGTCGTGGCTTTAGCCGATGTGTGTTGTGCCTTGCGGTCCTGGCCTGTGACAGCTGCAGGGGTGGGAGCTCCAGGTATGTGCAGTCCCCTCTCAGAAAGCACAGGGTGTTTCCAGTTCTCTGCATGTGTTCTGATGTTCACTATTTAGACAGCAGTAGCAAAAGGCTGCTGGGTATGTTAAGGTCCCCTCAGGCTGTCCCATCTTGTGGGGCTCTTCCCAAAGGAGGTCTGCATTCCTCAACACTGTCCTCTCCAGCCTAGAAGCAAATATTTCCTAGCTTTTGGGAATTTCTCCCTTTTATCTACATTTCCCTTCAAAAGGGGAGCAAGATCTAGGTGGAGTTGACTTGAATTTTGGACCACACTGAGAAGAGCTCAGACACCACAGCGCTATTGAAACCTTCAGTGGACTTGACGGAACCACTGCCTCGGAGGCGCCGGCTCTGTTCTTGTGCTTCCATCTACCTGCCTCCGACAGAGTCGGAGTGTTGCTCTGTCACCCAGGCTGGAGTGCAGTGGCATGATCTTTGCTCACTGCAACCTCTGCCTCCTGGGTTCAAGTGATTCTCCCACCTCAGCCTCCAGAGTAGCTGGGTTTACAGGCATGCGCCACCATGCCTGGCTAATTTTTGTATATTTAGTAGAGATGGGGTTTCACCATGTTGGCCAGGCCGGTCTCGAACTCCTGACCTCAGGTGATCCACCTGCCTCGGCCTCCCAAAGTGCTGGGATTACAGGTGTGAGCCACAGTGTCTGGTCTGTCAGTCATTGATCTCAGACTTAGTTTTTAGATTTTTACACTTGTGTTACTTCCAGCCATTTATTTTATTGTATATAATATTCAGTTACAAATTTATAATATTTCTAAATCGTTCACTGTGAAATAATTTTAGACTCATAGAAAAGTTGAGAAGAAAGTAAGGAGTTCCCTTACATCCTCCACCCTCTTCCCCTGAGGTTAACGTCTTCTGTAGCCACCTCCACCCTCTTCCCCTGAGGTTAACGCCTTGTGTAGCCACCTCCACCGTCTTCCCCTGAGGTTAGTGTATTGTGTACCCACCTTATAACCATCAAAACCAGGCGCTGAATGATGATGTAATACTATTAACTCTGCTACAGACCAATTCAGATTGCACCTTTTTTTCCAGGAACGCCCTTTTGCATGTTCCTGTGTTGAATCTCAGGTCCCATGTTGTGATTAGGTGTCCTGGCTCCTGGTTTCCCCCCTGTCTAGGACAGTTCTTCAGGCTCTCCTCGTCTCTCTCGGCCTGGGTGCCTTGAAGCCTTCTGTCAGTCACTCGGAAGCACGCCCCTCTGTCTGGGTTTATCTGGTGTTTCCCATGATTGGGTTGGTGACTCCGTTTTAGCTGGAATACAACAAAAGCCATGCTGATACCTGATCACTGGGTTAAGGCAATGTCTGCCCCGTCTCTTCCTGGGAACGTTATTATTTTTCTCTTGGTAATTAGTAAATACTTCAGGACTTGGCAAGTCTCTTGTCCCTCCGCAGACCTGTGTGCTGGGATTTGAGGTTCAGCAGTGAATCTGGCCTTCAGCACTGATTTCTGAGGGGCTGAAGTTCCCTTTTCCTTTTACATTTGTTCTGCTGGGAGGCGCTGGCCTCTCCTCTGTGCATCTCCTCATTCAGCTGCTTGGCTGTATCCGTTTGGACTCAGGGATGCTGACTTTGTTCTGTGAGCTGTTACTTTGCTCAAATTGTTCCAGCTCTGGCCCTTGGGAGCTCCTTCCGGTTGTCGCCTGCTTTTTCCAGTGTGTGTGCCTGCATCTTCTTAGGAGCAATGCCTTATTTTCTGGGCCCGTAAAACATTCCCAACTCATCTCATATCTTCTGCCCCATTGCTACAATCCCAGAAGTCCTGGCTCCTGGACAAAGGTTGGCATCAGAGACTATCGATGTCTCAGGGAGCCGCGGGTCTTACATGCTCTGGAGACAGGACTGGGTGATGTGTGAGTGCACACGGAGGCACACACTCGCTCATCCGTGTCCACTTCTGCATCTCACCGTCTGTGTACTAGAATCTGATTGGATCCCAGCCCAACTCCACAGCCTTCATTCAAGCCTTGTTCCTTTCCTGAGCTGTAAAGCCTGGCTCTCACCTACTGTTGTTGTTGTTTTTTGTTTTGTTTTGTTTTCAGTCCTAGTATTTACATCAAGCAGTTTCAGAATTAGTAACTCATATCTCTGTGAGAAACAAATGTGCATACTAGAGTTCAGTGTTTCCTACAATTAATTCCTTTCATCTTTAGCCATACAGTATCAAATCAAAATATTGCTTTCCAAAGTTACTTTATGTCTTTACGTTCTGGGTGGTAAGCAATTCATTTGCAACATAGTTATGTTCATTTGTTACTGTTCGTATTTTGTTTTGGGTTCCCCTTGCTTTCAGGTTGGTGTTCCTCATTTGTTTTGGGAAATGTGAAAGGCAGTGTGGTTGTAAGAGTCTGAGCTACAGAACTGGAGCCCAGACCTTCTCTCCTCCTCCCTGCTCACCTGCCCCCGCCCCTTACCTGTCTCCTTCCTACCTACCCCGTCACAGTTGACCATCCTGCTGGTTGCTTTAGCACGAAGGAGCAGAAACGTGTGCTTTCTTCTATCCTCCACTGTCTTATATTAATGTGAACCATTTTAACTTTAGTTTGGAATGAAGGAATTTGGTCATGTTTTGTAATCAAGTAATACGAAGAAGAGGTTTTGTCATATTTGGCCCATTTATGTCTCTAAACAACAATAATAATAATTTTAATATCCCTATATGTCCAAGTCATTGTCTAGGTAAGGCAACAGTTATAATTAATTCAGCGACTAGATAGTCAAAGAAATTAACAGCTATTTTTGAGCACTAGGACGTGTTTGGCCCTCTTATAAGTTGCTCATTCAGGGGAAGCCAAATGAGTGGGCGTGGGGTCTAGGGTGAGACCCTGAAGCTGGGAGTGGGAAGCTGGAAACCAGCATTTGCCCTCAAGGTGAGCAGCCAGGGTTGCAGACGCAGGGACAGCGGGAGCCTCTGCTGGAAGCTCTGCTAATGGCTGTCCATGTTCTGTGAGTGGCTTTGTCTGAGTCGTATCGAGGGAACAGAATTAGAACCCAGTCCAAGAGAAGTGTGTGTGATGCAAGAGAACCTGGGGTCAGAACGCCAACATGGGCAGCTCGAGGCTGGGATTGGGGTTGAAGGTGGCTGCTGATCCCCGGCTCATGGCTACCTTTGTGCAGCTGCAGCCCAGGGAAGGGTAGCGTCCCAGCTGCAGGCTGTGGGGTCCTGGCTCAGGGCATCTTGCATGCATGCATGTGTTTACCCTGATCCCAGGGTGGCAGCGGAGGCCGCAGCTGTGACGGAGGTGGGGCCAGAAGCATGTGGGGTGCCAGAAGTGCACCAAGTGGGCCAGTGTGTGATTTGGTGTCCAGTGGACACCATTCCTTCATTACAGTGGTTTTTACCCTTCGTCACTGGCTGAGATTTGGGTTCAAGTGTTCTTCCCCCAGATTGTGTGGCTGTTGTAAAGAATCTCTCGCTGAAGTAGAGGGTCACTTTTTAAAAGTGAAACTTGAATGATAAGTCACTCCAAAGGCCTAGGGCCGTCAGCATGAGGCCAGTGAAGCAATTGTGTGCAGTGGGGCCCTTATCTCCACTGCTGCCCAGCCGGTGTGTCCAATTACACCAAAGTCAGGAGGCCGGTGGGACACATTTACAGCTATTTTATGAATGATCGCGTGAAGGTGTACCTTTTTCCCTTGTCACCTATATCAAAATAAAATTATGTTTCTTTTTCTGTAAGCAAGTTGCTAATTGTGTGAGTAGAATGGATCACCACTGGAATGGAACGTAGTCCAGCAGAACATAAACGCCGCAAAGGCTAAAACGCTGCCACTTCATGAAGCATTTGCAGCGCAACTTTCGTGGCCCAGTGAATTTCACCTGTTGGACAAAGCTGTGGCTGATACGGTGGAAACTCCACTAGCTTTTCTTCATGGCTCTAAGTCTAAACAGTGAGATTTTGGGGCTGTTTGCAATTTTACCCCACGGAAGAATTTCTAGTCTCTCTCTCTTTCTCACACACACACATATACACACACAGAGCAGAGGTTTGAACATCTTCGTCTATACATCTAGGATGCAATAGTTTTGGCACATAATTTAGCTCTTTGAAGAAGACACATTTGAGTTAATGGTGATCAAGAAAACATTGTCTTCTCCCTAACACCCACGTGATGTGTGGGAGGATGAGCTCACACAGGGTGATGAGCTCACACAGGGTGGCAGCGATTGTTGCGTCCTCTTGGTGAGACTGACCAGCGACAGCACGAACAGAGCATTTCGTGCAGGATGCAAGACACCAGGCATGACAAAAATCGTCCCCTTCTTCGCAAGCGGGGAGCTCATCACAAATCCCCAAGCAGTATCCAGGCTTTGCAGGGCAGGGAAGCAGGGTGGGGCCAGGCAGGACTGAGGGCCTTACTGATGTGTGGAGGTTCAGGCTGGAATCCTGTCCCACGGGTCTGTGTGTGTGCAGGAAGCACACATAGCCAAGTTGGCTGTGCCTGGTTGTGTGTGTGTGTGTGTGCATTTGTTTGAACTTTGACCCTCATCAGTTCCAACAAGAGAGGGTGACAAGATGACTAAGGCCTATCAGTGTTGGCAAAACAAGTTTTTCTGACTCTCAACAGAAGAGTTCCACATGCTTGTGGAACCCTGTTTCCTTGGATGGGGTACATTTAGTCAATAAACGATTACAGTGGGCCCAGTTCCCCACTGATCTGCAATTTCTGATTTGCTGATTGGTCTGTAAAGTGTCCAGTTGTAAGTGCATCCAGGGGGATAAAGAAGTCTTTCTTAATCAAGCTGTGATGTCCCTACAGTGTGTCAGTGTCTCTTTGCCTTCAGGTCTCTGCACAGACGGGCTTCTTGCTGCTCCTCACACGCCACGGTTTGGGATTGAGTGGCTAATCCACTGCCTGGTATATGTTCTGTGCAAGGTTTTTCTTTTCTGCAGAGCTGAGAATCACCATGTAAAGTCTAATTTTCCTTTTATACACAGGGATGAGTAGGTCTGAGTGCTGCAATGGCCCATCAATCCCTTTAGTAATAGCGACCTGCTGTGAGCTCACAGGACGGCTGGTGTGGCCACTGATGCTCACCTGCCCTCAGACACACCACGGATGGAGACTCTGGCAAGTCCGTGTTGCCTTTAATGTAAGCGCCAGCCTGCAGCTTGCAAACATGGCACTCTCGGCCCGGCCGGCTCTGGCTGCTGAGTGCTGGGGCCTGGGGTCATGGCCTCATCGCTTCTGCTTCCCTCTCCTGCTCCCCAGGCAGCCCATGCTGACTGTGGACTGAGAGCAGCTGGGCGGAGCCTGGGGCTCTGCTGCGGGGTCAGCCTTCGTGAGGCTCCCAGGTCAGCAACGTATAGAATTCCAGATGCGGGACTGAGAGATTCCTGAAGGATTGCCTGGTCCGATTCTCCCGCCTCTTTCCGGGGAGGGGCAGATTATGGGAAAAGGGAGCTAATTAACATATTGTGAAGGGCTAAAGGGGTCACTTTTACATTATGTGCATTCTAACACAGTTTTTAAAAGTTTAGATAGAACCAAAGTGCTCACACTGCCCTGCCTTCTAAGGCGGCACGAACTCGCTCCCACATCGGCAACAGGTGAGGCCAACCTGATTATTGTAGACAAATGTGTGTCAGTTATGTTCCAAAGTCGCTTCAGTAGATGTTGAGCATGTCTTCTTGGATTCTAAAACAACCGCACATGGGCAGTGTTAGATCCTCCCTTCTCTGTCCGGGATCCCAGAGGCTAAGTCTCAGGGTGAAGCCAATCCCACAAAACCATCCCTGGGAACAGCCATTTCGGCCTCTCTGGCTTAGTGTGCGCCAGGATCCCACTGTGCCTTCACAGAACTCCCACTTTCTATCCGGACAGACTCAGTTCCGACACACACTGCCAGCACCACCACCAGAGACCCGACACACACTGCCAGCACCACCACCAGAGACCCGACACACACTGCCAGCACCACCACCAGAGACCCGACACACACTGCCAGCACCACCACCAGAGACCCGACACACACTGCCAGCACCACCACCAGAGACCGGGACGCAGAGCCAAGCATTTATTTTTACATATATACTTTTTGAGACAGTGTCTCGCTCTGTTGGCCAGGCCGGAGTGCGGTGGTGTGATCACAGCTCACTGCAGCCTTGACCTCCTCGGGCTCAGGCAGTCCTCCTGCTTCAGCCTCCTGAGTAGCTGAGACTACAGGTGCTTGCCACCACACCCGGCTAATTTTTTTATTTTTGTTGAGACAGGGTCTTGCTTTGTTTTCCAGGCTGGTCTCCAACTCCTGGGCTCATGTGTTCCTCTTGCCTTCGCTTCCCAAAGTGCTGGGGTTACAGGTGTGAGCCACCACACCCGGCCTGAGCTGTGCATTTATTATGGGCTTAACATATATTTGTTGAAGGAAAGAATAACAGAGAAAAAGGCTATGATGGTGAGGAGGGCTGGAGAATTCCCTTTCCCGATGGAACATAGGCATTCTTGGTTGCCGGCAAGGGTAAGGAAAGATGCCACAAGCACCACAGCTGGCTCTCTGTGCAACTGACCCAGCCTGCTTCCCCAAGCTGCGGCTGTTCTGGAGCTGGTGCCCGAGAGAAACAGGTCCACATTCCAGCTCTTGGGTGGCCCTGGAGTCCGTCCTGTTTTCATGCACCTGTGACTATGACTTCCACAGATCTCTCAGGCTCCCTCTAAACTGAAGTAATGTTAGGAAATAACTTATACACTTTTGTCTGCAGTAAACAGTTTGGCCTTATATGTTGCAGATGTGGAACCTTAGAAGGCGGGAATGTATGAGCACCTTGTTTTTATCTAAACTTTAAAATATTGTAGCATAATACACATAATGTAAAAGTGAGCATTTTAACCACCTTTAAGGGTACTGTTCAGTGGTGTTAAGTACATTCACATCATCGTGCAGGCACCACCACCACCCAGGACCTTTTCATCCTCCCACCCGAAACTCTGTTCCCATTAAACCCTCAGTCCCCATTCCCCTCCCCCAGCCCCTGGTACCCACAGTTCTACTTCCTGTCTCTGTGAATCTGACTACCCTAAGCCCTTCATAGGAGTACATATTTGTCTCTTTGTGACAGGCTTATTTTACTCAGCAAAATGTCCTCAGGGTTCATGCACATTGCAGGAGGTGTTGGGATTTCCCTCATGTATTTATGGACCACATTCTACTGATCCATTCATCACCAATGGACGCTTGGGCTGCCTCCCCACCGGGGCGGTCGTGAACGATACTACGAAGGATGTAGGTGTGACAATATCTCTCCAAGACCCCGTGTCCAATTCTTCGGATCTACACAAGTAATTGCTGGATCATGTAGTAGTTCTAGCTTTAATTTTTTGAGGAACTACCATACTATATAGAGTAATGTTAAGTCCATTATGTCGTGACAAGTATATATTACATAATAATATACCTTTAAAAATTAAGTATCATTTAATTTTAGAAAGTTTTCAGATCTGAGTTACTGATGTGGTCAATACATTCGTAACAGCCAGAATAATCTATTGTGACATTGGCATCAGCAGCTTAGAGAAGGCTGTCACAGCAACGGGACATTGCCCTGTAGACATTGTGCGTGTGACATGGAGACCCTAACTCAGATACGTTCCTGTTGCTCTTTTCAAGAGATGCTAAGATCTCATCCAGTGAGCATATGAGAATCGGGGGGAGTGAAGAGATGGCTTGGCTGCAGATATGTGAGCCGACTGAGAAGGATAAAGGAAAATACACTTTTGAGATTTTCGATGGCAAAGACAACCATCAACGCTCCCTTGACCTGTCCGGACAAGGTAAGAGAATTCTTCTTTAGCATTTAATAATTTCCTATTTAGAAATCCATTTAGATGCTGAAGGGAGGGAATACAATATGAATACAAGAGACAATATGAATTTACAATTTTCATTTAGAGAAAATGAAAAAATAAATTTATTCTTTTTTTATATATCAGTTTTCATGAACCAGATTCACTGGTATAATATTTGAGTGAATAAATAAAATCTGAACACTGAAATGGTTAGTAACGTATGAACTATTTCCTCACAGCTTTTGATGAAGCATTTGCAGAATTCCAGCAATTCAAGTAAGATTTGTGTATTTAGTTACTATGATATCCTGTGGGCAGTTGAGTCCCAGTCGTTTTGGCTGCATGTGGGAATCTGTATGGAAGCCTGGGTGACCTAAAGAAAGAGCCATTCCTGGGACAGAAGTGGGAATTTAAGCAATGCAGTATATGGAGGGGTGGGCATTCTCCTAAACCAGAAATGCATTTATAAACGGACTGTCCAGAGTCATCGGAACCCCGGATGAATTTCGGAAATCATTATTGTGAGAGTTGAAGAAAGAGAAAAGAAACACGCAAAGCAGATTAACAGTCAAAGACAGGTTTATTTTGGAGAATAAACCTGAGTGGGGCTTTTGGCCGATTTCGGTCAGGAGCGCTTTCTTTTACAGACTAAGGGTATTTAAGGGTTCTGGCTCAGGCTAGGAAGGTTTCTGTGTGGAGGAGAGTTTTATTGTGAGGTTGGAATACCTCTGGTTGGAGGGGAGCTTATCTCAGGGTTGGAATGTTTTTGATTGGAGGGCAGGTTATGCCAGGGTTGGTATGTTTCTGGTCGGAGGTGTCATTTGTGGTTTATGGCCATGCTGACATTAGCCCTTAAGCTGATGTTTTTGGGCTGGACTTAGGCGGTTTCTAATCAAGGAAGACTTAAAATGGCGATGCTAGTCCAAGATGGCGGTGCTGCTGCTCTGCCAGTCATCATCAGGGCAGCACATCACACACAGCAACTTTTTAAGGACAATTCGGGGTTTTCAAATGCACCATCGAGTCTTCGCACATCCGAAGCTGACCGCAGTCCTTGGCCCATGCTAGCTTATTTAATGAACATTTGTTGACTGGGTGCAGGGATGAGCAAGATAGATCAGAAACTGACAAATTCCGAAAATATCTCAAGTCTCCAGTGCAATCTAGTGAATTTGTGAAAAAAAAAAAAATCTCTTCAACCTGTGAGCTGGAATGCTAAACTTTTCTGTGGGTTTTAGCATCTGGATAATAGGGCATTTTCCACCTCAAAATGGGCAGTGGGAACCATCAGGAAAAATCAGTGATATCCATCCTGGGGTCCTGTGACCCGAACATGTTCTTCTAAGAGAATGCAAACGTATCTCCTTCTTCTTTTGCTTCATCGCTAGTGAGCCTCTCAGCTGTGCATTTTGTTGGAAGCATTTTCTCATACTCTCTTTTCATTCTCTCCTTTCTGTCCCCTTTAACTTTTAGAGCTGCTGCTTTTGCAGAGAAGAGTAAGTACCTGTTGGATTGTAACCAGGATGGTGAATTATTTGGGGTGGGGCAAAAGTGTCCATATTTTGGAGGACCAACTTTGTGTATTAAATAATAACCAGCAATCCCCCACCCTGATGTAACAACGCCACCAACACCACACCCTGTCCTGGAGCCCCATGTCCTGCACCACTGATCCTTGCACTGCTTTCGGCCTTAGCCCCGTCACCCCTTGGACACCCTCCCTCCCTCCTCCCTTGCAGAACCTGCAGCCCAGACACCCAGGGCCACTTCACTTTCTTTCCCTCCCTTCCTCCCTCCCCTCCCCTTCCCTCCCTCCCTCCCTCCCTCCCTTCCTCCCTTCCTCCCCTCCCTCCCTTTATTCTTTTTTTTTTTTTGACAGAGTCTTGCTCTGTCACCCAGGCTGGAGTGCAATGGCATGATCTCGGCCCATTGCAACCTCTGCCTCCTGGGTTCAAGCGATTCTCCTGCCTCAACTTCCCGAGTAGCTGGGATTACAGGCACCCGCCATCATGCCCGGCTAATTTTTGTATTTTTAGTAGAGACAGGGTTTCATCATGTTGGCCAGGCTGGTCTCTAACTCCTGACCTCAGATGATCTGCCCGCCTTGGCCTCCCAAAGTGTTGGGATTACAGGCGTGAGCCACTGCGCCTGGCCAGGACCCCGTCACTTTCTGCCCAACTCAGGGACACACGCGGCTCTCCAGGCCTTCCGTCCTCGGTGAATTCTTCACCCTTCAAGCCCAGTTCCCATCTCACATTTCCTCTGGAGTGTTTCTCCCCCAACCCCTTCACAGAGTCTGTTATCTCCTCATCTACCTTCCCTTGGCTTTGGTTTATCCCTCAACTGTAAACATATAAACCTTTTTCTTTGATGCTCGCTCTCTCCTGAGCATAAACTCCTCACCACATTCACCTTGGTACCCACTGCTGCTTACATGGCTCCTGCTCCGTGGGAACGTCCCGCAGATGTTTTCCTAACCAAGGTGCTTTCCCGTTGCAGATCGTGGCAGGTTGATCGGCGGCTTGCCTGACGTGGTGACCATCATGGAAGGGAAGGTGAGGATTCTAAACTCGGCCGGGGTGGGGGTGTCAGCACGGTGCGATGGACGCAACCCCTTCTCTTGGGGCGGAGCAGAGGGAACCCAGTGAGGGGCTTCTGTGTCCTCACTCAGCCTGCAGGGAACCCAGAGTCCCCCCCACTTTTCTGCCCCTCCTAGACGGCTTGGAATAGCCCCTGTATTCTCAAAGGAAGGAATCACATAACATTCCGAATCCACAAACCTGTGTTCAGAGGAACACGTTGTGCCACTCAGGCACCTCAAGGCAAGTGCTGTGGCTTTGGGTGTTTCTATGCCCCTGTGGCCATTCACCCAGAGGAGCAACTGCAGGATGAGGCAGCCACACTCGCCCTGACCTACCTGCGTGTGTGAAGGTGCAAGCCCCCTGCTTCCAGTGTGAAACAGCACAGCTTTTACAACACGAAGGAAAAAAAAATCTCTGCTCCTATTCTCAAGGTCATTGTGGAACACATCGTGGAAGCCACTTATTGGAGTTTAATTTGTTGCCTGTCGGGAGAATTATTGATATCTAATTGATAGCTGTCTGGTTGCTTCAGTGGGTCTAACTCAATGTCACAGGGACAGAGATACTTGAGAAAATTTTATTAGCCCAAAAGACAAAAATTTATAGACGTCTTCTTTAGTAGCTAATGGAAGCCTAGAGAGCTCTTGAGATCTCATCTTAAGGATGTAATTGAGAAATTAGCAATCGTTTTACTTTATCCTAGGCTGAAAGCATGTTTTAACTAAGCTTCAAGAATGCATTTTTTTGCCTCCAATTTACCAGTTATAAAACGATATATTCAATGGGTTTGCCAGAGGAACTGGTAAGAGGGATCCATAACTCTAAATAGAAAGGAAATTTGGGAGCAGACTGGATATATCTACTATAAAACATAGAGCTTAATTAAATTACTTTCAAATTCTTTAATTGACTTAGGCTATGGATAAAAGCTAAGAATAAATAGGACACATGCTCACTGATTTTTTTACGAGCTCGCCTGTGAAGTGGTGAACCTGTTCCCTGCTGTCCTCTGCCTGCTCTGTCCAGAGCGGCGCTCATGTACATAAAGGCTTGTTTCTAAACAAACGATTGAAGGACCAATAAATGTAACTGAGTGTGACCTGGAGCCCACCGTCCGAGGGGGTGACATGACTTTCCTTTTTCTAACTCTTCCTTCTCCACCAACCTCTTCCGTCCAAAGACCTTGAATCTGACCTGCACGGTGTTTGGAAACCCTGACCCCGAAGTGATTTGGTTCAAGAACGACCAGGACATCCAGCTCAGCGAGCACTTCTCGGTGAAGGTGGAGCAGGCCAAGTACGTCAGCATGACCATCAAAGGCGTGACCTCCGAGGACTCGGGCAAGTACAGCATCAACATCAAGAATAAGTATGGCGGGGAGAAGATCGACGTGACAGTGAGCGTGTACAAACACGGGGAGAAGATCCCGGACATGGCCCCGCCCCAGCAAGCCAAGCCCAAGCTCATCCCCGCGTCTGCCTCAGCGGCAGGCCAGTGAAGGCGTTTTCCTAGCCTGGAGATGGGAAAATATGCTTGGCAGAGACAGGAATGCTGTGTGCTTGTTCCAAATGAGCAGCTGGCATCCGAGTGGTGTCCTGTGTGGGCTGATAGTTGATCACACATTGTGCTTTTGATTTTTGCATTTGGTGATGAATATTTTATACCCGTCTAAGGGAGAAAGCTAATGTTTTCCACAAGACTGAACAACGTGTATTTACACGAGGGTAGACGGCAGATGCCTGACAGAGAGTGGGTTGGCAGACAACACACTAGAATTTTCACGGGTGTGGGCACATGGGTGTGGCACCTGGACGTGTGCAGCATGTGGCGGTCTGTGTGAAGCCACCGTGCTTCTCTTTGGGGGGCCGCGAGATCTAGCATCTCTGAAATCCTGGCTGTCGAGGCTTTGAAGCATGTGTTACCTGGTTAAGCTTGTTTTCTCTTGCTTTAGGCAAATAAAAGTTTAAAAATCACCTTGTTGTGGTTTTCCTGTACCAAATCACACCTACCTGCCCCTGCTCACCCCCTGGCTTGTTTAATTATGGGTTATCATGCACTTTCACGGCTGGTGGGGTGCAGATAGTGCACTCACCCTCCAGAGAGCAGGGCATGGTGAATCACACCCCCAAAGCCCCTCCGACCCACGGGGCTGGGCTGCTGGCCCCCAGCGGCACCCAAGACGGCACCAGTCCTAAGAAGTGTGCGTTTTGTGCAAGGCTTAGAAAGGCCACCTAGTGATTATACCACGGATCTAAAAGTCTCTGTAGAGGAAAATGAAATGCAAAGATGGCTCTGTTCTTTTTTAGTGTGCTAATGAATTAGGAAGGGATTTCAAAAGAAAGAAGGCACTCATTCAGAATGATCACTGCAGTAGCCATGGAGGAAAAATAAAAACTTGGCTGCCTACACAAGGCCTCTTGGTGAAGTTAAAAAACGTGTTTAGGAGGAACATACCCTCTCTTTGAACTTTTTCCTCCTTTGTTTGGAAAGAGGCTGAAATTCTTCTGGCATAAAAATCCCATTTCAATATTTTAGTTTTATTGTTGCTTTATAACAGAAAAAGCTTTGATAATTAAGAATGTTTTACCTTTCTGTGTCATTAAGGGCAATCCAAATTTTACGAGAATTTGTTATATTTTTCTAAGGTAATAATACAAATCCTGAGAATTAAATATGTCCCCAGTAACATAAAGCTGGCTGAGCTGGTTTCCATGGCAGTAAAGTGAGTATCAGCAAGAATTTTATTTTTGTTATTTCTCCCTTTTCTGTCGTGCAGATGAACTTGAGCGGAGTTTGTTCTTATTGCGTGGTGGCAGCCGCGTTTTCCAAAGCGTGCTTGGCAAGGGTAGGCGCAGACAGTCTCAGTTTGACCTTGATTTAGTTAAACAGATTTTGTTTATTTTCCAGTTTAAACAGTCATTTTTGTTTAGCAATCGTGGTTCATGGGAAATAATTCAAATGGTTGTGAATTTCTTGAAGCCATATATACTATTTTTAATAGACCTCCTTTTTGAGCAGTTTTAGGTTCACAGCAAAGTTAAAAGGAAGGTAGAGATCTCCACTCCAACCCCTACCCCCACCACAGCTTCCCCCGCTACCAACACCTCCCACCAGAGGGATGTGCTTGTTACAACCGCTGCACCCACACTGACACGTCACCATCCTCGCAGGCTGGAGTTTACCCTGGGCTCGCTTCTGGCGCTTGTTACAACTGCTGCACCCACACTGAAGCGTCAGCATTGCCGGGGGCTGGAGTTTACCCTGGGCACACTCCTGGTGCTGTTGGCTCTGTGGGTTTGGTCGGGTGATCAGGACTCAGGTCCACCATTGTAGCATCATGCACAGTCTTTTCTCTGCCCTAAAAATCTTCCCTTCAACCACTGAGCATTTTACTGCCTCCATAGTTTTGAGTTATAATATTTTTTAAAAGACTTTTTTTTTAAAAGAATGAAATAGTCTTAGACATGCAGTAAAGTGTCTTTACAACGGCGCAGAGAGCCCAGTGGACTCCACAGTCTTCCTGTTGTTCACGTCTCGCGTTGCTGTGGGGCGAGACGATGGCCTCACCTCCGGGTGGCCTTCAGACCTCGCTGGGTTCCCCCAGTGCCCTCTCTCTGTCCCAGGACCCATCGAGGACACCAGATGAATTTGCTGTTCACGTCTCCCAGCCCCTCCGTCCTGCGATGGTTTCTGTCTGTCCTTGCCTTTCATGACCTTAGTGGCTTTGAGGAGTTTTGCTGGTTATCTTGTAGGATGTTCCCCAATCCAGGTCCCCAGTCCAGGGAAGACGATCTTCGTGTGATGAGACTGGGGATGTGTGCTTTTGGGAAGAGGAGTCATGTGGGGTGCCCGACATCCGCTAACCTTCATCACTTGCTCAGGTGATGTCTGCCTGCTGTCTCCCATGAAATGCCTGCTTTTTCCTCTTCTCCTTCTATTCCTTGGGAGCCTGTCTCAGCCCAGACCACCCTCAAAGAAGCAAGAGCATGGAATCACGTTCACCTCTTGGAGCAGGAGCATCTACCTCTGTTATTTGCAATTCTTCTGGAAGAAAGATTGTCTCCTCTCCCTATTTATTTATTTATCCCATCATTTACTGACATCTGTATGGACTCTTGTGCTGTATTTCAGCTCTGGGATGTGACCCATGTTTCGCCATGCATTTTCTTTCTTTTCTTTCTTTTTTTTTTTTTTTTGAGACACAGTCTCCCTTTGTTGCTCAGGCTGGAGTGCAGTGGCACGATCTCGGCTCACTGCAACCTCTGCTTCCCAGGTTCAAGCAGTTCTTCTGCCTCAGGCTCCTGAGTACCTGGGATTACAGGCACCTGCCACCATGCCCAGCTAATTTTTGTATATTTAGTAGAGATGGGGTTTCACCATGTTGGCCAGGCTGTTCTTGAACTCCTGACCTCAGGTGATCCACCTGCCTTGGCCTCCCAAAGTGCTGGGATTACAGGCGTGAGCCACCGCGCCCAGCCTACTTTCTTGCTCAGGTTTTTCCAGTGTTGGCCACAGGGAGCCCTTTCTGCCGGCCTCCGGGGTCTGTTCACAGCTGCCTCTTTGGGCACAGCCTGGTTTTCTGGCACTGCAGGACACCCAGGCTCATCTGTGCGTTCCCTGCTCCAGTCCTAGACCCATTTCTCCAAGGACCCCTGGTTCCTTTTACTGGAGGGTGGGATTAGAAGCCAAGATCTGGGTGCCGCTGTGTTTATGCAAATGAATATCTCAAGATATGTGATGCCAGTCGGATCACCCCTACTCCCTCAGGGCAGAATGCGGAGAACTGAGCACCTGGAAAGACATCGAGGTCGCCCACTGCCTGTGCCTGGAAGTCCTGGGCTTGCCCCTCTTGGAGGAAGTCAGGGTTCCGCCCTTTCGTCGCTTTTTAAGAATCCGTGCATGTGGCAGTGGAGGCAGCGAATGCTCAGCACGGAGAGGGCCGTGGTTGGAGCTCTTCGCCTGAGTCGTTTCATTTGACAGCTGTGAGGATGACACAAAACAAGGAACGGGAAGACACCAGGAGGGTACAGAGTCATTTGCCGAGGTATTGATTCTGTGAAAAAATTAAATTTTCCTAGAGCCATTTGGAAATGCATTTCATACGTTGTCGGCATCCCACTTCTCTGTCCCTTAGTGCTTTGGTTTTTTCCCAAGAACAAGGAGCAGAGTGTTCCCTTGTGTTTCCACAGCACAGCTCTTAAAGTCAAGGGACCCGACCGTCACACAGCAGCGTGATCTGCAGTCCATATGCTAACCTTGCCAGTCATCCCGATAATGTCCCTGGAGGCGTTCCCCAGCTGGAGTCCAGGATGCGGTTTGGGCTCACGTGTTGGGTTTAGTTGCCACAGCTTTACTTCTCTGGAAGACCCTTCTTGGTCATTAGTGACGCGGGTAATTTTGGAGAGCCCAGGCCAGCTGTTCCACAGAGCAGTTCTCCTTCCGGGACCTGCCCAGGGGTCTCCTGACTCCATCGGGGCTGCACGTCCTGGGTGTGTGATGGCATGTGTATTCTGAGAGCTCAGTTACAGAAAGAATGAGTTTGACATTCACAGGATTATGAAATACGGGGCTTCGGGGTGGAAGTGAGGCTTTTTAAATAAATCAAATAGCTGCTAAAAATGACTATCAGTTCAACAGCTTCTGTGGCCACCTCTTGAGAATCGTTAGATAAAAATTGCTGGTGCCCAGCTGAAGAAGTTATCTTCCTGGGAGATGCTGAGCCCAAGAGAGTAAAGGTTGTGTCTGTGGGAGTGTAAATGGTGGAAATTTGACTCAGCATGAAAAAAAACAATAGTTCCTCAAACTAACAATGTTAGGAGTCATTGGCTTCCAAAATGGAGTCAAGGGCTAACAAGAGTGAGACAAACATTTTTTGCAGACTAACTCATTCCTGCTTATTACCTGGAGAATGTGCTAGTGTGTTCAGCTCATATGAGACATAGAAGGATTTTGCATTTTACAAAAGTAAGTAAAACTGCCCATAGACTAATTTTTATGCTTGATTTTAGCCAAAGGGAGAGAAGTGATCATATCCCATTTTTAAGAAATAATTTTGAAGCCAATTAATTTCTTTCAACTCTACCTTCTCAGGCCAGAATGAAATTGTGTAAGGTTAGAAAATGAGCCCAAGACCCCGTACTGGGAACCACGTTATTTTTCAAGCCTCGGAAGGACATGTTGGAGGAAGTGCTGCTTCGTGCAGAGATAGAGAGACCCAGGAACAGAGGCACCATTTATTTTGTAGGATTAAGTAGACCTCACTTTATGTTAAATGGATATGGAACAGTGAGATGTACTGCAGATAAACGAAGAGGCATTTATACCATTTATTAAAAAATTGGCTACTTTCTAAAGGATTCACACAAAGTTTCTTTACTGTACAAACATTAAGCCAAGACCTATTCCTTATACTGTATCACAGCTGCACTTTCATTTTTGGAAAAGGAGGATCATTCTGTGTGTGTTTCACTGGCTGAGAGTGAAAATATGCACCATGGACAGGTCATGTATGGACCACACCAGCCTCACTCCATGGGTGACAAATATGTGGCTGATGGCAGAGCGTGCATTTTTTTTTTCTTTTTTCTTTCTTTCTTTTTTTTTTTTTTTTTTTGGTGAGATGGTGTCTTACTCAGTTGCCCAGGCTGGAGTGCAATGGCATGATTGATCTCGGCTCACTGCAACCTGCACCTCCTGGGTTCAAGCCATTTTCCTGCCTCAGCCTCCCAGGTAGCTGGGACTGTATGTGCCCGCCACCACGCCTGGCTGATTTTCATGTTTTTAGTAGAGATGGGGTTTTGCCGTGCTGGCCAGGCTGGTCTCGAACTCCTGACCTCAAATGATCTGCTCGCCTCGGCCTCCCAAAGTGCTAGGATTACACAGGTGAGCCACCGCACCTGGCCAAGCGCGCGCTGTTTTTTTCCCACAAAACCTGTAACCCAGGAGTACAGTGGGAGTCATCACGGGAACTTTCAGGACTTAGAAGATTAGAAACCATAAGCAGATTTAGAAATTAAATTTCATAAAAGCACACTTACAGTAATGATGACATTCAACATTCAACAAAGGAATATAACTGTTTTTTTTCTTTTTTTAAGACAAGTTCTTACTCTGTCAGCCAGGCTGGAGTGCAGTGGTATAATCTCAGCTCACTGCAGCCTCTGTCCCCCGAGTTCAAGCGATTCTCCTGCCTCAGCCTCCCAAGTATCTGGGACTATAGGCATCCACCACCAGGCCTGGCTAATTTTTGTATTTTTAGTAGAGACAGCGTTTCACCATGCTGGCCAGGCTGGTCTTGAACTCCTGACCTCAAGTGATCCACCTGTCTCAGCCTCCCAGTTTTAGGCCATTCTTTACCAATCCTCTTTGTGCGTGTGTGTCTACATGATTTTTTTTAAATATTTTATGTTTAATTGACAATAACTGCAGTATATATTTGTAGGGTGAACTGTGAAGTTTTGCCATATGTTTACAATGTGGAATAACTAAATCAGGCTAATTCACACATCCATCACCTCACATACTAACCATTTTTTTTGTGGTGAAAACACTGAAATTCTGCTCTTTCAGCAATTTTGAAATACACAATGCATTATTATCTATTATACTGACCACTGTGTGAGATCAGTCTCTAAGCTTAGCCTTCCTATCCCACTGAAACTTGGTACCCTGTGGCCGTCATCTCTCATTTCTCCATCTGGTCCTTGCCCCAGCCTCTGGTAACCACCATTTAACCACCATTCTACCCTCTACTTGTATGAGTCTGACGTTTTTTAGATTCCACATATGAATGAGAAGATGTGGTATTTGTCTTTCTCAGCCTGACTTATTTCACTTAGCAGAATGTCTTCCATGCTTATCCATGATGCCGCAAAGGACAGGAGTTCCTTCTTTTTTAAGGCTCACTTTGGTATTCCATTTCTACATTTCCATTATCTTTTCATCCCTTGATAGACACTGAGGTTGATTTTCTATCTTGGGTACCGTGAACAGCGCTCCATGAACACGGGGTGCAGGTTCTCTTCCACTCACTCATTTTATTTCCTTTGGGTACATAGCCAGAGGTGGGATTGCTGGGTCGTATGGTAATCCTATCTGTAGTGTTTTGAGGAATTTCCACACTGCTCCTCAGGATGGCTGTATTAATTTACATCCCCGCTAACAGAGCACAAGGGGTTCCTCTTCTGCACACCCTCATCAACATGCGGCGTCTCTTTTCGACAACAGCATCTGAACAGTTGTGTATAAGTGACAGCGCATTATAGTTTTAATTTGCATTTCCCTGATGATTATTTATATTGAGCATTTTTTTTCAGATTGGCCATTCTGATATCTTCTTTTGAGATATGTCTCTTCAGAGCCTTTGCCCCAGTTTTTAATTGAGTTCTTTCTTTTATTGTTATTGAGGTGTTTGAGTTCCTTATGTATTTTTGGATAATATTTTCTTTTCCTTTTTTTTTTTTTTTTTTTTTTGAGATAGAGTCTCACTCTGTCACCCAGGCTGGAGTGCAGTGGCACTATCTTGTCTCACTGCAACCTCCACCTCCCAGGTTCAAGTGATTCTTCTGTCTCAGCCTCACGAGTAGCTGGGACTACAGGCACCTGCCACCACGCTTGGCTAAATTTTGTTTTTTTAGTAGAGACGGGGTTTCACCATATTGGCCAGGCTGGTCTTTAACACCTGATCTCAGGTGATCCATCCACCTCAGCGTCTTTGTTCTGTTGTTTCCTTTGCTGTGCAGAAGCTTTTCCGTTTGTTGCAATCTCATTTGTTTGTGTTTGCTTTTGTTGCCTGTGCTTTTGGGGTCATATCCAAAAACATCTTTGCCTGGACCAGTGTCATGGAGCTTTTCCCTGTTTTCTTTTAGAGCTTCACAGTTTCAGGTCTTACGTTGAAGTCTTTAATCTATTTTGAGTTGATTTTTGCCTATGGTGTCTGATAACGGCCAATTTCACCCTCTGCCTGTGGAGATCTAGTTTCCCCAACACCGTTGATTGAGGACACTGTCCTTTCTCCATTGTGTGTTCTCAGCAATTTTGTCAAAAACCGTCAACCATATGTGTGCGGGTGTGTTTCTGGGCTCCGTCTCCTGTTTCACTGTTTATCGTTTCTCTTCATGGAAGTTTTTATGTGGAGTGCGGGTCTCTCCTCCTGTCCCACTTATATGTGGTCTTATAGATGTTGAGGGATATATCCGCTCTGTCTTTAGGCCTCCTCTGCACATTCACTTTTTAAAATGAGGCTGTTGGAAAGTTGGGCTTGTTCCTCATTGCTTTCAAAATTGTTTTGTCCCTCTAGGAGTAGAAAGTTGACTTTTGCACACATTGCTGGCAATAATTAACACAACTGGTCAAAGTATGTATCTCCATCACACATGTCTAGATAAAACTATAGATGACATTTGTGATTCCCATATAAAGTAAATCACCAACACCCAGGTTTACCTTTGTCTATCGGGCACACGCGCACCACAGCACACAGGAGGTGACTCAGTGTGGAGCCCTTGGCTGGCAGTCTGCGATCTGTCGAGTCAAGTCCAGCCGATTTCCCTGGTGCTGAGATGCCCCTGCTGGCCGCTCCAGCTTTCAAGCACAGTGTGGCCTGGGGCAGGTGGGCTGGATGTTGGCCAGTCACACGGGCCTCTGAGCTTTCTTCTGAGACTCTCGGGCTGAAAGCATGGGCCACCTGGGGTGGGTTTTTTTTTTGGTTGTTGTTGTTTTGTTTTTTGTTTTTTCTTTTTTTGACAGAGTCTCACTCTGTTGCCTAGGCTGGAGTGCATGATCTCGGCTCACTGCAACCTCTGCCTCCTGGGTTCAAGCGATTCTTCTGCCTCAGCTTCCCAAGTAGCTGGGATTACAGGGCCCGCCCCCTCCCCCCCACATCTGGCTAGTTTTTTGTATTTTTAGTAGAGACGGGGTTTCACCATGTTGGCCAGGCTGGTCTTGAACTCCTGACCTCAGGTGATCCACCTGCCTACAGCTCCCAAAGTGCTGGGATTATAGGCGTGAGGGTGTTTTTTAAAACACACTTGCTTCCCTTAGATCACCTTTGATGCCTACCTTGTTAGAAAAGGAACTCTGTTTAAAAGCCTTCCCGAGGCTGGTTCGCAGTGGCTTGGAGTTTTGAGCTCAACTGAGGGTGGCGGTTTATGGGAGAGCTCTCAGTGGCTTCTCTGTGTCTTCAAAGGATTCGGCCAGATCCTTTCCTGTGGACGCTGCCTCTCACCCGGTTTTTGTCTGCCCCACTTGGGAGTCATGCTATAAGGCAGTCGTGCCCTGAAATGCTCTCATTCTCAGCCTTTAAAACATTCTTATGACTAAATTCAGTGAACCTGGAGAAAAGTCCTCCAACCTGCTTCACTCTGCTCCAGGCCCTGTGAAGCCTCTAGATGTCACTGGGAGAACAGACATGGAGCGCCTCCCCTGCCGCCAAGCCAGATCCATCTTTTTGATGCAAACACATCACTTAGTGACTGGAAGATTATTAAAGGCATTATACTTACCCCAGTGACAAGGACAGGTCCAGCAAATTACAGTTTCCAGGAAATAGCAGGTCATTTTGAAGGCAATGATATAGCTTCTTAATCTGCACATGATACACATTAGGAGGGATAAAACGTATCTTTTGAGATATTACAAGGCTCTTATTACATCAGTGAAGTCATAAAAATGTGTGATCTATCTATACATTAAGTTTGGGTATGAATTTTAAATATTCCATGTTTCAAAGAGGCATGTCAAAGGGAGCGGGCTCACTCATTTTTCAAAGCAGTAAATTACAGCATTGAAATATTTCACATGAAGCATGTGATACTGCAAAGCTATCACAGGGTGAGGCAGGGCCTGAGAAAGGAGTTTCTGGGTCTTCAGGGAGCTGTGTTCACCCTGGTGTCCTGATCTGCCCTTGAGCTTTTTCTCCATGGTGGTTCAGCCTCGCAATTTTCATAAAGACTTCCTCATGTTTGGGAAAAAGCAGTGGTTGGGAGCCATTAGAAACTTCTCTTATGCTTTGTTTTGTAGAGGCTAAACATGGTCAACACTTGTGATTTTTATTTTTTTAATTGCCTTTTTGAGCTGCAGTTAAACAATGAATGGAAGGAAAGATTGCATATAATAGTCCCATTTTTCACTGGCTTAAAAATAGATGAATATCTTATTTAGACATCATTTTACCTGTAGGATGATGACCATATTTTTTAAAGGGGGGCATATTTAAAAGGTATATTGAAGGGGAATAATAAAAGGGAATATTAAAAAGGTACATTAAAATGAAAATTAAAATAAAAGATCCCAAACTGATTGAACTTTATGACACCAAAAGAAACACCCAGCCCCTCACTGCCTCTGCACTGCTTTAATTCTTTGCTTCCACTCTGGTTCATCATTCACATTCCTTCATATCTGCTTTTATGTTACTAAGATGTGAGTCTGCTTCTCAGTAACACAAACATAATTTCTTTTAATATATTGCTGTCAAAAAGCAATGAACCCGGAGTGTACCAGGAAGAACACAGAATCCAGCTTTGGTCCTGGCTCTGTTGGAGGCTTGGCTCTGCACCTGATAGGGTTCAGCTTTGTGTCCCCACCCAAATCTCATCTTGAACTGTCATCCCCAGAATCCCCACAGTCCCCACATGTCAAGACAGGGACCAGGTGGAGGTGATTGAATCATGGGGTTGGTTTCCCCCATGCTGTTCTCCTGATAGTGAGTTCTCATGAGATCTGATGATTTTACAAGGGGCTCTTCCCCCTTCACTCAGCACTTCTTCCTGCTGCCTGGTGAAGAAGGCACCTTGCTTCCCCTTTCCCTTCCGCCATGATTGTAAGTGTCCTGAGGCTTCCCCAACCATGATGAACTGTGAGGCAATTAAACCTTTTTCCTTTATAAATTACCCAGTCTCAGGCAGTCCTCATAGCAGTATGAAAACAGACAAATACCACACCCTTGGACAAACTGCTTTTCTTTTTCTGTGCCTCAGTTTTCTTCTCTGTAAAAGTTGGGTCAGCAGTTCTCAAATCGAGCTGCATTCATGTGCCCAAGGGGACTCTGCTTTCCCCCGCTGTAGCCCCCAACCCCCGATCACAGCTCTTGGTCACACTCCCCACTCACAGCCCCCGGTCACACCCCTCGGTCACACTCCCCAGTCACAGCCCCCGGTCACACCCCTTGGTCACAGGCTCGGGTTTCGTCTTGTATGTTGCTCTTTCCCACAAGAGTCCTGTCCCAAAGGTTCTCGGGTTTTTGTTTTTCAGGTAGAATCATGTAGTTCAAAGGTTTTCTAAGCTACTTCTCAGATCTAAAATTTTAAGAAATTATAATTTGTCTTTCTCATTTTGATGACTAGCTAATTCAAAATCTCTGCTCCTAACCTTTAGATGTGCTGAGGGCTGAACGCAGCGGTGCCTGTCAGGTGGGTGTCTGGGAATAAACACAGCCCATGCCCTTGGCCTTCTGCACTGACCACTCATGGCTCCTTGCCCAAATCAGTTTGCAGAACTCTCAAGTCCATTAGAGATCTTCTCTTGGTTCAGTGGTAACAGAGGCTGCACCATCAGTTCAGAGACACGGCTGTAACAGCAGCCCTCACCATTTGTCTGTTTCCTCTTCATTCCCACATCCTAGTCAAACCATTAACAACGTTTAAAGAAACAGGTCACCATACTAATGAGGATGGCTGGTCTCAGAGTCTCCACTCAGTGAGAAACTAAGAAGCAGGTGGTATTTGAGCAGGTAAATCCTGATATTGCAGGACTCACCTGCAGCCGGCAGAAATCAGGCCCAGACAGGAGGGAGCAGCGCCCAGGACCCAGCCCAGGTGAGCTCGCTAATGAGGCAGAGAGTGCCTCCTAGCCAGGTGCTGAGGAAGTGCCAGACTGGATGTCAGGACAGTGGGGACAGCAACAGGGTGTAGACCTAGGAGCAAAATAAGACTAAATCTTCTGGAGCTCTGGCACCAGAGACCTCAAAGCTTCTGGGAGCCTGGGCCCAGAACAGACCTTCTTGCTGGGAAAGGGATCGTATGCTGGTTGTGGTAGCCTAAGGCAGGCTGCAGCCAGCCAGAGGGACAGGGAACCTAGGGACTTGCTTCAGCGGGTGGGCGTGGCCCTCTGTTGGGTGGGCGTGACAAGCTCCACCAGGTGGGTGGGGCCTGCATCAGCACAGCCTGCTCCATCAAATGGGCAGAGCCTGCTCCAGAAGTGGGAACCTTCCAACCCCACTTCCAGGCTGCCGTTTGCTGTCACAGAGTGACGTTTTCAGCATGGCTTCAGTTCTTTTGCCCAAACAGAGGAAAACTTGCAGGTATGTATTTCCGTGTTTTTCTTTTAAAGATTGCAACAAAAAGAAAAAACCCAAGTCCTTCT
This sequence comes from Homo sapiens, assembly GCF_000001405.40. Lineage (NCBI taxonomy): Eukaryota > Metazoa > Chordata > Mammalia > Primates > Hominidae > Homo > Homo sapiens. The sequence continues at coordinate 2,156,846 of NC_000008.11, forward strand.
ATTCATCTGTCAACTAGGCTACCTGAGTACAAGGAGGCTTTTATTTTTATATTTATTTATTTATTTTGAGACAGAGTCTCCCTCTGTCGCCCAGGCTGGAGTGCAGAGGCTCAGTCTGGGCTCCCTGCAACCTCTGCCTCCCAGGCTCAAGCCATCCTCATGCCTCAGCCTCCAGAGTAGCTGGGATTACAGGCACACACCACCATGCCCGGCTAGTTCTTGTATTTTTGGTAAAGATAGGGTTTCACTATGTTTCCCAGGCTGGTCTCTCCTGGGCTGAAGCCATCTGCTGGCCTCGACCTCCCAAGGTGCTGGGATTACAGGTGTTAGCTACTGCGCCTGGCCATAAGCAAGCTTTTAAAAAATGTTCCATATGTACACCATTGCTGCTTTACAGCATTTTGAAAAAATACTTCCTGCCTGTATCCAAGCAGCGACACCATTCATTCCTTCCATCGCTCATCCCCTGAGCATTGGAGACCACCCAGCCCTGGGCTCCTCTGCCTCTTAGTGCTACCAGTGCACAGAATAGCTGCTCACTAGGGATTGGAATCAAGCAATACGTCAGTGGGTGGACACTGCATTCATTACAGCAAGAGTTCACGTTATTAACTGATATGCACAATGCTGGTACAATCTTACTTTCTTTGGGATCTTTAATGTGAAATGTGAGATAACTTAGTTTGGCACCAAGGTAAATTTTGTTTAGAATTATTTGTGAGCATAGGATTTACTGAGCAAAAGAGTGAACGTGAACAAGGTCATAGAAGAAATGTTTACACTCACTAACTCTGTTTTCCAGTAAGCTTACAGCACTATTGCAAACATGCAGGCAATTAACACACAGAATCCTTAGTATTTATGCGCCGCGGCTCCATGAGGGCAGAACACCTGTGTTCTTCACGGCTGCACCTTTGCTCTGAGAGCCTGCCTGGCCCACGACAGGTGCTTCATCAATATTGCCTAAAGTTAAAGAAATCGAAGCAAATCACATCAGAGCCTCTGCTAGATTCGTTCTTATTAGCCCACCTGGCAGGACTAGAGACATCCGAGGAAATATCTAGTTAAAAATAACCTGTAAATCAGCCCTGGTACATATTAAAGCAAACACTGCTGCGTATATTATAATTTATCAACCCAGATGAACTTGTTCTGTCTGTATATAACCAAATCAAGAACAACTGTGCCACTTTGTAAATTCTAAAGGATAATTTTGGAAATTTTTGCTGGGGTACTCTCTTCTGTTTGTTTTTTCTTCCCTCCATTTCTCCTTCTCTCCTATCCGTGTTTGCTATGCATTGATCTATTTTAGTTTTGTAGTTTTATAATTAAAAATTTAAAAACACTTAGAACACTTCAGAAAAACATGTGACAGGGAAACGCACAGGCATGTGTGTACACACTTAACTATTCGAGGTCGTTAAACCTGGACGCCCATCCTTTCCCTGTCTACCACTCCAGAGTTTACCACTGTCTTGCTTGAAGTTGGTACATAACATTCTCTTGCCTCTTTTTTCCCCCTCCCCTCCCTTTCCCTTCCCTTCCTGACAGATTCTCGCTCTGTTGCCCAGGCTGAAGTGCAGTGGCAAGATTTTGGCTCACGGTAACCTCCGTCTCCTGGGTTTAAGCGATACTCCTGCCTCAGTCGCCTGAGTCGCTGGGATTACAGGTGCCCGCCACCACACCATGCTCATTTTTGTATTTTTAGTAGAGACAGGGTTTTGCCAAGTTGGCCAGGCTGGTCTCGAACTCCTGACCTCAGGTTATCTGCCCGCCTCGGCCTCCCAAAGTGCTGGGATTACAGCACTCCATCTATCTCCCTGGAGTCAGACTCCATCTATCTCCCTGGGGTTGCAGATTCACGCCCTGGTATTCTGGGCTTAGCCTAGATACAGACCCCGTGTATTTTTTTTAACAACGCATTTTTTTTTCATGATTTTGCTAGCATAAAGTACTCATGGAAGGATAATTTAAAAATATACACAATGGAAAGGTACATAAAAGCCCACACAATGCAATTAGTGGCAAAATTAACAGGGCACAGAGAGGGCTTAGCACAAGACTGGCTCATTGTCATGGCCAATAATAGTTAAAATTTACTGAGAAATTGCTACAGTTTTATATGGTTGGTTTCTCTAAGTCTGACAGCCTTGATTCGAAGAGTAACAGGAAATACTTGATCATAGCCACATTTATTGCTTTATTATATTTCGTATATATATTTGAATATATATTTATACATATAAATGTATATAACATATATATAATTGTCTTAGTCTTGTCATGCATTTATTTGTTTGTGTTTGTAGAATGCCTCTGAAATGAGAGCTCCTATAATTCATAACTGAGGCTACAGTTTGCATCTGGGGGCTGTGTTTGTTTTTCCCAGGGCCCACTCATACCCAGTCACATACCCACGGTGCTGCACGAATGCTGTGCTTGGGAAGGGCCTCCCTGGTTTGCTGTAAGTCGTATGTGCAAGGCAATATCAACTGAGGTGGTTGTGGCGAGTGAAGAGTTTTTTAGTAACGTTGATTGAGGTAGCCATAGTGAGTGGCCCTGTGACTGGACTTGGAGATCAAAGCATGTGGTTCAGACTCCATTTCTGCTTCTGACAAATGGTGCAACCTGCCAGTGCCATTTCCTTCCCATCTTTGTAGAGTGTTGTGTGTAATGGGGCAGCTCATGGACTTCCCAGAGGCTCATGTGCAGCTGGATGCGTGAAAATGCTTTATAAATTAAAAAGATGCCATGTGCAATACAAGATGCACATATATTACAGATTTCTGTGTAAATATCACAGGAAAATGTTACAAAGTTCTGCTCCATGACTTCATAATGAGTAGAAGGCGATTTTTTACATTAAAAATGGTAGGTGACAGGTTCAAAAGAGAGGTTCATGCCATGCCTACCTCCTGCCCTCACAGTGGTAGAAGCACAAAGAGCCGGGGCCTGAGGCATCTGTCTTTCCTTCTAGAAGGTATAGGAAGCATCCCTCTTTCCTTCGAGAAGGAATGGGGGGGCTGTTCCTCTCTTTGACACCTGCTGCCCTGCCTTTTCCACTGAGCCACACGCTGGCACCTGTTTCCACAATTTAGGGTCTGTTTCTTGGAGCACGTCTCTTCTTGTTACCAAATTCCATATCAGTTACGATATGCCTGCCCATAAGTAACTAGGTAACAAAACTTACCATTGCTTAAAAAGAGTTTTATTTTCTCACATCTCAAGGAGTTTGCTGACAAAACCAAAACTGAAACAACAACGGTAAGAATTTTGACATGCTCCTTAACAATGAAGATGTGGAGGTCTTGAACGTACCACTTACCATTTTAGAGCTTAGCAAGGTGGTCTAAGGTTTGTTATTCTAAAAGTCACCAGAATCAGGGGTTTTGCCACTAATATCTAACTTGCTTTAAAGAAAAGATAAATGGAACATTGTTTAAACTAATCTATATCATGTAGAACAATTTGTGTTAAAAGTACCATGCAACTTTAATATCAAATCTTTATAGTCTACTTGATTGATTTTCAGTTGAGAGATGCAAAATTCTGAATAAAAATGTATGTATATAGAATATAATACAATATTAAAGACATACACTAGGGCCTGTTGCAGCTTATTTCAAGAGTCAAAAGGAGGTTTATTTTCAGGAGATCTGTTGATGTAGTGCACACATTAATAAGAGAAAAAAATCAAATAACCATACCATTATATGCTAAAACTGCACTTGGTAGAATATAGCAGGCAGTCCTAAAACACCTCTCTGTGTATTAGGAATACAAGAAGGTAAGACAGATAGGGCAGAAAATACTGTCAGAACAAACAATATCATCTAAGCAGCAAAACACTCGAAAAGTGTCAATTAAAATCTGGAATTAGATGGATCATTTTGTGATTAATATTATTATACAAGAAGTTTTAAAAATAGTAGTAAGACAATAAAGTGAATCAAACCAAATTAATATGAGGCAAAAGACATTACACTCTCTATCTTTGCTGATTTTATAATGGCTGATGGGGAATACTCAAGAGATTCTAGTTAAAGGAAACTAGAATTAAAAATATGTCTTATGCTGGTTACGTTCAAAATAAATATACAAAAGTCCGTAGCATTTCTTTAAACTCACTAAGCATCTAGAGATGAAAAGGGGAAAGACCCCGGTCCACTTACACTCATACCAGCAATCAGGTCTAGTTGATAGAAGGACAGGAACAGCCTGGCCTTCATACAGAAAATTTAAAACTTTTTGAAAAACACAGCAAAAGGTTCTGACAGAATAGAAAGATATTCCAGATTCTAGCAAGAGAAGACACTGTGCAGTGCCTTCTTCTGCCATCCCCGTATGCTTCATTCAGTTCAAAATTAAATCCCATCAAAACTTTCTGGATTTGAAAAATCAGTAATCCAAAATTGCTGAGAAAGAGTTAAAATGTCAGTAGCTGAAGTAGGGAGGGGGATTGTGACTGACAAAAACACACTACAGAGCCAGCACAATCAGGTCGATATTGCCTGGGTGGGAGAATAAACAAATTGATCAGTGAAGTAAATTGTGAGCCACCGAATAAAGCCCATGGCCTCAGGAGAGGACTCCCAGCTGCGTGAACGACCTGCAGGGATGTAGGATCAGTGCCACATTCCCCTGTGACGTTAGGAGAAGGCACTCCAGTCCGCAAAGATTGATCTCACATGCTACCTGACCATATAACCTCAGTAGCAAATCCTAGGTGCTAATATGTATTAATATGTAAGAGCATATTTTACTTTCAGGTGTATTAGTCTGCTAAGGCTCTCATAATCAAATACACAGTGGGCGGCTTAAACAACTGATATTTATTTCCTCACAGTTCTAGAGGCTGGAAGTCCCAGAGCAAGGTGTGGCTGGGCTGGTTTCTCCTGAGGCCTCTCTCCTGGGTGTGCATATGGCCGCCCTCTCTCAGTATCCTCACGTGGGCCTCCTGGTGCCCAACCCTGGCGTCTCCTCCTCTTCTGAATAGTACAGCAGCTCCATTGGATCAGGGCTCCAATTAGGGGGTCAACATATGAATTTCAGCCAGATGCGGTGGCTTATGGCTGTCATCCCAGCACTTTGAGAGGCTGAGGTGGGAGGATTGCTTGGACCAAGGAGTTTGAGACCAGCCTGAGCAACATGGTGAAACCTTGTCTCTACCACAAAACAAAAAACCCCATAAAAACCAAAAATTAGCCCACAGTGGTTTGTGCACCTGTAGTCCCAGCTACTCAGGAGGCTGAGGTGGGAGGCTTACCTGAACCTTGGAGGTTGAGGCTGCACTGTGACAACGGAAAAAGATGCAACTACACAAAGACAGAGGAAAGGAAGGAGGCTGAGCAAGAGTGCAGTGTGATGGCCACTTCAAGCCCAGAGACACAGTGGGTGAGGGAGGGCTACCGTGTGCTGAGAGGTAGGTTTTGTCAAAGTCCCAGCTTTTATTTTAAATGCTGGATCGGTAAATTATGGAAAAACAAGTAACCAAACACTGAACTGAATAAATATAAGAGTGTCATTCATAAAATAAAAAGATGATAATCTTTTATGAAGATTATATCATCCAACTTTGCGCTCCTAAGATGTAAATAAATTCCCCAACGACTCTACTTAGAGATTCGAGATACTGTTTTAGTCAAGACCAGATGCTCAAAGTTATATGGAAAGGTGACAAAAATTCCAGTAAAGTCAACAGACAAGTGATATGGAAAAATATACTTGTGAATTTATGTCATATACACAGTGTTCTTACAAATTAAAAGAAAAAGACAAATAAATAGAAAAATAAGCAAAGTTTATGACTTAGCAGGTCATAGAAGAGCAATGAAAATGACCATTGAACACAGGAATCAACATTTAAAACTACAAGGAGACTGGAAAGTCCCAATTAAAATAGCAATGAGGTATCACTGGTATCCATCACACTGGTAAAAATTTTAAACAGCAGTAACACTTATACTGCCAAGCAGGGCTATGTGGAAAAGAAGGCACAGATACAGTGTTGCCGGAAATAGAAACTGTTACAACATGTTTTTTTTAGAATAGGATGTCAAATTCTATGCAAATTAAATATACCTATGCCCTGTCACCTAGCAACCCACTTCTGACACTATCCCACAGAAACACCAGTACCATAAAAGTCTGTATGAACAAGGATGTTCTAGTAACATTGTTCATAGTGACCCAAAGAACTCCTGGAGACAATGAAAGCTCATCAGTAAGTGTAAAGACATCTTATGATACTATGCAGCCTTAAAACATGTATTTGATTTATGCCAATTAATTCAGTGAGGTTTCCACACAGTGCTGTTGAGTAAATAAGATGAATAGACCTCATTTTTTGTAAAGCAAATATTGACCACAACACTTTATACAAATGTTATATAAAAGTATATGCATGCATATATGGAAGCACATTCATATGTATTTATATTAATATGGAGGAAATTATGGATGGATACATACCAGGTTGTTTTGAGTTGACCAGTCTAACAATAAAACTATTGTTAGAAACATGTCTATACCAAGTTAGCCACGGGCATCGTGACTCCAGGAGTGAAGACGACTGCCTCTGCATTTTGTTTTGTTTTGTTTTCTTTTCTTGAGACAGAGTCTTGCTCTGTCACCCAGGCTGGAGTGCACTGGTGCGATCTTGGCTCACTGCAACCTCCGCCTCCCGGGTTCAAGCAATTCTTGTGCCTCAGCTGCCCGAGTAGCTGGGATTACAGGCGCTCGCCACCACATCCTGCTGATTTTTTATTTTGTATTTTTAGTAGAGATGGGGTTTCACCATGTTGGCTAGGCTGGTCTCGAACTCCTGACCTCAAGTGATCTGCCCACCTCGGCCTCCCAAAGTGCCAGGCGTGAGCCACTGTGCCTGGCCCCTCTGCATCTTTTATCCATATGTTTATCTTTTCTCTTGTGTTTATTGTTTTCCATCATGAATATGCATATATTTAAGTTCATTCACAATACGCTTGCTTAAATGGGTCCACTCCTTTGAGATTTATGCTCATTTTTGGAGCATGGAGCGGAGGACAGTGTGCAAGAAAAGTCACGCTGCATGATTCATAGGTGGGACAGATTGTAGCCTCACAAATCACACCCTGTGACTCGTAGGCCGACATTTCAGCCACATTTGAACGGCATCACATCGGTTATTTACAGAAATAACAATAAATTACCTATTAACATTTTTAAAAAATATTCTCAATTGTACCACTTCCTTTCATATTTGTAGCCTATTTTTGCAATGAAATAGTGAAGTAGTATGCTGGGAAGCTAGGTTGATGGAGAAAATGAAGTTTTTTTTTTTTTGAATCCAGCTAAAAAAATGGATTGAGCCCCTCCTGTGGACTACACCATGCTGTATGCTATAAGAAATACACTTACAATATGAAATGTTCTCCAAATTAGATTGTGAGGTTCTTTAAGGATAGGACGAAAGACAGCTAGACATTCTCGATCGCCCAGTTTTAGAAAGATGAAATCATTTTCCACGTGGAGGGCAGTGAAAGAGAGGAGCTAAGTTATCAAGCGCCCTCCTCGCTTCTGCTGAGCTGTGGCTGATGCCCTGGCCATGGACCCCCTCAGCCGCTGTCTGTGCGCCTCTCAACACGCACGGCTGACTCCAGCGGCACGCCTGCTCCTCGGCCCTTGTGTCTACTGAGTACGACTGAGAATGCGTCTCCTCTCGTCAGTAATCGCTTTCATCGTGCCACTACTTTACAGAAAGTCTTTCCGGCATATGCAGTGGAAGGCCACGGACCTCCTCATCCTGCTCTTTAGGGTCCATCCATCTTCACTGTGCAAAGCAATGGTCCTTCTGGGTGACTTAGACAAAGTCAAAAGAGCTGGGTTCCAGCTTGCCATGTTCTCATCCTCATCTGCTGCTATTTCTGTCTTTAAGCAGTTTATGCACCATCCCTACCAGTTTTTAAATTGAATCTGCATAAGATTTGTGAAACGGAGCAATTGGGTAATGGTATCCGGCATCTTCTAAGCACAAAATAAAAGTGCTTGGAATGGAAGACTTGGCATCTTTCTCCTTTCCTCTTTCAGAGGGTGCAATCTTCCAACTCGGAGAGATGGAGAGATTTGCTGTCACTGTCCTCTCGGAGCTTTTCCTCTTCAAAACACTCCACAAGCAGGGCAGGCCTTTCTGTGCCCCTCTTCCCTTCCCTTGATGTTTAGCCGGTGTGCGTGTCGTCTCTCTTGTAGGGGCCTGTCTTTCCTTAGAATTTGGGCTAGTGGGTTGCCCTGAAACCTCAACTCTCCTCTGATTAAGTTGTAATTTTATAGTTTTCCAGCTTTATTCTTTTTGTTTGAGAAGCAGCAATGTTCCTTCCAGCTTTCTGCACCCTGGGTAGAAGCCGGAAGCTCCCCAAGCAGCAGACTCGCATGCCCATAGGTGATGTCTGTGACGCGCCACATCCAAACGAAGAGATATCGTTGGAAGACTTGAATCTAGCTGGAAGGCCAATGTTCTTTTCAATGTAATGCCAAAGAAAATTCACACTTGTTTGTTCTGTAGAAAAAAGTGACATAATATTATTTTTATTTTTAAATTTACTTATAGTCATATGTGCATGCCTGCTCAAAAATGCTCACCCATCATTTGCATAAGTAAATCAGTTTGTATTTAATGTTACAGTTTAAGACTCATGTTTCAGAAATACAATTTTTATTAACTGAATTCAAAGTATCTCATTTATGCCTTTTATTTTATATTGCAGTCTCTCGTTGGATTTTCCATTCCTGTGATATCGCCCTTGGACTTGGTCTCTCTCAGACATCTCAGAAATTGAGCTGTCATAGTTAATTAGAGAAAGAAAGACATAAGTTTGGATGTTTATGATAAAATACTCAGACATCTCTAGGAGACCTGGCCTCAGCATTATATTTTCCTGTCCTGTCTGCAGATGGCCCGATGTTCAGGTTGTTAATTCATTGTGTGCTGTTGCTGAAGTCCTGAGATGCCTGATTGCTTTATTGGTGCCACACAGAGAAGTTTAGCACGGAGGCTTTCAGAGGCTGAAGAGGGTAGGTGCCCTGGCACCACCTTTCACTTCAGACCAAGGTTGCTCTCCCTCTCTCTCATGCTTTAATTTATTAATGGGCTTTGTAGGTTCCGCCGTGCTTCCTGGTGTTTTCAATTTCAGGGTAATCCTCGTTTGGAGGTAAACAGACAAGGCCTGCTTGGGCCAATCCCCCTAAGATGGGCTTGAGGAGCTGTGAAGGCTGTTGGTGGGGACATTGGGCTTGCTGAACAGACTGAAAGGTATTTTCGTGTAGGTGGGAACAGCTTAGCACCAGCGTCATGAATGAGAAATTACAGCTGTGCAAACATGAAGCTTACATGTCACCAGTGAGTCTGAAAACAGACCCACCTGGTCTTTTTATTTTCACCTTACCTTAAAGATGGGACAAAAGAAGTCTCTGGTTAGTTGAAACTGCTCAAGGCTCAGATTTTTTTTTCCTTTGTTTATTGGTAAGTTTCTTTTCCTTTCATCAACTTGTTGTTTCACACATTTCAGAATGAAAGGAACTTATGACCACTAGAAATGTACCAGGCACTAGACATAATAAGTCATTTAATTTTCTTTCTTTTTTTTTTCAAGTCTTCCCTTTTATTTTATTTTTTAATTTAATTTTAATTTGATTTAATTTTTTTATTATACTTTAAGTTCTAGGGTACCTGTGCACAACGTGCAGGTTTGTTACATATGTATACATGTGCCATGTTGGTGTGCTGCACCCATTAACTCGTCATTTACATCAGGTATATCTCCTAATGCTGTCCCTCCCCACTCCCCCCACCCCACAACAGGCTCCGGTGTGTGATGTTCCCCTTCCTGTGTCCAAATGTTCTCATTGTTCAATTCCCACCTATGAGTGAGAACATGCGGTGTTTGGTTTTTTCTCCTTGCGATAGTTTGCTGAGAATGATGGTTTCCAGCTCCATCCATGTCCCTACAAAGGATATGAATTCATCATTTTTTATGGCTGCATAGTATTCCATGGTGTATATATGCCACATTTTCTTAATCCAGTCTATCATTGATGGACATTTGGGTTCGTTCCAAGTCTTTGCTGTTGTGAATAGTGCCGCAGTAAACATACGTGTGCATGTGTCTTTATAGCAGCATGACTTATAATCTTTTGGGTATATACCCAGTAATGGGATGGCTGGGTCAAATGGTATTTCTAGTTCTAGATCCCTGAGGAATCGCCACACTGTCTTCCACAATGGTTAAACTAGTTTACAGTCTCACCAACAGTGTAAAAGTGTTCCTATTTCTCCACATCCCCTCCAGCACCTGTTGTTTCCTGACTTTTTAATGATGGCCATTCTAACTGGTGTGGGATGGTATCTCATTGTGGTTTTGATTTGCATTTCTCTGATGGCCAGTGATGATGAGCATTTTTTCATGTGTCTTGGCTGCATAAATGTCTTCTTTTGAGAAGTATCTGTTCATATCCTTTGCCCAGTTTTTGATGGGGTTATTTGTTTTTTTCTTGTAAATTTGTTTGAGTTCTTTGTAGATTCTGGATATTGGCCCTTTGTCAGATGAGTAGATTGCAAAAATTTTCTCCCATACTATAGGTTGCCTGTTCACTCTGATGGTAGTTTCTTTTGCTGTGCAGAAGCTCTTTAGTTTAATTAGATCCCATTTGTCAATTTTGGCTTCTGTTGCCATTACTTTTGGTGTTTTAGACATGAAGTGCTTGCCCATGGCTATGTCCTGAATGGTAATGCCTAGGTTTTCTTCTAGGGTTTTTATGGTTTTAGGTCTAACGTTTAAGTCTTTAATCCATCTTGAATTAATTTTAGTATAAGGTGTAAGGAAGGGATCCAGTTTCAGCTTTCTACATATGGCTGGCCAGTTTTCCCAACACCATTTATTACATAGGGAATCCTTTCCCCATTTCTTGTTTTTATCAGGTTTGTCAAAGATCAGATGGTTGTAGATGTGTGGTATTATTTCTGAGGGCTCTGTTCTGTTCCATTGGTCTATATCTCTGTTTTGGTACCAGTACCATGCTGTTTTGGTTCCTGTAGCCTTGTAGAATAGTTTGAAGTCAGGTAGCGTGATGCCTCCAGCTTTGTTCTTTTAGCTTAGGATTGACTTGGCGATGCTGGCTCTTTTTTGGTTCTGTATGAACTTTAGGGTAGTTTTTTCCAATTCTGTGAAGAAAGTCTTTGGTAGCTTGATGGGAATGGCGTTGAATCTATAAATTACCTTGGGCAGTATGGCCATTTCTTTCATGGTATTGATTCTTCCTATCCATGAGCATGGAATGTTCTTCCATTTGTTTGTGTCCTCTTTTATTTCATTGAGCAGTGGTTTGTAGTTCTCCTTGAAGAGGTCCTTCACATCCCTTGTAAGTTGGATTCCTAGGTATTTTATTCTCTTTGAAGCAATTGTCAATGGTAGTTCACTCATGATTTGGCTCCGTGTTTGTCTGTTATTGGTGTATAAGAATGTTTGTGATTTTTGCACATTGATTTTGTATCCTGAGACTTTGCTGAAGATGCTTATCAGCTTAAGGAGATTTTGGGCAGAGATGATGGGGTTTTCTAAATATACAATTATGTCATCTGCAAACAGGGACAATCTGACTTCCTCTTTTCCTAATTGAATATCCTTTATTTCTTTCTCCTGCCTGATTGCCCTGGCCAGAACTTCCAACACTATGTTGAATAGGAGTGGTGAGAGAGGTCATCCCTGTCTTGTGCCAGTTTTCAGAGGGAATGCTTCTGCCTTCCGAGGTCAGCTCAGACCCTGCACCCAGCAGTCCCGTGTCTGTGTGAGCCTCTCTTTCTCCAGTGAGCACCCCCCAGTGCATGGCTGCAGGCAGCTCCAAGGGAAAGTCTCAGCACACACTTGCCCTGGGGTGGCCAGGATCTCCTTGTTGCCACTTCAGCACATTCGATTGGTGTCTTGCACGTTGAAAAAATCACTTAGCATCTCTGAGACGCTGATTGCTCACTCTATGATGGGAAGGAAGACTCTTTTCTCCCCTGCCTCACAGGACTCCTGGGGAATCAGCAGGCCTTGTGCCTAGGACATCGGGTCAATCAGTGCCAACCTCAATGATACAATGCTAACCAACATGAATTTTCAAAACCAAAACCTGCAAATGAACAACGATTTTATCTGGCGACGAACATTCCGTGTTCTCCTTTGATGAAGGGCTGAGTGGACTTGCGGTGCCAGTGAGCTTTTCCCGGTCAGACTGTGTACCCAAGCCGAGCATGAATTGGCTTTCCAGCTTTCATGCCTTCTTCCTGCTCTAATGACACTGCTCGCAGGTTGAACATCCACTGGCAATTTCAGCAGATGCGACCTCAATTTCCACGCAATCATGTCTGTTCTGGCAGCGGGCATCACCGCACAACACTTTTGCTTGGTGGCTCTGAGGACAGAAGTTACAGCCCGGCGCTGGGGTTTCCTGCCTCGTGGTAACATGAAAATCACCTTGTCAATCAGGCTACCTCTATCCTTTATGAAATGGGACCATGACACTGTCACATTACCCCAGGAAGCAAGATAATTGTGCCTCTCTTGACATATGCCTAAATACTTGGTAGCACTTGAACAGCATAATTTTTTATTCTCATAAATGTATCAAATATGAATATGGGAGGAGGCTCTGGCAGGCCCCCACTAAGTCACTGAATACTCATTTTATGCTCTTCGTTACCCCTCAGCATTGTCTGAAATCACTGCTCTCATATATTAGATCTGTAATATGTTACCATGAACACATTCTTCTCTTCTTGGATTTAAACTGAAACAATTTTGAGTAATAAACATGGTGATTTAGAGAATTCAATTATAATCCTAACCATAGAGAAACTAGGGTCTCTAGTTTCTTTGATATAATTCTGACTAACAGAGGGAATTTGTGACAAGTTGATGAAAACGTTGACAGATTTCTTTGCTTCTCTCAATCTATCCTTTGGCTTGTTAAAATAAGGCCAAGGTAACAGGTAATTTACTTAGTGATACAGAGAAGAGTTTTCAAAGGCTGCCATGGAAGCATAACAGAACTATTTCAAACATTTTGGAAACTGTCTAAATTCCCACCTAAAACTTGGACGGCCAATGCGAATGGAGTGTCTGCCGTGGGCTGGTTCCAGGTGAGCTCAGCTGCAGGTGGAAAGTTGTCTTTCTGCGTGTATGACCTACCCTGCATCTGACTGGGGCACTTGTTACTCGGGCAGCCTGAATCTCCTGGTGGTGAGGAGGTCAGGTCATCCTGCTGCCGTGTTGTTTAACCCCAGAGCACAGGGGTGATAGTGATGATGTCAGCGGGGTTAGGTTTTCCGAGCAAGAAACTCTGCAGGTGTCTTGCAGGGGCTGTGGGGAGGTGGCTGGCGTAGGAGGGAAGGCACAGGGGATTCCTTAACAAGAGCTGCTTGTTCTTGAAACAAAGGTGGTCTTACCGGGGTATCTATAGCCCCACACCACGTTAGCTGAAGCTGACCTCTGTTGCTATGGACTCATCCTACCGGAAAACCAGATCAGACTCAGATGCTGGGTCCTTACTAACTGGTTACAGAGTCTTGGCCTGAGAAGCCAAGAGACCTTGGCGTTATCTCTTCCGATGTTTCCAGGGAGTGGAAGGGGGTTTCCTGAGGAAGGAACTCCCTGTGTAGCCACTGGGCTGGGGGCACTTAATCCCCAAGCCACGCTCTCCTGAGTGGGGCAGTGCATGTTCCTAACTCTGCTGCGTGGAATCCAAGGATGTCTCTCCAACCACGAGTGTGGGCTGCCTCTGCTGGTCTCAGTTCTCCCTTCTTCCAAAGGGCAATGGCAGGCTCTGCACAGGCATGCTTTTCTACACACGTGGCTGATGGGGCAGGCGAGGAACTTGAACCATCTAAGACAGTAACCTCAACAGGTTTAGAACTGAACATTTTAATTAGATGTCAGCTGGGATTGCTTCTGGCCATGAAGGGGGATTAAAGGCTCCTGCCTGCTGATAAACAAATGTGCGTTTAATACCAGAGTGGCAGTGAGATACCTGACTGAGCTTTGCCACGTGGATTTTTTCAAAACTTCATGAAAACACAGGCGCTTTTGGGATAACACTGCAGACCATGGAGATCACGCCCTCCCCTCATTCGGCAGATTAATGAGGCTACCTGGATTTGGGTCTCTCTAGAGTCATACATATGTTATAATTTTTCATTTAGTATTATATGTTACAGCATTATAATTGGTAAATACCAATTTGAATATCGAGTCTGACTTAAGGTCATGGAAGTCCCCCGTCACCTAGAAAAATTGCCGTGTTCTATGATTGCAGCCGCCTCTGTGGAATGGTGTGTGGGGCGCTAGAATTATCCTCCCTGCTCGTAAATAGCTTTTTTTTTTTGGTCTACCAACGTGCCTGAGGCTCTTGTTATGGGAGAGCCTTTTCCTTCAGGGGGTGACATTGTTCTGGCCTCCTTAGCTTGAAACTGTTTCCTCCTGGATGCCTGTTGCTGACCTTGGCTGCCCTGGTCTACACACCTTCCCCATTTCCCAGGATCAGAGCTGGACGTGGAGGCAGATAGCACGGAGAAAGGACACTGTGAGGTCTCAGCAAAGACAGCCCTTGAGAGCTTCCCAGAGGTTGGGTTCCTGATGGGGATGGTGGCTACATTACTGTGTTCATTTGGCAATAATTCGTAGAGTTTTGTATATATATTATATATATATATGTGTGTGCCTGTATATATATATATATATATATATATAGCTTGTTCACTTTCCATGCGTGTGTTATTTATTTTAAAATACTTTATTTATAGAGTAGGTTTAGTTTCACAGCAAAATTGAACGCTTCTTCTCTACACACTCCCTGCCTCACTCAGGCACAGCCTCCTCGTTAAACTGACATGGCACACTGGCGGGCGTGTCTGATCAAAAGCTGCTTTTGCCCCAGGGGCCGTGTTTTAGCTAGTCCTCAATGTGGTCCATTGTCCAAGCCCCACCTCTGGAGTCAAGTTCCACCTCCTACTTCACTGTTAATGAAAATAATAATTGAATCATCTTGAAAAAGAAATCTCCAAATGATCCAGTTACACTGTTTCTCATAGACATGCGCTTGGGTGCCTAATAGTCCTTGTAATAAGAGGGTTATTTTTCACACCTCGCTGAGACCTCCTGACCCACTGCTCCCTAGTGGGTAATGGAGAGGACGTGGGGAAAGAATGTGGGTCCCAGTCTTCTCATCACAGCCTCATCACCAGCTAGTCCTGTGAATTTGAGCAAATCCTAAATAATTTTATATCACATTTGTCAGTCATGAGAAGGGAATACCCATATGTAGCTCTGTGTTTCATTGGATGTATGAAAAAGTCAAATGAGAAAATCACACAAACATGAAGTATAATATGTAAACTATCATGTGGATTAAATGATACAGTGAGAGCTAATTAGGATCACCGTACCTGCATTAATGTAATGTTGCTGCTTCGTTTTTTTTTTTTTTTGAGATGGAGTCTCGCTCTGTCGTCCAGGCTAGAGTGGCGAGGTCTCTGCTCGCTGCAACCTCTGCCTCCTGGTTTCAAGCGATTCTCCTGCCTCAGCCTCCTGAGTAGCTGGGACTACAGGTGTGTGTGGTCTCAATCTCTTGACCTCGGCCTCCCCAAGTGCTGGGATTACAGGCGTGAACCGCTGTGCCTGGCCGCTTCTGCTTCTTAAGAGTGGTCTTAGATGACAGTCATAGCACTCACTCGTTATTTTAAGGAGAAGGAGAAGTTTAGAGGTGGGAGAGAGACAGCTGTGGCCTGTCACTGTCTCCGTCACCTCAGAAGTCACTGGAATCCTTAATTTCTTCTCTGAGAGATGACAGGCTGCCTATGGCGTGCCTAAATTCTTACTCAAGTTTCACAGTCTTCAGTCTTAGTCAATCTTTTCAATCATGTGAGGTTGGATTTGCAGGTGAGATCAAGTCACAAAATGCAATTATACTTTGAGTCAAAATTTATTGGGACCAAATTCATGTTCCTCTTGGGAGGAGGTCTCACTTTCTCTAAAAGAATTTAGGGTAAAGTAATGACTTCCCTGCTTGCAGTGTCATAAAATTATACTGAAACGATCTTTCGGGATAGTGTCTGTTAGCTATTTATATTTGGGTCCTGTACTGGCAAATGTTTTGGATTTTATGACTTACATTTATTATTGTGTGGAGCCAAGTAGGTCCACATTCAGCAGTGCTTGTAAGTTATGTCCATGACCGGAAAAAATTATCGCAGAGGTCCTGTGCTTGCCAGGATTTAAGCAGATTAAGGAGTCCTCAGTCAGGTAGATGTCCATGAGTGAGGTGGTTAGATGAAGGAAATGAAGTCATTCCAAAGCCAGAGGACTCACAGACATGTCTGTGGTCCCGTGTGTGCCTGTACTGTCAAAATGAAGGCTCGCGATAACCCAGGTTCCTGGGCTACCGTCAAGGGTTTTACTGTGCCTTTTAGGAGACCCTCAAAAGTCTCCTCTTGCCCTTCAATGCCTTCCTTGAGGCAATTAGCTATGGGGCTGAACATCCCCAGGTGGTCAAGATAACCTGAGAGGAACCAAATCTCATCGTGTGTAATGAGGGCTTCTTCCTTCTCTTCAGGGACATATGTCTTGGAGGAGTTCCCTATCAGTTTGTAGGACGAAAGAATGGTGAGAGACATGGGAAGAGAACAGCTGATCGGATCCCGGTCCTCTTCCTCGAAGCATCCATGGAAGGCTCTCGAATGGCTGAATGTCAGGGGTGCTTCATCAGCCTCACTAAAGATGGAGGAGGAGAGGGGTCAAAGCTGGGCTCAGATGAAGCTAGGACAGTGTGGCAGAGCCCTGGGCTCCCTGCGGGGCATGGGGAAGCCTCTGAGGATGGCTGAACCTTGTGGGGAGGTGAGATTTCCACCCGCTGGTGTCCCTGCTCCCCTCCCCTGTATGACAGTGTGAGAGGGGAACCATAGCCGGCTCCTTAGCTTTCCACTGGTAAAATGATCACTAACTTGCCCTTTGGGTGATAATTTAACTCACATCTTAACCATACAGTTCCCTGATGCCTTAAATCAGTGGTCCCCAACCTTTTTGGCACCAGGAACCCGTGGAAGACAATTTTTCCACGGACGGGGTGAGGGGGATGGCTTCAGGTTGACTCAAGCACATTTACGTGTATTGGGCACTTTATTTCTATTATTATTATTACATTATAACATATATTGAAATAATTATGCAACTCACCATCACATAGAATCAGTGGGAGCCCTGAGCCTGTTTTCCTGTAACTAGAGGGTCGCGTCTCAGGCTGATGGGTTGAGGACCCCTGCTTTAAATATCATCACCATTTAATTCCTTTAAAAACATCCATGAAGCACGGACTCGAGCCAGCTATTGTTTTGTTTGCTGGGGCGTAAGCCCACAAACAAGCCCCGTCCCTGCTGCTGAGGAAGGCCGTGCATTTGTGTCGCCAGGAAGCAGAGTGGCTTCCTGCATGTGCGCGGCTGACCGTGACAGAGCCTGGCACAGATGTGGAGAGGGGAGAAGTACATCCCTCCAAGACACCCGGGAGGGCCTCCTGGAAGAGGGGCCCAGGGTGGCTCAGACTCCAAATGTGTGGGAAGTTGAATTGGAGGGAGAATTGCTGTCTAGGAGAAGAGCCTGAGAAAAGTCAAAGAATTGTGGGAAAATTTCCCAGAGATCATGGATAATTCAAGACTGAATTTTGTACCCCCACCTGGTTGGCATCAGCTGCTGGTCTGTCAGCTATTCTTAGCAGAAAAAAAAAAAATCCCAGACAATATTGTCTATATTTCTCAAAAAAGCCCTTGCGTTTTGAATGGATATTATTATATCACACCTTAAATTAACAGGGAACCATTTCAAATCCCCATTTGAAGTTTTACTTTACATCAAATTCTCACTAGACTGAAAGATCCCCGAGAGTGGGGAGACATTGTTTGCTTCTGTTTATAGAGGCTCAGTACAGTCCCTGGAACTTGACAAGTACTAGCTGTGCTGGCTGAATGGACGCACATACTTTATATGGCGTCTGGTGACTGTCTCTGACTTTGCAAGGTGTCATGTTTTCTCTACTTTGAAAGGGTTGGGTTTGATCAGTACTTTCTCAGTTTACTCAGGGAGTCACTTACACAGCACAGCCACCATGAATAGCGAGGATCAACTCTCCTTCCAAGATTTCCTGTCGCTGAAGACAGCACCGCATGGATGTATTCATCCTGTCCATGGACTATTGACTGATTCCTGTTTTCTCTTTTCTTTTCTTTTGAGATGGAGTCTCACTCTGTCTCCAGGGCTAGAGTGCAGTGCTGCGATCTCATCTCACTGCAGTCTCTGCCTCCCAGGTTCAAGTGATTTACCTGACTCAGCCTCCTGAGTAGCTGGGACTACAGGCGCCCACTACCACGTCTGGCTAATTTTTTTTTATTTTTAGTAGAGATGGGGTTTCACCATGTTGGCTAGGCTGGTCTCGAACTCCTGACTTCAAGTGATCCACCCGCCTCAGCTTCCCAAAGTGCTGGGATTACAGGCCTGAGCCACCGTGCCTGGCCCCACTTTCTGTTTTCTATAGTCAAGTATGCATTAAGTAATCCTGATGCACCCATGTATCCTGAAAGCAGGTGTTTATCTTGCTTGGTTAACGTGAGAGTAGCATAAGGTAGACACCACAGGTCTGGTTCAGGGCTGCCACACATATTCTCTGTTCCCACGTCAAAGACTTCACTGACTTCCCTTGGTCAACCAGAGCATAAGTATGCTTTTTGCTAATGACAACAGATGAACAGGAGGTCATCAGCTGAGCAGAAATTATGGTGAGTGTGTTTCATACCTGGGGCCCATGGCTTTGTAATCACTTAGGTTTTTAAATTATTTACATTGTATTTCACCAATGTGCCCTCTTATAGCCCCTTTTTACTTTAAGTACAGTAGTTGGGAAACTAAGTGACTCATAAGAAACTGAAATTAAAATAGATTTGTATCAGGAGAAGCTGACAGTTTGGAGTTTGATAGTCGATAAAAACTTGAAAATTTCTTTCTTTTTATTTGGCCCTGGGGCATAAAGTATTTATTGAGCTGACAAACTCAAGCTGATATACTACAAGAGCATTTCATCAATAATATCTCTTTTGCTT